>NC_000023.11:57291355-57607411 GCF_000001405.40 Homo sapiens
AATTTGCTTTCTCTAATATTAATGATACCACCTCTCCTTTCTTATTGTTTGTTTTCACCTAGTATATGTTTGCCTAACTCTTTGTTTTCAATCTTTCATTGTCTTTTTGTTCCAGATGAATTTCATATAAACATTGTATAGCTGAGCTTTTTTTAAAACCAAATTTAATGCTTTTGCCCTCTGGCAGGGGAATTCAGTCCTTCACACTTATTATGTAATTGGTTTAATCCTTTTCACTTGATGTAATGTTTATAATTTATCATACTTGCTTTTTCTTTTCCTTTCCTTCTTTTTTCTGTCTTGATCTGATTTCTTTTTAATTATTTTTCTCTCCTCATTACTTGGGGGTTCTGTTTTGCTTTGCAATTTTCTAATGTTTATTGTCTCATGTCTAAGAATTAACATTAAAACTACAATTGTATATAATAATTAAATTATAATCCTGTAGCACCCACCCAGGATGTTTTACTTGTCTCATTCCTGCTCACATGCTTAACTTAAGACCTTTGGTTTAGTGTTGGTAAATTTAGCAAACAAAAGTACAATATGCTTAGCTAAATTTAAATTTAAGATAAATAACAAATAGATTTCAGTATAATCATCCTCATGCAATTATTGGGACATACTTATATTAAAAATTACTCTCTATTCATTTGAAATTCAAATTTAACTTGATTTCCTGTATTTTATCTGGAAACCCTAACTTTATGCCCTTTTATGTCTCCACTCTCCAACTCTTGGTTTTGCAGAGTTGATGTATACTGTTAAGTTTCAGTGTATTACTGAAACAATATCTATTTTTTTATTGATTATTTACTAGAACAAAATATTTGCTAGTTTAGTATATATACATAATATCTCTGAACTCCAATTTATATTTAATTTCAGCAGAGTTTATTCCTTTTATCCCTACTCATTGTTTGGAACTTTCTTATACTGGTATATTCCTGACTTCTTACCTTCAAAGTAGACATCTTATACCTCCTTAGCTTCATATTTTGCCTCATGGGGGACTACACTGTGTAATTCACTGAAAGTGTCTCAAAAAATGATTAATGTACATAGGAGTCTTTCAGGAAATACTTGTTGAATGAATTGTTTAGTGAATAAATGGCTGCTGACTAAAGTATTGTATTTTGCAGGTGAAATGTATAGATGTTGTTCAGGCTTATATCAACAGAATCAAGGACGTGAACCCAATGATCAATGGAATTGTCAAGTACAGGTGAGCATTTCCACTCTCTCAAGGAGTCATTTATGGTGGTTTTTGTTCTACTTCTGTGGTCATGCCACCTTAGCATATTTCCTAGATTCTTCTTTCTCTTTGTCCTTCCCTTGTTCTCACTGGGAACTTCTCTGACTTCTAATTTCAGTATTTTGTCCTTTGTTGAGTGTTTATGATTATTTGTCTGCATCCTCCTCCTATTAACTGCAAGATCCTTGATGGCAAGGACTAAATTTTGTTGTTTTTGCATATCCAACATCCAGAACAAGGTCTACAGTTTGGTAGGCATCATTGAACATTTACTGAATAGATTAATATTTGGCAGTGACTCTAATAGGAGAACCCCCCTACACATGCACACTTTTTTGAATGTGTATTTAGCATAGTAGATAGTATTTTATATAGGTATCATATACGTTACTTCTGTGTCTCTATTGCTAAGTAAACACTTCTCAGCAGCTCTGAGGTATTAGAGGGCCAAAAACTTGGATTATTTTCTTTGTAATATTCTGTTTAATGGGTAGTACAGTTCTTCTTAGCACACCATGACATAGGGTGCCATCGTGTAGCTCTCAGCCATTCATGTACCATCTTTAGGATTTTTGTCTTGTTTGCACGTCAGCTTTGTTGTTGTTAATATACTTATTAAAATTGAGTCACTTATTCTAACTTAATCATTTTAAAATGAAACTTTATATCACTACACATATTGAAAACCTATCATTTAACATGGATGGTTAATATAAATAAAATGAAAACTAGCCAATATCATGAAATTATAGACATTTAAAATATTTTAATGAAATATAAGTACTGCATCAAATGGATTTGTATCATAATAGATACTTTATACATGTTTTCTCATTTGATCATCTCAACAGCATTTCAAAAAATGTATGTGACAACCATGATTCAAGAATATGGATATGTGATGCCAAGCTTACATAACAGAACTATGGGGTGGTTCTATGTTTCAGGAGGTCCTGACTTGTCTCTTTCTTCTGTGAACCAACTTTTACCTGAAATGTAATTTGGGGGTACTTTTGGGGCAGAGTGTATCTTTAAACATTTGAGAGAGATTCTATTATTTAAATTTTCTGTTGCCTTTTAAAAAGGAGTTTCGAAGAAGGGGGTCAGTTGTTGCAGAGCTTGTTTTTGTGTATGAGGACATAGATAAAGACCTGAGAGAAAATCAAAATTTTGACCTTGTTGAAAATAATGAGTTTGGGCTACTACTAGGAGACTGGAGAGGGTGCTTGTGGGTAAATGGGGGGAGCATGGCAGGGCAGTGACTGTCAGGGGATTGGAGATTTGAAGAGAGAGAAAACAGGACTGTTTCTAAGACAGAGACCTTAGGTAAAATAAAAAGATGCTCAGAAATAATTTTATGAAGTTCATGCATGCTATGTGTGACATCTGTGCTTTTTTCCTCCCTCCTGTAAAGGGCCCCCAAATGGGCTTACTGTCCTGATAACAGTGTTTTTATTTTACTAGAAATTTAAAACACTGGCATTAAGATGAAAAATATGTGTAAAGCACCTAGTATAGAACCTTCCATCAATCCCTCAGTGTTAGCTCTTTTATTGTTATGGTTGTTATTACAACATGAGCTCAATAAATGGAGCTGTCCTTATGATTACACACAGTTCTATTGCATTGTTATCCCTGTTTGCTTGGCACTAAAACTTACTCTCAAGGCAGTTCAATGATTAAAATCACACAGCTACAAAATAGTAGGAAGATATGTGAACTTTAATTATGCTGGCTTCTAGCTTTGTCTTTCTTTGGCTTCCAGCTTTGTGTTTGTGATTGACTGATGAGAAAATAGTCACTGCTTTTTTACCTCCTTCCCAAACCTGTTCTTCCATCCAGTCACACAAGCAAGATACCTAGGTGTACCCCTAGACTCTACCTTCTTCCTTCTTTTCCCAAATCTATCTTCTAACTCTAATTAATCAACAAGTTTTACTGGCTCTTCTTCTTTATTTATCATCATGTCAAACTTGTTTTCCTTCATATCCTATTCTAATCGTACGGAACTACTCTATTTCTCCTGATCCATTTATGCTCTCTATCATCTGCATAACTTTGCACATGTTATTACTTTTGCCTGGAACACTTTCCCTTTCCCCACCTCTCCTTTATTTGGCTTAGTTAATTTTTTAGGACTCAGTCCAGTTCTCAATTTTACATTATCTAATCATCTCAGTCTCTGTGAGATTTCTACTCTGAGCTCCCAGAGCACATTGTGCTCATGTCACTTTTGTATCATGAAGGGCCCAGAAACCACACTATTTTAACAAAGAATTTAATATAGGGAATTGGTAGAATAGATGTTTAAGGAATGAAAAAACAAAAAAAAAGTAACACTGAAGTAACACCAAGATGATAACTGCAGGAAACAGCAAACTGAGGGAACACCCTAGGTATGAGGGAACAAAGGGAAGAAATTGGGATTATCAGAATCTAGGAGCTCAAAGGAAATGCCTGCAGAGCTGGGACCAAGACATCTGTGAAGAGGGTGTTGCCTGGCTGCTGCTTCTACCTCAGAAACTTTGAAAGGGGACCTCATATTCAGAGCTGTGGTTCAGAATTCTGAGAAGCAGCTGCCAGCTGACTGGTGCCAGTATTTCTGAGGGTGTGTGATGAGACTAGTTCTAGAGTGTGGGAAGAAATAGGAAACTGGAATCAACTACTGTTGCCTGGATGAAAGGCTATTGTTGAAACAATGGTGTCAGGAACAGCAGGCAAACTGGAAGAAACAAACCCCTTCACCTCTTTTCTTTCCTCCTAGTCTTTCTCTGGCACCCATATTTGAAGGATCCAAGAGGGCACAAATTATCAAAGGAAAGTTTAGTTTTCTGAGTCCCATCAGAAAGTGGCATATAGAGGGGGTGGAGCCAAGATGGCCGAATAGGAACAACTCCAGTCTACAGTTCCCAGCGTAAGCGACGCAGAAGATGGGTGATTTCTGCATTTCCAACGGAGGTACTGGGTTCATCTCACTGGGGAGTGCTGGACAGTGGGTGCAGGACAGTGGGTGCAGTGCACCGTGCATGAGCAGCAGCAGGGCGAGGCATCACCTCACCCAGGAAGTGCAAGGGATCAGGGAATTCCCTTTCCTAGTCAAAGAAAGGGGTGACAGATGGCACCTGGAAAATCGGGTCACTCCCACCCTAATACTGTGCTTTTCCAACAAGCTTAACAAAGGACACACCAGGAGATTATATCCCGCACTTGGATCAGAGGGTCCTACGCCCACGGAGCCTCACTCATTGCTAGGACAGCAGTCTGAGATCAAACTGCAAGGCAGCAGCGAGGCTGGGGGAGGGGCGCCTTTGCTCAGGCTTGAGTAGGTAAACAAAGTGGCCAGGAAGCTCAAACTGGGTGGAGCCCACCACAGCTCAAGGAGGCCTGCCTGCCTCTGTGGGCTCCACCTCTGGGGGCAGGACACAGACAAACAAAAGACAGCAATAACCTCTGCAGACTTAAATGTCCCTGTCTGACAGATTTGAAGAGAGTAGTGGTTCTCCCAGCACGCAGCTTGAGATCTGAGAACAGGCAGACTGCCTCCTCAAGTGGGTCCCTGACCCCCGAGTACCCTAACTGGGAGGCACCCCTCAGTAGGGCCAGACTGACACCTCACATTGCCCAGTACTCCTCTGAGACAAAACATCCAGAGGAACGATCAGGCAGCAGCATTTGTGGTTCACCAATATCTGCTGTTCTGCAGCCACCACTGCTGATACCCAGGCAAACAGGGTCTGCAGTGGACCTCCAGTAAACTCCAACAGACCTGCAGCTGAGGGTCCTGACTGTTACAAGGAAAACTAACAAACAGAAAGGACATCCACACCAAAAATCCATCTGTACGTCACCATCATCAAAGACCAAAGATAGATAAAACCACAAAGTTGGGGAAAAAAACAGAGCGGAAAAACCAGAAACTCTAAAAATCAGAGCACCACTCCTCTTCCAAAGGAATGCAGCTACTAATCAGCAATGCAACAAAGCTGGATGGAGAATGACTTTCACGAGTTCAGAGAAGAAGGCTTCAGATGATCAAACTACTGCAAGCTAAAGGAGGAAGTTTGAACCCATGACAAAGAAGTTAAAAAAACTTGAAAAAAGATTAGATGAATGGCTAACTACAATAATCAAGGCAGAGAAGTCCTTAAAGGACCTGATGGAGCCGAAAACCACAGCACCAGAACTACATGATGAATGCACAAGCCTCAATAGCTGATTTGATCAAGTGGAAGAAAGGGTACCAGTGACGGAAGATCAAATGAATGAAATGAAGCGAGAAGAGAAGTTTAGAGAAAAAGGAATAAAAAGAAATGAACCAGCATCCAAGAAATATGGGACTATGTGAAAACACCAAATCTATGTCTGATTGGTGTACCTGAAAGTCACGGGGAGAATGGAACCAAGTTGGAAAACACTCTGCAGGATATTATTTAGGAGAAATTCCCCAATCTAGCAAGGCAGGCCAACATTCAGATCCAGGAAATACAGAGAACAGAACAAAAATAACCCTCAAGAAGAGCAACTCCAAGACAAATAATTGTCAGATTCACCAAAGTTGAAATGAAGGAAAAAATGTTAAGGGCAGCCAGAGAGAAAGGTTGAGTTACCCAAAAAGGGAAGCCCATCAGACTAACAGCTGATCTCTCGGCAGAAACTCTACAAGCCAGAAGAGAGTGGGGGCCAATATTCAACATTCTTAAAGAAAATAACTTTCAACCCAGCATTTCATATACAGCCAAACTAAGCTTCATAAGTGCAGGAGAAATAGAATCCTTTACAGACAAGCAAATGCTGAGAGATTTTGTTACCACCAGGCCTGCCCTGAAAGAGCTCCTGAAGGAAGCACTAAACATGGAAAGGAACAACCGATACCAGCCACTGCAAAAACCTGCCAAATTGTAAAGACCATCAAGGCTAGGGAGAAACTGCATCAACTAATGAGCAAAATAACCAGCTAAGATCATAATGACAGAATCAAATTCACACATAAAAATATTAACCTTAAATGTAAATGGACTAAATGCTCCAATTAAAAGACACAGATTGGCAAATTGGAAAAGGAGACAAGACCCATCAGTGTGCTGTATTCAGCAAACCCATCTCACATGCAGAGACACACATAGGCTCAAAATAAAGGGATGGAGGAAGATCTACCAAGCAAATGGAAAACAAAAAAAGGCAGGGGTTGCAATCCTAGTCTCCGATACAACAGACTTTAAACCAACAAAGATCAAAAGAGACAAAGAAGGCCGTTACATAATAGTAAAGGGATCAATTCAACAAGAAGAGCTAACTATCCTAAATATATATGCACCCAATACAGGAGCACCCAGATTCATAAAGCAAGTCCTTAGTGACCTACAAAGAGACTTAGACTCCCACACAATAATAATGGGAGACTTTAACACCCCACTGTCAACATTAGACGGATCAACGAGACAGAAAGTTAACAAGGATATCCAGGAAGTGAACTCAGCTCTGCACCAAGCGGACCTAATAGACACCTACAGAACTCTCCACCCCAAATCAACAGAATATACATTCTTCTCAGCACCACATTGCACTTATTCCAAAATTCACCACATAGTTGGAAGCAAAGCACTCCTCAGCAAATGGAAAAGAACAGAAATTATAATAAACTGTCTCTCAGACCACAGTGCAATCAAACTAGAACTCAGGATTAAGAAACTCACTCAAAACCCCTCAACTACATGGAAACTGAACAACCCGCTCCTGAATGACTACTGGGTACATAACGAAATGAAGGCAGAAATAAAGATGTTCTTTGAAACCAATGAGAACAAAGACACAACATACCAGGATCTCTGGGACACATTCAAAGCAGTGTGTAGAGGGAAATTTATAGCACTAAATGCCCACAAGAGAAAGCAGGAAAGATCTAAAATTGACACCCTAACATCACAATTAAAAGAACTACAGAAGCAAGAGCAAACACATTTAAAAGCTAGCAGAAGGCAAGAAATAACTAAGATCAGAACAGAACTGAAGGAAATAGAGACACAAAAAACCCTTCAAAAAAATCAATGAATCCAGGAGCTGGTTTTTTGAAAAGATCAACAAAATTGATAGACCACTAGCCAGACTAATAAAGAAGAAAAAAGAGAATAATCAATTAGACGCAATAAAAAATGACAAAGGGCATGTCACCACTGATCCCACAGAAATACAAACTACCATCAGACTACTATAAACACCTGTATGCAAATAAACTAGAAAATCTAGAAGAAACGGATAAATTCCTCGACACCTACACTGTCCCAAGACTAAACCAGGAAGAAGTTCAATCTCTGAATAGACCAATAATGGGCTCTGAAATTGAGGCAATAATTAATAGCCTACCAACCAAAAAAAGTCCAGGACCAGATGGATTCACAGCAGAATTCTACCAGAGGTACAAGGAGGAGCTGGTACCATTCCTTCTGAAACTATTCCAATCAATAGAAAAATAGGGAATCCTCCCTAACTCATTTTATGAGGCCAGCATCATCCTGCTACCAAAGCCTGACAGAGACACAACAAAAAAAAGAGAATTTTAGACCAATATCCTTGATGAACATTGATGCAAAAATCCTCAATAAAATGCTGGCAAACCGAATCCAGCAACACATGAAAAAACTTATCCACCATGATCAAGTGGGGTTCATCCCTGGGATGCAAGGCTGGTTCAACATCGGAAAACGAATAAAGTTAATTCAGCATATAAACAGAACCAAAGACAAAAACCACATGATTATCTCAATAGATGCAGAAAAGGCCTTTGACAAAATTCAACAACACTTCATGCTAAAAACTCTCAATAAATTAGGTATTGATGGGATGTATCTCAAAATAATAAGAGCTATCTATGACAAACCCACAGCCAATATCATACTGAATGGACAAAAACTGGAAGCATTCCCTTTGAAAACTGGCACAAGACAGGGATGCCCTCTCTCACCACTCCTATTCAACATAGTGTTGGAAGTTCTGTCCAGGGACATCAGACAAGAGAAGGAAATAAAGGACATTCAATTAGGAAAAGAGGAAGTCAAATTGTCCCTGTTTGCAGATGACATGATTGTATATCTAGAAAACCCCATCATCTCAGCCCAAAATCTCCTTAAGCTAATATGCAACTTCAGCAAAGTCTCAGGATACAAAATCAATGTACAAAAATCACAAGCATTCTTATACACCAATAACAGACAAACAGAGAGCCAAATCATAAGTGAACTCCCATTCACAATTGCTTCAAAGAGAATAAAATACCTAGGAGTCCAACTTACAAGGGATGTGAAGGACCTCTTCAAGGAGAACTACAAACCACTGCTCAATGAAATAAAAGAGGATACAAACAAATGGAAGAAAATTCCATGCTCATGGGTAGGAAGAATCAATATCATGAAAATGGCCATACTGCCCAAGGTAATTTATAGATTCAATGCCATCCCCATTAAGCTACAAATGACTTTCTTCACAGAATTGGAAAAAACTACTTTAAAGTTCATATAGAACCAAAAAAGAGCCCGCATTGCCAAGTCAATCCTAAGCCAAAAGAACAAAGCTGGAGGCATCACGCTACCTGACTTCAAACTATACTACAAGGCTACAGTAATCAAAACAGTATGGTACTGGTACCAAAACAGACATATAGACCAATGGAACAAAACAGAGCCCTCAGAAACAATGCCGCATATCTACAACTATCTGATCTTTGACAAACCTGACAAAAACAAGCAATGCGGAAAGGATTCCCTATTTAATAAATGGTTCTGTGAAAACCGGCTAGCTATATATGTAGAAAGCTGAAATTGGATCCTTTCCTTACACCTTATACAAAAATTAATTCAAGATGGATTAAAGACTTACATGTCAGACCTAAAACCATAAAAACCCTAGAAGAAAACCTGGGCAATACCATTCAGGACATAGGCATGGACAAGGACTTCATGTCTAAAACACCAAAAGCAATAGCAACAAAAGCCAAAATTGACAAATGGGATCTAATTAAGCTAAAGAGCTCCTGCACAGCAAAAGAAACCACCATCAGAGTGAACAGGCAACCTACAAAATGGGAGAAAATTTTTTGCAACCTACTCATCTGACAAAGGGCTAATATCCAGAATCTACAGTGAACTCATACAAATTTACAAGAAAAAAACAAACAACCCCATCAAAAAGTGGGCAAAGGATGTGAACAGACACTTCTCAAAAGAAGACATTTATGCAGCCAAAAAACACATGAAAAAATGCTCATCATCACTGGCCATCAGAGAAATGCAAATCAAAACCACAATGAGATAACCATCTCACACCAGTTAGAATGGTGATCATTAAGAAGTCAGGAAACAACAGGTGCTGGAGAGGATGTGGAGAAATAGGAACACTTTTACAATGTTGGTGGGACTGTAAACTAGTTCAACCCTTGTGGAAGTCAGTGTGGTGATTCCTCAGGGATCTAGAACTAGAAATACCATTTGATCCAGCCATCCCATTACTGGGTATATACCCAAAGGATTATAAATCATGCTGCTATAAAGACACATGCACACGTATGTTTATTGCAGCACTATTCACAATAGCAAAGACTTGGAACCAACCGAAATGTCCAAAAATGATAGACTGGATTGAGAAAAGTTGGCACATACACACAATGGAATACTATGCAGCCATAAAAAAGGATGACTTCATTTCCTTTGTAGGGACATGGATGAAGCTGGAAACCATCATTCTCAGCAAACTATCACAAGGACAAAAAACCAAACACCACATGTTCTCACTCATAGGTGGGAATTGAACAATGAGAACACATGGACACAGGAAGGGGAACATCAGACACCGGGGACTGTTGTGGGGTGGGGGGAGGGGGGATGGATAGCATTAGGAGATATACCTAATGCTAAATGACGAGTTAATGGGTGCAGCACACCAACATGGCGCATGTATACATATGTAACAAACCTGCACGTTGTGCACATGTACCCTAAAACTTAAAGTATAATAATAATAATAATAATAATAATAATAATAATAAAAGAAATATCTTCACATAAAATCTAATAAAAAAATGTGGCATATAGAATACTTGTTTCAGGGCTGAGAGATAATAATATAAAAACTGGTTCAACATTGCATAGTCATTTTGGTGTTGGTTGTCTCACCCACCAGACTCTGAGTTCCTCAGTGGCATGGACCATATCTTTTTAATCTTATTGTCTTCAGTGTGTAGAACATGATCTGAGATTTAGCATTTCTTCAGTAAGTAACGAATTAATATACATGTGTTTAGACAATGTTTGTTTTGGAGCTCCTGAATGCAGTTTCGTCTTATGCTCTGCAATCTGTTGGCTTCCTATATCTTCCTGGATTATGATTTATTGTTCACTGTTTTTCTTGCTTGCCTGGAAAAGTACAAATTTGTTACTAGTTTTAGACTTTGCTCCCTGAAGCATCTATTGTCATGCATTTCATCCAATAGGTATATTCTTCCCAATCTGTGAATGACATAGAAAATGGTCACGGCAAACTTTCTGGGAGCCCTAGAGTCCAGAGATGTCAAGACTCAAAATACACACTTACAGAATCACACAGACCTGGGACAAAATTCTTCCTCTGTTAGTTATTTCATGAACTTAGGCATGTTTTTGAATCTCTGTGAATCTTTGTTTTATCCTTTCTAAAGGGGAAAATAATATGGACCCTCAAAATTTATAGTTTTATGGATTTAAATGCTTGAAAACACTTTCATTCATTTATCCCACAAATGGTTATTGAATGCTTACTATACACCTGGTAGCATGCTAGGTGTTGAAGATATAAAGATAAACACAACAGTCCCTGACTTCTTTCAGCTCCCAGTCTGGTGGTTGAAGCATGAGAATAACCATTATTTACAGCACAGTGGAATTAGTGCTCTGATAGGGGAAGAAAAGAGTACTGTGGTATCATAGAGAAGGTTACTGATCCAAGACTGGAGAGGTGTCAGAAAAGGCTTTCTGGAGAAAGTGATATAATGTGTTGCTTTCCACCAAAAAGCTATCCAAGGGGTAGAATCCTCCTTGGATTTCGCTCCCCTACCACTGGCTGTACTTGAATCACTGAGCAAGTGCAGGATTTCAAGATATATAGATTTTTTTAAAAACCCTCTCAGACCTCAATAAATCTTTCACTCAACCCACATTGGCCAGCCTATGTATCATCTGGTGTCACAGCCACCCTTAGGCCTCATCCTGTTTGTCTCCATAGAAGCAAGGGTAAGGATTTTTGGCTGAGGTTCCTTGTTTCAGCTTGGCTGAAACTATGAGGATTTCCTTGGTCTCAGGAGTCTAGTGCTGCCCTGTGCCACTGAGGCCACATGTAAGGGTATCCAATTTCCTTTATGCCTTTATCAACCTTCCCTTGGAAGTTCTCTGCTTGTGCTGATTGTATGTGGCTGAAGTTTGGGCAATGCTAATGAAGGGGATTTCAAGACCTTAGGAAAGTGTACATACTTAAGGCACTACCTTTTCTCCATCCTTGGAAAGAACAGGACTGGGAAGCCTGATTGCCCTGCCCCACCTGGTTGGGAAACTCCTGGGAGACAAGTGTTTCAGGAACCCTGTCTTGCATGAACAAATATTGTGCCAGTAAATGTTGCTGATAACATCAGTATTGGTAGGACTTGTTGAAGAAATAGCTGCTGCAGTTCTTCTCATTGTTTTTCTGATATAGAGACTTGTAACCCACTTCCTAAATTTCATTTTGCCACTTCCCTAAGCTCTATGGTTTGGGTGACATGGCTTTGGCTTAATCTTCTGTGATTCTAATCCTTTGATTTTCCTGACAAGAATTTTGTTGACTGTCAGGAGAACCTGATGAATTAGAAATGATGATAGTGATAGCCACCATTTACTGAGTGGCTCTTCTGTGCTAGGTACTGTGTTTATGCATTATGACATTTAAATAACAAAGCATGTAGATTTTATTGTTACCACCATTTTATAGCTGGAGAAACAGTTTAGGAAGTTGTCACTTGCAAGGTTATATAACCACCTCAGATCAGTCTTTCTCCAAAGCCTGGGATTTGACCACTCTGCTACACTGCTTTTTGGATAGCCAGGTTCTTTGTGTTTGTAAGAGGCCAGATTGCAACATTCTCAGATTAATATTTTGCCGTGCCTAATTCGCTACCAAAATTGTCTCACTTTTTTTAACATAAGTAAGCTTCTAAAAAATGTAGTCAATACTTATTTTTCTGAATCCTTACCTCTAATTTACACCTATACTCACTGAAATCTAGCTTCTGTTCCTATGACTCAATTAAAAATAACCTGCTGGCTGGGCGCGGTGGCTCACACCTGTAATCCCAGCACTTTGAGAGGCTGAGGCGGGCAGATTACCTGAGGTCAGGAGTTCGAGACCAGCCTGGCCAAAATGGTGAAACCCCATCTCTACTAAAAATACAAAAATTACCTGGGTGTGGTGGCACATGCCTGTAATCCCAGCTACTCAGGGGGCCGAGGCAGGAGAATTGCTTGAGCCCAGGAGGTGGAGGTTGCAGTGAGCTGAGATCTTGCCACTGCACTCCAGCCTGGCCGACAGAGAGAGACTGTCTCAAAAACAAAACAAAACAAAAAACAAAACAAACAAACAAAATAGCCTGCTAACTCTATCAGTTTGGGCTGTTTCCACTGCAAAGAACAGAAAATCCAATTCAAAATGACTGAAAGCAATACGGAAAATATACTATCCCACAAACCAGTAAGTCTTTTGGTATGTTAGCTCTAGAATTGATTGACTCAGCAGCTGAAAAATGTCATCATTAACCTGTTTTCAGTCTTTTGCCTTGGACATCCTAGTTTGTCAGCCTTATTAGACTAGATCTTCTCATTGTCATAAGATGGCTGCTATGCCTTATGTCTCAAGAGACAAAATTGTGACCAGATACCACTGGTAAACCAATTTTTGGCAAGGTGAATAACATTACTGTGATTGCACTAAACAAATAAGAAATCACACACTTAAGGTTAGAGATTGGGCCTATTCCCTGTAAGGCATATGGCAGTACAATAAAGAGAGTTGCCTGAAAAATTGAAGTTATATTTATAAAGGGAAAAAGTGGATTTTGGATAGGCAGCGAACAATGTCTGCAACTCTTGACAATATGACTTTGAGTGAGTCCTTAACCTCTCTTTATCTCAGTTTCCTCATAATCATAATGAAGCAGTTGTTATGTACCTAATGGGATTATTGTGAGGATGGAACAACTTAATGAATTTAAAACACAATAATTGGCACATAAAATAGACTCAGTATATTGTACATGTTGGTCTTATTATCAAAATGATAATTGTCCTGTTCTTGAAGTCATTGCTACCTTTGGCTTCTAGACAGTGCTCTTCTATTATTTTATTATTTAACTCTTACACATCTAAATACATTTTATTCTTCCTTAAGGTGTGATTCTGTAATTTTGTGTGTGTGTGTGTGTGTGTATGTGTATAATGGTTCATGTAGTTATAAATATACTTAGCCTTGGTCTTCTATGACTTCAAATATCATTTGAACACTGATAACTCCTGGAACTTTGTCTGCAGCCCAGACCTTTCCTCTGAGCTCAATTCCCATATATGTATATCTACCTACTTGACACCTCTACCAGGAAGTCACATGGGCACCAAAAGTCAAAATAATTAAAATCAAACTCATGAAATGAAAATTTCAGTGAATGACATTGCCAACTACTATAAGCCAGAAAAACTGGAAAAAAAAATTCCTTCATCCCCCACATTCTAACCTTCTAATATTTTATAAGAGTTCTACCTTCTAAATATCTCTCTCAAGATCTCATCTCTAAATAACTCTACTTTTCTCTACCTCAACTGCTGTCACTTTAGTCCCAATCACCATCATCTTTGCCTACTGCAGTAATCTTTATGTTTCTAGTTTTGCTCTCCCTTCCCCATACTTTTTATTTTGCAAAAGCCAAAGGATATCTGTAAATCACTAAAGAGATTATGCCCCTTTCCTGCTTTAAACATTTCAATACCCAGACTCCCTAGAACGCCATGTAAGGGCCCTTTGTAATCTGGCATACCTTAGTTTTTCAGCTTTATCTTGTGCCATTCTCCCACATATAACTTCCTTTTTACTCCACTTGGGTATTTTTGCCATTCATCTGAAGGGTCCCTTCTAGTTCAGTCCAGCTTTTTGAGTTATTTTCACCTCCTAATCACAGACTTTCTCCTTCAGCTACTACCCCATCTGATATCTATCTTTCTGAGTACTCTTTTCCTCAGACTGGTTGCAGACTGGGACACTGTGCCTCAAGGTTTTCTTTCCTAACGTTTCCTAAACACAAGGCTACAGGCCGTTTTGCCTTGGATGAGGCTCACATCCAGAGAAGCTTTCAGTAACTAGCAGTCTTAGGCATGTGGATGCTTTACTGAGGTTCCAAGTTTGTGCCTATTGGAAATATTGGTCTTAGGTTCCCAATCCTTCTGAATTGGCAACTGAAAGCTTTCTTATTTCCAGAAAGTGGGTAACTTCAACTTCACACCCTTCTGCTTCTTTTTGTGCAACCAAAGTGTGAGGGATGGGATATAAGCAAAGCAAAAAGTGTCCTTTTCCCCAAGTAGACAGTATGTATCTGCAAGGCCCCCAGAATGTGTAACACTTAGAGTGCTGGCCTTTACTCTACAAATGGTAATGATGCTACTTTGTAACTAGCTATAGACACACAGAAATGTCTATAGTTTCTAAATGGCTGTGCTGACAATTATTCTTTTCATTGCAATAGAATTGTACTTTTACTGGCTTATGGGTGTGAAAAGGTAGTGGTGTGGCCAATAATCATAAAGATCCTCACAATTTGACAAATTATGAGACATTTGAACAACTAGACCCTGGGAAGTTCAGGGACTGATGTAGCTCTGGACTCTCAAACGTAGGAGATTTGTGGGCCTTCATTTAAGAGCCCTGCCATTAATGTGTTCTAACCAACCCCAGTCCTTCTTTCTTTTAGTTGAACCTCTAGGGAAAGAGATAATTTTATTTGTTTCACTTGGCTCAAGTGTTCAGTACAACGAGACTAGCAACATCTTGTGTGTGTGTGTGTGTGTGTGTGTGTGTGTGTGTGTGTGTATATATATACACACACACTATATGTATACACTATATATATACCATATATATGTATACTATATATACACTTTATATACACCATATATACACTATATATATACTATATATGTACTATATATGTGTATATATATACACACTATATATACACTATATATACACCATATATACATATATAGTACTATATAGTATATATAGTGTGTATATATACTATATAGTACTATATATGTATATATACACACACGTATACACACACACACACACAGATACATATATATATATATATATAGCCTTTGTCCTCTGAGTACCGCTGGCCCACCAATAGGGTTATATGCATGACAACAGGGTTTTTACCCCTATCGTTGGGCCAGTAGTACTCAGAGAACAAAGGCTAGACAAATAACCAAATAAGTTTTCATTAGAATGAGCCATGTTTTCTCATCCCTTCATCTTTCTATTCTCTCTGTTTGGGGTTCTTCTTCTCTATAATAAGAAGCATTAGTAGTATCAGTGATAGTTAGCACTTGTGTGCTTACAATGTTCCCGGTACTGTTGTAGTGCTTTACAAATGCAGTAGCTAATTGCATAATATCAACAATTCTATGAGGTAATTATTTTTAGCTCCATTATACAGATGAGGAAACTGAAATACAGAAAGGTTAAGTTAAGTTTTCGAAGGAGATACAGTAAATAGTGGAGCTGAGATACAAAACTATGCATTCTCTCTCTAGATTAATATTGTTCAATAGAAATAAATTATGAGGGAAATGTGCAATTTCACATATTCTAGCAGCTGTATTTTAAAAAGTGAAAAGAAACAGGTGGAATTAATTTTCATAGTACATATTATTTAACTAAATATGTCAAAATACTTTCAACATATTGCATTAGCCACATTTTAAAAATATAATATCAACTTTTATCTTAAATTCAAGGGGCACATGTGCAGGTTTGTTATATGAATATATTGTGTGATACTGAGGTTTGGGATGCAAATGATCCCATCACCCAGATAGTGAGTATAGTATCCAACAGTTTTTCAAAACTTTCCCTCGCTCACACACTTCCGCATCTGTTAGTCCCCAGTGTCTATTGTTGCTATCTTTATGGCCGTGAGCATCCAGTATTTAGCTCCCACTGAGAAATGAGAACAATGTGATATTTGGTTTTTGTGCCTGTGTTAATTAGGTTAATTAGGTTAATAATGACCTCTGGGTGCATCCATGTTGCTGCAAAGGACATGATTTCATTCTTTCTGTGGCTGTGTAGTATTCCATGATGCATATACACCAAATTTTCTTTATCCAATCCACCATTGATGGGCATCTAGATTGATTCCATGTCTTTGCGATTGTGATAGCATAGTGATGAACATACAAATGCAAGTGTCTTTTTGGTAAAACTATTTATTTTCTTTTGGGTATATACCCAGTAATGTGATTGCTGGGTCAAATGGTAGTTTTGTTTTAAGTTATTTGAGAAATCTCCAAACTGCTTTCCACTATGGCTGAACTAATTTACATTCCCATCAACATTCCCTTTTCTCTGCAGCTTCACCGGTATCTGTTGTTTTTTTACTTTTAATAATAGCCATTCTGACTGGTGTGAGAGGATATCTAATTGTGGTTTTTATTTGCATTTCTCTGATGATTAGTGATGATGAGCATTTTTTCATATATTTCTTGGCTGCTTGTCTATCTTCTTTGGAGAAGTGTCCATTCACATCTTTTGCCCACTTTTAAGTGGGGTTATTTATTTTTTGCTTGTTTAATTGTTGAAGTTCCTTATAGATTCTGGATATTAGATCTCTGTTGGATGCATAGTTTGTAAATATTTTCTCCTATTCTGTAGGTTGTTTATTACATCACATGAGTGTCAGGATTAACTGACTGTACAATATTTAAAGTACTGCCCAATACCTGAAATATATCATTAATTGTTAAATATCATTATATCATTATCCTGGCATACTCTGTAACTCCTGTCTCCTCCATTTCTAGCATATTGTCATATACACATGGCAGTAAAAAATCCTCCTTTTTAGAAACTTCCAACAGTTCTTTATATCCATTTTCCCAATGCATTCTCACTACCACCATGTTAGATAGATATTATTGTCCCCAATTTACAATTGAAGCAACTAAAATCCAGTGAAATGAAAGAGCTTGCATAGTTCACAAAACTAGGAAATGAGAGTTCCCTAATTTTTATTCATCTTAAAAGCATAGACATTATCATATTCATTTTTTAATACTTTGAATATTTGTTGAAGTAATCAATAAATGTCATTGGTATTTCCAGTGAGCCCAAAGATATTTTATTAAAGTTATTTTAAGTCACATGAAAGGTTATGTAAAGGATTTTAAATTTCATTTTCAAGAATTAATATTTGTGATACTGAGAAATCACACTGGAATTGCATACTTTAGTGATTGTATTACCACATACATTTAAACTGTGTTCTTTTGGGCATATTGACTTATTGTTTCATTCTGGAAATTGCTGTAATTATGTCCATTATAGAACATTTGCAAAAAACAACAAAAAATTACCTATAATCATAGCACCAAAAGAGTAGTTATTCACTGTTAATGTTTTGCTTACGATTTTCACATGATTGAGGTTATACTAGGAATATACTGCTATAACCTTCTCTTTTCACTTACATTAAATGACATTACATCATAGGAATTTCCGAAGTGCAGTAAAACTTTTAGGAAACACCACTTTTTATTTTATTTTATTTTAAGTACTGGGGTACATATGCAGGATGTGCAGGTTTGTTACAAGGTAAACGTGTACCATGATGGTTTTCTGCACCTATCAATCCATCACCTAAGTGTTGAGTCCAGCATGCATTAGCTATTTTATCTGATGCTCTTTCCACCCCTGAGAGGCCCCAGTGTGTGTTGTTTCCCTCCCTGTGTCCATGAGTCCTCATTTTTCAGCTCCCACTTATGAGTGGGAACATATAATGTTTGGTTTTCTATTCCTGCATTAGTTTGCTGAGGATAATGGCTTCCAGCTCCATCCATGTCCCTGAAAAGAATATGATCTCATTTCTTTTTGATGTACCACATTTTCTTTATCCAGTCTACCATTGATGAGAATTTGGGTGGATTCCATGTGTTTACTATTGTAAATAGTGGCGCAATGAACATATGTGTGCATGTATCTTTATAATAAAATGATTTATATTCTTTTGGGTATATATCCAATAATGGGATTGCTGGATCAAATGGAATTTCTGGTTCTAGGTCTTTGAAGAATTGTCACACCGTTTTTCACAATGGTTGAACTAATTTACATTCTCACCAACAGCGTAAAAGCATTCCTTTACCTCTGTAGCCTCGGCAGCATCTGTTGTTTCTTGATTTTTAACAATTGCCATTCTGACTGGTGAGAGATGGTATCTCATTTAGGTTTTTATTTGCATTTCTCTAATGATCAGTGATGTTGAGCTTTTTTTCATGTTTGTTGGCTGCATAAATGACTTCTTTTGAGAAGTGTCTGTTTATGGCCTTTACGCAACACCACGTTTATTGGCCATACAGTTGTCTCTTGTAGATATCTATAATTATTTATTTGGTGACAAGGAGATTTTATTTGTTTTTCTAATATAAATAATGATGCACTGACCAGCTTTCTGTATGGATAATTCTTACTAGGTTGGATTACTGTTCTTATGATGGATTCCTAAAAGGAGAATCACTGGCTCAAATGGTCAGCTTTATAAGGCTCTTGACAAGTACATTAACTTTAATATGTTGATTACATATTAACATGTTGATATGGGTATTCTTTTAATAAAGTTGGTTGGATGACTTGTTTAGTTAAAGTTTGCATTGTTTTATTTCTTCTTAGGTTTGAGGAAGCGATGAAGGAGGCTCATGCTGTAGATCAAAAGCTTGCAGAGAAGCAGGAAGATGAAGCCACCCTGGAAAATAAATGGCCCTTCCTTGGGGTTCCTTTGACAGTCAAGGAAGCTTTCCAGCTACAAGGTACTATTCTTTTATTTTTGGCTACATGAGTTTAATTCACAAGTTGCTACATTTTCTAAACTTATAAACTAAAAAGGATGGTATAAAAGTGAAGGACAAACTCATGCTGCTTCCTCAGTTTGAAATGAGAGGAAATATTCAGCAAGTTCCATTGGGAAAATAAATGATAATGGTCATCCTCTGTTAGCTCTGTATGGCATATGGGGGCACTATGCTCAGTATCCATTAATCCTTACAGCAAACTTATAAGAATAGTATTATTGATCTCATTTTTCAGATAAGAAAATTGAGGCTCATGACCCTAAAGTAGTTAGGCTAAAGCCAAGCTTGAATTCTGATAAATACCTGTGCTTTCTCTGTAATACAGTTCTTATTTTGTAACTTCCTGCTAGCCTCAAAAGTAAATGAAAATCCCAAATATTTGGAAAGTAAACAACGTATTTTTAAATAACCCATAAGTCAAAGAAATAAATCACAAGGAAATGTTTGAACTGAAAGAAAAAATATAATAATATAACAAAACTTATGGGATGTAGCTAAATTAGTACTTAGAGGGAAATGTATGGCTTTCAGTGAATATACATGAAAAGAAAGATTTAAAATCAGTAACTGAAGCCTGGCCTTAAATGGCTCCTGCGAAAGGGGTCAGTGAGGGAACTGAGGCCTCACCTTCACCAGGAATCTTTGGGATCCTAGCTATAGGGGAACCCTTGTCGCCCGTGGGTGTATGAGCTGGCAGGAAGATCTGATGGAGAGCAGGCAGAGATGGGCCTTCAGAGGGCTTGGAGCCTGGAAGCTTTTGGTGCTCTGGGCAGCTCCAGCTGAGAGTAGCCATAGGCACCAATCCCCAAGTCTTCCCATTCCTCCGAGGAGGTGCAGGCCGGGATGACCTCTGACCCAGGAGAGAGCAGAGCCAGCTTCTTCATGGGACTGAGGTGCATCTGCTCTGCAAGCTTTCCTGCCTTTCAGCTACTCCCAGCATCCATGCCTAGCTACTCTGCAGGAGCAGGTGCACATAACAGCCCCTGCAGCCCAACCTCAGTGTATTGATGCACGTGAGTACTTTCCTAGCTAGCCTGGAGCATATTGGATCCCCTAGCACAGGCAGAACTGAGTCCCAGCTAAGAGACAGTCAGGTGCACCCAGGGCTACAGCGTGCTACTTGAGAGTAAGGAGCAGAGATCTGTGGACAGTAATGAAGCTGGGGAGGAGCTCCCAACCCCAGAACACTGAGAAGGGAGAGATGCATGGGTTTCTGGGCAAGGTGAGATGGGGCATGCCTCCCTCCACAGGGTGGGTCCATAGAGTGTGGCATATCTCTGCTGCAGCCCCTGCCCAAGAGGGCTGGTGGTACAGAATAGCTAATAAAAGAAATGCCAGCACAGCACCATTGATCACAGGGGGCTCTCCCAAATCCCAGGAGCAGATCTGGTGAGGGAGGTGCTGTCTCTTTCTGCTCTCCCAACTCAAGAGCATGCCTGCATACTAAGGGAAATACAGAAGAGCTGCACAGCTTGGTATTAAACTAGCTACCGGCCATTACTCTTATGCTTCATCTACTGGATTGCAGCCCAAACTACAACATCAATCAATCATCCGGCTAATATGTGCACCTGTGAAACCAAGTGCAAGAATTCAAACACACATAAAGATCCTATAGAGGCCAGGCACAGTGGCTTATGCCTGTAATCCCAGCACTTTGGGAGGCCGAGGCAGGTGGATCACCTGAAGTCAGGAGTTTGAGACCAGCCTGGCCAACATGATGAAACCACATCTCTACTAAAAATACAAGAAAAAAAAATTAGCTGGGCATGGTGGCGGGCATCTGTAGTCCCAGCTACTTGGGAGGCTGAGGTAGGAGAATCGCTTGAACCTAGGAGGTGGAAGTTGCAGTAATCCGTGCCATTGCACTCCAGCCTGGGCAACAAGCACAAAACTCCATCAAAAAAAAAAAAATCCTATACAGAACACTAGCCTTCTGAAAGGATCCACAAATATAGCCAACTAACTATACTGAACTTACACCACAGTTACAGAAATACCAATCCTCAAATATTAGAATAAATCAGTGCAAGAACTCTGGAAATCCAAAAAGTAGAGTATCTTTATTGACCTCAAAACAAGTCCAATAGCTCCCCAGAAATGGTTTTTGACCAGTCTGAAATGACTGAGATGACACAGTCTTCAGAATCTGGGTGTCAATGAAACTTACTGAGATTCAGGAGAAAGTTGAAATCCAATCCAAGGAATGCAAAGCATCCAGTAAAATGATCCAAGAGATGGGAGAAAAAATGGGCATTTTAGGAAACAACAAAACAGAGCTTCTAGAAATTAAAGACTCACTATGAGAATTTCATAATACAATTAGAAGTATTAACAGCAGAGTAGACCAAGCTGAGGAAAGAATCCAATCCCAGAGCTTGAATACCGTTTTTTTCAAATCACCTTAGTCAGACAAAAATAAAGAAAAAAGAAATTAGAAAATGAATGAAACCTCCAAGAAATGTGGAATGATATAAGAAAACCAAACCTATGACTCATCAGGATTCTCAAGAGAGAAGGAGAGAGAATAATCAACTTGGAAAATATATTTGAGGTGAAGAGGTTGACACCAGTCTCGGTGAAGAGGTTGACATGCAAATCAAAGTGGTACAGATAATGGTGGCCACATACTATATAAGATGACCATCCCCAAGGAACATAGTAATCAGATTCACCAAGGTCAATACAAAAATAAATAAATAAATAAATAAATACATCTTAAAGGCAGCTAGAGAGAAGGGTTAAGTCACATACAGAGAGTACTCCATCAGGCAAGCAGTAGATCTCTCAGCAGAAACCTTAACAATGAGAAGATATTGGGGGTCTACTTTCAGCATCCCTAAAGACAAGAAATTCCAACCAAGAATTTCATTTCCTCGCAAATAAGCTTCATAAATGAAGGAGAAATAAAATTCTTCTCAGACAAGAAAATTCTGAGAGAATATTTTTCAACTAGACCAACCTTACATGAGGCCCTTAAGGAAGTGCTAAACATGAGTTCAAAAGAATGACACCGGCTGTCACAGAGACACTCAAGCTGATAGCTTGCATGCACTATAAAACAACTATGCAGTCAAGTCTATATAACAAACAGCTAATAGCATGACTTGAATAAAATCACACATATTTGAATGTAAATGAACTAAATGTCCCAATTAAAATACAGGGTGTCAGGCTGGATGAAAAAACAAGACCCAACCATCTGTTTTCTCTAAGAGGCCCATCTCACATGTAATGACACCCACATGCTCAAAGTGAAAGGATGTAGGAAGATCTATCATGCAAACAGGAAACAAAAAAGAGCAGGAGTTGCTATTCTTTTTATCAGATAAAACAGATCTTAAACCAACAACAATCAGGAAATACAAAGAAGGGCATTATATAATGATAAATGTTTTAATTCAATGAGAAGACTGAACCATCTTAAATATGTATGCACCCAACATTGGAGCACTCAGATTCACAGAAAAAATCTTCATGACCTGAGAAAAATCTTAGACAGCCACACAATAATAGTAGGAGATTTCAAAACCCCACTGACAGTGTTAGACAGATCATCGAGGCAGAAAACTAACAAAAGAAACTCAGGGCTTCACCTCAACACTTGAGCAATT
Organism: Homo sapiens; assembly: GCF_000001405.40. NCBI lineage: Eukaryota > Metazoa > Chordata > Mammalia > Primates > Hominidae > Homo > Homo sapiens. Next base: position 57,314,386 of record NC_000023.11, read on the forward strand.
GCGCTTAATAGACATCTACAAAATACTCCACCCAAAAACCATGGAATATACATTCAACTCATCTGTACATGGAGCATACTCTACACGGTCAGTCATACTTCAAGTCTCAATAAATTAAAATATTGAATCTTACCATGCACACTCTTGGACCAGAGTGAAATAAAAATAGAAATCAATATCAATATCTCCCAAAACTACACAAATACATGGAAACTAAACAACTTTCTCATGAAAAACTCCTAGATGGACATTGAAATTAAGGCATAAATCAAAAAAAGTGATTAATAACTCTTAGGTGAACATCAAAATTAAGGCAGAAATACAAAAAAACAAAAAAAATCTCTAAAATTAATGAAAATAGTGACACATCTTACCAAAGTCATTAAGGCGCCACTCAAGCATTGTTACCAGGAAAGTTTATAGAACTAAATCCTTCTTCAAGAAGTTGGAAAGATCTCAAATTAACAATATAACATAACGCCAATGTGAACTACGATAATAAGAAAAAATCAATTCCAAAGCCAGCAGAAGAAAAGAAATAACTAAAATTAGAGAACTTAGTAAAATATAGATGCAAAAATCTATACAAAAGATCAATGAAATTAAGAGTTTGTTTTTCAAAAATAAGTTAGACTGCTACCTAGATTAAAAAAGAAAGAGAAGATTCAAGTAAGTACAATCAGAAATGACAAACATAACATTACAACTTATTTCATGGAAATACGAAAGATTGTCACAATCAATTCAATGCACACAAATTAAAAAATATATAGAAAATGTAAATATTCCTGGAAACACACCTTCTTCCAAGATTGAATCAGGAAGAGAGTGAAACCTTGAACAGCCCAATATTGAGCTGTGAGATGGAATCGGTAATAAGAAACCTACCAATCAAAAAGTGTCCTGGACTAGATGGATTCACAGCCAAATTCTACCAGACATACAAAAAAGAGATGCTACCAATACTACTGAAACTATTCTAAAAAATGGAGGAGGAGGGACTCCTCTCTAACTCATTCTATATAAAGCTATCATCACCCTAATACAAAAATCTGGCAGAGACACAACAGAAAACAAAAACTTCAGACCAATATCCCTGATTAACATAAACTCAAAAATCCTCAATAAAATTCTAGCAAACCAAATCCAGCAACACAACAAAAAGTTAACTCATTATGATCAAGTAGGGATTATTCCTGGGATGCAAGATTGGATCAACATATGCAAATCATTTAATGTGATTCACCACGTAAATGATTAAAAGTAAAAACCATGTGATCATCTCAATAGATGCAGAAAAATAACTTTTGATATAATTCAACACCCCTTCTTTATACTAACTCCCAACAGACTAGGCATCGAAGGAACATACCTCAAAATAATAAGAGTCATCTATACCAAACACACAGGCAATGTCACACTAAATGGGCAAAAGCTGGAAGCATTCTTCCTGAGATCTGAAACAAGGAAAGAGTGCCCACTCTCACTACTCCTATTTGACATAGTACTGGAAATCCTAGCCAGAGCAGTCAGGCAAGAGAAAGAAAAGGCATCCAAATAGGAAAAGAAGTCAAACTGTCTCTCTGTTGATGATATGATCTTATGCTTAGAAAATCCTAAAGACTCCATCAAAATCCTACTAAAACTGATAAACAATTTTAGCAAGGTTTCAGAATACAAAATCAATGTAGTAAATCGGTAGTATAATGATGTCCTGGTTGAGATTCACACAATCCCATTTACAATAGTCAGAAATAAAATGGAATACCTAGGAATAGAGCTAAACAAGGAGGTGAAAGATCTCTACGAGAACTGCAGAACACTGCCGAAAGAAACCAGAAATGGTATAAATAAATGTAAAAACATTTCATGTTCTTGGATTGGAAAAATCAGTATTGATGAAATCGCCATACATCCAAAAACAGTTTACAGATTTAACGCTATTCCTACCAAACTACCAAAGACATTTTTCAAAGAATTGGAAAAAACCTATTTTAAAATTCATATGGAATCTAAAAAGAGCCTGAATAGCCAAAGCAATCCTAAGCAAATAGAAGCAGAGATATCACACTACCCCACTTAAAACTATATTATAAAGCTACAGTCACCAAAACAGCATGGTGCTGGTACATAAACAGACACATAGACCAATGGAACAGAACAGAAAACTCAGAAATAAAGTCACACACATACAACCATCTGATCTTTGTCAAGGCCAACAAAAATAAGCAATGGGGGAAGGACTCCCTATTCAATACATGGTGCTGGGATAACTCACTAGCCATGTACAGAAGACTGAATCTACACTCTTATCTTTCACCATAGGCAAAAACTAACTCAAAATAGATAAATATTTAAATGTAAGACGTCAAACTCTAAAAAAGTTGAGATGAAAACCTAAGAAATACCCTTCTCTATATTGACCCTGTCTCCCCCCACCGCCTCCAAAAAAACATGGTCAACTCCCTAAAGCTATTGCAACTAAATGAAAAATTTACAAGTGGGACTTAATTAAACTAAAGACCTTCTGCACAGCAAAATAAACCATCAACAGAATAAACAGGCAACCTACAGATTGGGAGGAAATATTCATAAACTATGCATGCAATAAAGGTCTAATATCCAGAATCTATAAGGAACTTAAGCAAATCAACAACTAATAAACAAATAACCCATTAAAAAGTGAGCAAGAGACATGATCAGACATCACTCAAAAGAAGACAGACAAGTGGCCAACAAATATTTGAAAAATGCTCTCAGGATCAAGTTCACAAATAACAATATTAGCCTTAAATGTAAACGGGCTAAGTGCCCCAATTAAAAGACACAGACTGGCAAATTAAATAAAGAGCCAAGACCCATTAGTCTGCTGTATTCAGGAGATCCATTGCACATGCAAAGACACACATAGGCTCAAAATAAAAGGATGGAGGAATATTTATCAAGCAAATGTAAAGCGAAAAAGAGCAGGAGTTGCAATCCTAGTCTCTAATAAAACAGACTTTAAGCCAACAAAGATGAAAAAAGACAAAGAAGGGCATTACATAATCATAAAGGGACTTTGTACCAAGAAGAGTTAACTATCCTAAATATATATGTACCCAGTACGGGAGCACCCAGATTCATAAAGCAAGTTTTTAGAGACAAACAAAGAGACTTAGAGTCCTACACCATAATAGTGGGAGACTTTAACACCCCACTGTCACTATTAGACAGATCAACAAGACAGAAAATTAACAAGAATATTTAGGACTTGAACTCAGCTCTGGACCAAGTAGACCTAATAGACATCTACAGAACTCTCCACCCCAAATCAACAGAATACACATTCTTCTCAGCATCACATTGCACTTATTCTAAAATTGACCAAATATTTGGAAGTAAAACACTCCTTAGCAAATGCAAAATAATGGAAAATATAACCAACAGTCTCTCAGACCACAGTGCAATCAAATTACAACTAAGGATTAAGAAACTCACTCAAAACGGCACAACTACATGGAAACTGAACAATCTGCTCCTGAATGACTACTGGGTAAAGAAATTAAGGCAGAAATAAACATGTTATTTGAAACCAGTGAGAAAAAAGACACAATGTACTGGGATCTCTGAGACACAGCTAAAGCAGTGTTTAGAGGGAAATTTATAGCACTAAATGCCCAAAGGAGAAAGTAGGAAAGATCTAAAATTGACACCCTAACATCACAATTAAAAGAACTAGAGAAGCAAGAGCAAACAAATTCAAAAGCTAGCAGAAGACATGAAATAACTAAGATCAGAGCAGAACTAAAGGAGATAGAGACACACAACAAACCCTTCAAAAAAAATAAATGAATCCAGGAGCTGGTTTTTTGAAAAGATTAACAAATAGATATACTGCTAGCCAGACTAATAAAGAAGAAAAGAGAGAAGAATCAAATAGACACAATAAAAAATGGTAAAGGGGATATCACTACTGATCCCACAGAAATACAAACTACCATCAGAGAATACTTATAAACACCTTTACGCAAATAAACTAGAAAGTGTAGAAAAAATGGAAAAATTCCTGGACAGATAAATCCTCCCAAGTCTAAAGCAAACCAGGAAGAAGTCAAGTACCTGAATAGGCCAAGAATAAGTTCTGAAATTGAGGCAGTAATTAATAGCCTACCAATAAAAAAATCCCAGAACTAGATGGATTCACAGCCAAATTCTACCAGAGGTACAAAGAGGAGCTGGTAACATTTCTTCTGAAACTATTCCAAACAATAGAAAAAGAGTAACTCCTCCCTAATCCATTTTATGGGGCCAGCATCGTCCTGATAACAAACCCTGGCAGAGACACAACAAAAAAAGAAAATTTCAAGCCAATATCCTTGATGAACATCTATGCAAAAATCCTCAATAAATACTGGCAAACTGAATCCAGCAGTACATCAGAAAGTTCATCTACCACTATCAAGTCAGCTTCATCCTTGGGATACAAGGCTGATTCATCATATGCAAATCAATAAACATAATCCATCACTTAAACAGAACCAATGACAAAAACCACATGATTATCTCAATAGATGCAGAAAAGGCCCTCCATAAAATTCAACACCCTTTCATGCTAAAAACTCTCAATAAAGTAGGTATTAATGGAACATATCTCAAAATAATAAGAGCTATTTATGACAAACCCACAGCCAATATCATACTAAATGGGCAAAAACTGGAAGCATTCCCTTTGAAAACTGGCACAAGACAAGGATGCCCTCTCTCACCACTCCTATTCAACATAGTATTGGAAGTTCTGGCCAGGGCAATCAGGCAAGAGAAAGAAATAAAGCATATTCAAATAGGAAGAGAGGAAGTCAAGTTGTCTCTTTTTGTAGATGACATGATTGTATGCTTAGAAAACCCCATCGTCTCAGCCCAAAATCTCCTTAAGCTGATAAGCAACTTCAGCAAAGTCTCAGGATACAAAATCAATGTGCAAAAATCACAAGCATTCCTGTACACCAATAGTAGACAAAAAGAGAGCCAAATCATGAGTGAACTCCCATTCACAATTGCTACAAAGAGAATAAAATACATAGGAATACAACTTACAAGGGATGTGAAGGACCTCTTCAAGGAGAACTACAAACCACTGCTCAAGGAAGTAAGAGAGGACACAAACAAATGGAAAAACATTTCATGCTCATGGGTAGAAAGAATCAATATTGTGAAAATGGCCATACTGCCCAAGTAATTTATAGATTCAATGCTATCCCCATTGAACTGCAATTGACTTTTTTCACAGAATTGGGAAAAACTACTTTAAATTTCATATGGAACCAAAAAAGAGCTCCGATAGCCAAGACAATCTTAAGCTAAATGACCAAAGCTGGAGGCATCATGTTACCTTACTGCAAAGTATACTACAAGGCTACAGTAAACAAAACAGCATAGTAGTGGAACCAAAACAGAGATATAGACCAATGGAACAGAACAGAGGCCTCAGAAATAATGCCACACATCTGCAGCAATCTGATCTTTGACAAACCTGGCAAAAACAAGCAATGGGGAAAGGATTCCCTATTTAATGGTGCTGGGAGAAATGACTAGCCATATGCAGAAAACTGAAACTGGACCTCTTTCTTACACCTTATACAAAAATTAACTCAAGATGGATTAAAGACTTAAACTTAAGACTTAAAACCATAAAAACCCTAGAAGGAAACCTAGGCAATACCATTCAGGACATAGGCATGGGTAAATAATTCATGACTAAAACATCAAAGAAAAAATGGCAACAAAAGCCAACATTGACAAATGGGATCTAATTAAACTAAAGAGCTTCTGAACAGCAAAAGAAACTATCATCATAGTGAACAGGCAACCTATAGAATGGGAGAACATTTTTGTGATCTATCCATCTGACAAAGGGTAATATCCAGAATCTACAAGAAACTTAAACAAATTTACAAGAAAAAGACAAACATCCCCATCAAAAAGTGGGTGAAGGATATGAATAGACACTTCTCAAAAGAAGACATTTATGTGGCCAACAAACATATGAAAAAAAGCTCATCATCCCTGGTCATTAGAGAAATGCAAATCAAAACCACAATGAGATACCATCACATGCTAGTTAGAATGGTGATCATTAAAAAGTCAGGAAGCAACAGATGCTGGAGAGGATGTGGAGAAATAAAAATGCTTTTACATTGTTGGTGGGAGTGTAAATTAGTTCAATCATTGTTGAAGACAATATGGTGATTCCTCAAGGATCTAGAACTAGAAATACCATTTGATCCATCAATCCCATTACTGGGTATACACCCAAAAGATTATATATCATTCTACTATAAAGCAACATGCACATGTATATTTATTTGTGGCACTGTTCATAAAAGCAAAGACTTGGAACCAACCCAAATGCCAATCAGTGATGGACTGGATAAAGGAAATGTGGCATATGTACACCATGCAATATTATACAGTTATAAAAAAAGATGAGTTGGCTGGGTGTGGTGGCTCACGCCTGTAATCCCACCACTTTGGGAGGCCAAGGCAGGTGGATCATGAGGTCGGCAGATCGAGACCATCCTGGCTAACATGGTAAAACCCCCGTCTCTACTAAAAAATACAAAAAATTAGCTGGGTGTGGTGGTGGGCGCCTGTAGTCCCAGCTACTCAGGAGGCTGAGGCAGGAGAATGGCGTGAATCTAGGAGGCGGAGTTTGCAGTGAGCCCAGATGGTGCCACTGCACTCCAGCCTGGGTGACAGAGCGAGACTCCATCTCAAAAAAAAAAAGAAAACCGGATGAATGCATGTCCTTTGCAGGGACATGGATGAAGCTGGAAACCATCGTTCTTAGCAAACTAACACAAATCGGAAAACACTGCATGTTCTCACTCAGGAGTGGGAGTTGAGTAATGAGAACACATGGACACAGGGAGGGGACCATCACACATTAGGGCACATTGGGGGTTCGGGATCTAGGGGAAGGATAGCATTAGGAGAAATACCTAAAGTAGATGACGTGTTGATGGGTGCAGCAAACCACTATTGCACATTTATACCTATGTAAAAACCTGCACGTTCTGCATATGTATCCCATAACTTATAGTATAATAATAATTATTATTATACTATTTAAAAAAATAGTTTTCCAATTGAAAACTATTTTTCAATTATTTTTTAATTAAAAAAATAGGTTTCCAATTGAAACCTCTGCTTTTTTCTGGTTTCCATTTGCTTGGTAGATTTTTCTCAATTTTTAAAATTTTGAGCCAATGGATGTCATTGCATGTAATATGGGTGTGTTGAAGACAACATAACAAGGAGTCTTGCTTCTTTATCTGGCTTGCCACTCTGTGCCTTTTAATTGGGGTATTTAGCCTGTTTACATTCAAGGTTAGTATTGATATGTATGGATTTGTTGCTGTCATCATGTTGTTACTTGGTTATTATGCAGATTTGTTTGTGTTTTTGCTTTTTAGGGTCACCAGTCTGTGTACTTGTGTGTTTCTGTAGTGGTTTGTAATTACCTATTATTTCCATATTTAGTGCTTCTTCCAGGAGCTCTTATAAGGCACATCTGGTGGCAACAAATTTGCTTAGCATTTGCTTACCTGAAAAGGATCTTATTTCTCTTTTGTTTATGAAACTTAGTTTGGCTGAACATGAAACTCCAGATTGCATTTTTTTTTTTTTTGAGACGGAGTCTCGCTCAGCTCACTGCAAGCTCTGCCTCCCGGGTTCACGCCGTTCTCCTGCCTCAGCCTCTTGAGTAGCTGAGACTACAGGCATCCGCCACCGCGCCTGGCTAATTTTTTGTATTTTTAGTAGAGACGGGGTTTCACCGTGGTCTCGATCTTCTGACCTCGTGATCCGCGCTCCTCGGCCTCCCAAAGTGCTGGGATTACAGGTGTGAGCCACCGCACCCGGCCTGCATTTTTTGTTTTTAAAGAATATTTGATGTAGGTCCCCGATCTCTTCTTCCATGTAGGATTTTTGCTGAGAGGTCTCTTGTTAGTTTGCTGGACTTCCTTTTATAAGTGACCTACCCTTTCTCTCTAGCCTTTAACTTTTTTTTCTTTCATTTCAACTGAAGAGAATTTGACTATTATGTGTTTTGGGGATGACCTTCTCATGAAGCATTTTGCGTGGGTTCTAAGCATTTTCTGAATTCGAATGTTGGCCTCTCTGTCTAGTTTGGAGAACTTTCTCATTGGTGATATCCTGAAATATATTTTCTAATTTGCCTTCTTTCTCTTTTTCTTTTCTGGAATGTCAATGAGTTCTAGATTCGGTCTCTTTATGTTATTCCATAATTCATGGAAGTTTTGTTCATTAAAAAATTCTTTTTTCTTTACTCTTGTTTCACTGTTTTATTTTAAAAAGTCAATCTTCAAGCTTCAATATTCTTTTCTCAGCTTGGGTATTCTGCTGCTAATGCTTGTGATTTCTTTTTTTTTTTGTTTTGTTTTGTTTTCCTTTTTTTTAATTATACTTTAAGTTTTAGGGTACAGGTGCACAACATGCAGGTTTGTTACCTGTGTATACAAGTGCCATGTTGGTGTGCTGCACCCATTAACTTGTCATTTAATATTAGGTATATCCCCTAATGCTATCCTTCCCCACTTTCCCCACCCCACAACAGGCCCCAGTGTGTGATGTTCCCCTTCCTGTGTCCATGTGTTCTCATTGTTCAATTCCCACCTATGAGTAAGAACATGCGGTGTTTGGTTTTTTGTCTTTGCAACAGTTTGCTGAGAATGATGGTTTCCAGCTTCATCCATGTCCCTACAAAGGACATGAACTCATCCTTTTTTATGGCCACATACTATTCCATGGTGTATATGTGTCACATTTTCTTAATCCAGTCTATCATTGTTGGACATTTGGGTTGGTTCCAAGTCTTTGCTATTGTGAATAGTGTCACAATAAACATACGTGTGCATGTGTCTTTATAGCAGCATGATTTACAATCTTTTGGGTATATATCCAGTAATGGGATGGCTGGGTCAAATGGTATTTCTAGTTCTAGATCCCTGAGGAATCACCACACGGACTTCCACAAAGGTTGAACTAGTTTACAGTCCCACCAACATTGTAAAAGTGTTCCTATTACTCCACATCCTCTCCAGCACCTGTTGTTCCTGACTTTTTAATGATTGCCTTTCTAACTGGTGTGAGATGGTTATCTCATTGTGGTTTTGATTTGCATTTCTCTGATGGACAGTGATGATAAGCATTTTTTTCATGTGTCTTTTGGCTGCATAAATGTCTTCTTTTGAGAAGTGTCTGTTCATATCCTTCACCCACTTGTTGATGGGGTTGTTTTTTTTTTTTTTTTTTTGTAAACTTGTTTGAGTTCTTTGTAGATTCTGGATATTAGCCCTTTGTCAGATGTGCAGATTGCAAAAATTTTCTCCCATTTTGTAGGTTGCCTGTTCACTCTGATGGTAGTTTCTTTTGCTGTGCAGAAGCTCTTTAGTTTGATTAGATCCCATTTGTCAATTTTGGCTTTTGCTGCCATTGCTTTTCATGTTTTAGACATGAAGTCCTTGCCCATGCCTATGTCCTGAATGGTATTGCCTAGGTTTTCTTCTAGGGTTTTTATGGTTTTAGGTCTAACATTTAAGTCTTTAATCCATCTTGAATTAATTTTTGTATAAGGTGTAAGGAAGGGATCCAGTTTCAGCTTTCTGCTTATGGCTAGCCAGTTTTCCCAGCACCATTTATTAAATAGGGAATCCTTTCCCCATTGCTTGTTTTTGTCAGGTTTGTCAAAGATCATATGTTTGTAGATATGTGGCATTATTTCTGAGGGCTCTGTTCTGTTCCATTGGTCTATATCTCTGTTTTGATACCAGTACCATGCTGTTTTGGTTACTGTAGCCTTTAGTATAGTTTGAAGTCAGGTAGCATGATGCCTCCAGCTTTGTTCTTTTGACTTAGGATTGATTTGGCAATGCGGGCTCTTTTTTGGTTCCACATGAACTTTAAAGTAGTTTTTTCCAATTCTGTGAAGAAAGTCTTTGGTAGCTTGATGCGGATGGCATTGAATCTATAAATTACCTTGGGCAGTATGGCCATTTTCATGATATTGATTCTTCCTACCCATGAGCATGGAATTTTCTTCCATTTGTTTGTATCCACTTTTATTTCATTGAGCAGTGGTTTGTAGTTCTCCTTGAAGAGGTCCTTCACATTCCTTGTAAGTTGGATTCCTAGGTATTTTATTCTCTTTGAAGCAATTGTGAATGGGAGTTCACTCATGATTTGGCTCTCTGTTTTTCTGTTATTGGTGTATAAGAATGCTTGTGATTTTTGCACATTGATTTTATATCCTGAGACTTTGCTGAAGTTGCTTATCAGCTTAAGGAGATTTTGGGCAGAGATGATGGGGTTTTCTAAATATACAATCATGTGATCTGCAAACAGGGACAATTTGACTTCCTCTTTTCCTAATGAATACCCTTTATTTCCTTCTCCTGCCTAATTGCCCTGGCCATAACTTCCAACACTATGTTGAATAGGAGTGGTGAGAGAGGACATCCCTGTCTTGTGCCAGTTTCCAAAGGGAATACTTCCAGTTTTTGCCCATTCAGTATGATATTGGCTGTGGGTTTGTCATAGATAGCTCTTAATATTTTGAGATACGTCCCATCAATACCTAATTTATTGAGAGTTTTTAGCATGAAGGTTGTTGAATTTTGTCAAAGGCCTTTTCTGCATCTATTGAGATAATCAAATGGTTTTTGTTGTTGGTTCTGTTTATATGCTGGATTGCATTTATTGATTTGTGTATGTTGAAGCAGCCTTGCATCCCAGGGATGAAGCCCACTTGATCATGGTGGATAAGCTTTTAGATGTGCTGCTGGATTCAGTTTGCCAGTATTTTATTGAGGATTTTTGCATTGATGTTCATCAGGGATATTGGTCTAAAATTGTCTTTTTTGGTTGTGTCTCTGCCAGGCTTTGGTATCAGGATGATGCTGGCCTCATAAAATGAGTTAGGGAGGATTCCCTATTTTTCTATTGATTGGAATAGTTTCAGAAGGAGTGGTACCAGCTCCTTCTTGTACCTCTGGTAGAATTCTGCTGTGAATCCATCTGGTCCTGAACTTTTTTTGGTTGGTAGGCTATTTATTATTGCCTCAATTTCAGAGGCTGTTATTAGTCTATTCAGAGATTGAACTTCTTCCTGGTTTAGTCTTGGGACAGTGTAGGTGTCGAGGAATTTATCCGTTTCTTCTAGATTTTCTAGTTTATTTGCATACAGGTGTTTATAGTAGTCTGATGGTAGTTTGTATTTCTGTGGGATCAGTGGTGACATGCCCTTTGTCATTTTTTATTGCGTCTAATTGATTATTCTCTTTTTTCTTCTTTATTAGTCTGGCTAGTGGTCTATCAATTTTGTTGATCTTTTCAAAAAACCAGCTCCTGGATTCATTGATTTTTTTGAAGGGTTTTTTGTGTCTCTATTTCCTTCAGTTCTGTTCTGATCTTAGTTATTTCTTGCCTTCTGCTAGCTTTTAAATGTGTTTGCTCTTGCTTCTGTAGTTCTTTTAATTGTGATGTTAGGGTGTCAATTTTAGATCTTTCCTGCTTTCTCTTGTGGGCATTTAGTGCTATAAATTTCCCTCTACACACTGCTTTGAATGTGTCCCAGAGATCCTGGTATGTTGTGTCTTTGTTCTCATTGGTTTCAAAGAACATCTTTATTTCTGCCTTCATTTCGTTATGTACCCAGTAGTCATTCAGGAGCGGGTTGTTCAGTTTCCATGTAGTTGAGGGGTTTTGAGTGAGTTTCTTAATCCTGAGTTCTAGTTTGATTGCACTGTGGTCTGAGAGACAGTTTATTATAATTTCTGTTCTTTTCCATTTGCTGAGGAGTGCTTTGCTTCCAACTATGTGGTGAATTTTGGAATAAGTGCAATGTGGTGCTGAGAAGAATGTATATTCTGTTGATTTGGGGTGGAGAGTTCTGTAGGTGTCTATTAGGTCCGCTTGGTGCAGAGCTGAGTTCAATTCCTGGATATCCTTGTTAACTTTCTGTCTCGTTGATCTGTCTAATGTTGACAGTGGGGTGTTAAAGTCTCCCATTATTATTGTGTGGGAGTCTAAGTCTCTTTGTAGGTCACTAAGGACTTGCTTTATGAATCTGGGTGCTCCTGTATTGGGTGCATATATATTTAGGATAGTTAGCTCTTCTTGTTGAATTGATCCCTTTACTATTATGTAACGGCCTTCTTTGTCTCTTTTGATCTTTGTTGGTTTAAAGTCTGTTGTATCGGAGACTAGGATTGCAACCCCTGCCTTTTTTTGTTTTCCATTTGCTTGGTAGATCTTCCTCCATCCCTTTATTTTGAGCCTATGTGTGTCTCTGCATGTGAGATGGGTTTGCTGAATACAGCACACTGATGGGTCTTGTCTCCTTTTCCAATTTGCCAATCTGTGTCTTTTAATTGGAGCATTTAGTCCATTTACATTTAAGGTTAATATTTTTATGTGTGAATTTGATTCTGTCATTATGATCTTAGCTGGTTATTTTGCTCATTAGTTGATGCAGTTTCTCCCTAGCCTTGATGGTCTTTACAATTTGGCAGGTTTTTGCAGTGGCTGGTATCGGTTGTTCCTTTCCATGTTTAGTGCTTCCTTCAGGAGCTCTTTCAGGGCATGCCTGGTGGTAACAAAATCTCTCAGCATTTGCTTGTCTGTAAAGGATTTTATTTCTCCTGCACTTATGAAGCTTAGTTTGGCTGTATATGAAATGCTGGGTTGAAAGTTATTTTCTTTAAGAATGTTGAATATTGGCCCCCACTCTCTTCTGGCTTGTAGAGTTTCTGCCGAGAGATCAGCTGTTAGTCTGATGGGCTTCCCTTTTTGGGTAACTCAACCTTTCTCTCTGGCTGCCCTTAACATTTTTTCCTTCATTTCAACTTTGGTGAATCTGACAATTATTTGTCTTGGAGTTGCTCTTCTTGAGGGTTATTTTTGTTCTGTTCTCTGTATTTCCTGGATCTGAATGATGGCCTGCCTTGCTAGATTGGGGAATTTCTCCTAAATAATATCCTGCAGAGTGTTTTCCAACTTGGTTCCATTCTCCCCGTGACTTTCAGGTACACCAATCAGACATAGATTTGGTGTTTTCACATAGTCCCATATTTCTTGGATGCTGGTTCATTTCTTTTTATTCCTTTTTCTCTAAACTTCTCTTCTCACTTCATTTCATTCATTTGATCTTCCATCACTGGTACCCTTTCTTCCACTTGATCAAATCAGCTATTGAGGCTTGTGCATTCATCATGTAGTTCTGGTGCTGTGGTTTTTGGCTCCATCAGGTCCTTTAAGGACTTCTCTGCCTTGATTATTGTAGTTAGCCATTCATCTAATCCTTTTTCAAGTTTTTTTAACTTCTTTGCCATGGGTTCAAACTTCCTCCTTTAGCTTGCCGTAGTTTGATAATCTGAAGCCTTCTTCTCTGAACTCGTGAAAGTCATTCTCCATCCAGCTTTGTTGCATTGCTGATTAGTAGCTGCATTCCTTTGGAAGAGGAGTGGTGCTCTGATTTTTAGAGTTTCTGGTTTTTTTGCTCTGTTTTTTCCCCATCTTTGTGGTTTTATCTACCTTTGGTCTTTGATGATGTGATGTACAGATGGGTTTTTGGTGTGGATGTCCTTTTTATTTGTTAGTTTTCCTTCTAACGGTCAGGACCTTCAGCTGCAGGTCTGTTGGAGTTTGCTGGAGGTCCCCTGCAGACCCTGTTTGCCTGGGTATCAGCAGCAGAGGCTGCAAAACAGCGAATATTGGTGAACAGCAAATGTTGCTGCCTGATCGTTCCTCCGGAAGTTTTGTCTCAGAGGAGTACCTGGCCGTGTGAGGTGTCAGTCTGCCCCTACTTGGGGGTGCCTCCCAGTTAGGGTACTCGGGGGTCAGGACCCACTTGAGGAGGCAGTCTGTCCATTCTCAGATCTCAAGCTGCGTGCTGGGAGAACCACTATGCCACTTGTTATTTTTTCATGAAATTTTTATAGTATGTTTTTCTGCTCTATCAGGTTGATTGTGTTTTTTTTCTATACTGACTATTTTGTCTTTCAGCTCCTGTATGTTTTTATTGTGAATTCTAGCTTCCTTAGATTGGGTTTTAATATTTTCCAGGATCTCAATGATCTTTCTTTCTATCTATATTCTGAATTCTATTTATCTCATTTCAGCCATCTCAGCCTGCTTAAGAATGCTTGCTTGAGAACTAGTGTGTTTGTGTGGAGGAAGGAAAACACTCTGATTTTTTGAATTGTCAGAGTTCTTGTGCTGGTTCTTTCTTATTTTTGTGGGTCTGTTGTTTCTTCAACATTTAAAGTTGTTTTTTGGGTGAGAGTTTTTCTTTTATTCTAGTTGATAACCTTGGGCGATTTGATTATGGTATAAGGTAGGTTCATTTGACTGGCTTCATTTCTGGAACATTTAAAGTGGCCAAGACTCAGCTCAGTACTCCTGGATTGCATGCTCTAACTCTGGGGGACTGGTATGAGGTCCCCACTTTCTTCTCTGACTTTTGAAGGTTAGGAACCTTCTGGGAGGGCTGAGGTCCTCCTGGACCACTAGAAGGGACAAGGTGCTGCCAGATCACTGGTCATAATACTTCAATGGGTAAGTGCCAGCCAAAGAACTTCATAGGGCTCTGGCAGCAGTATCTGCCCTTATTTTTATGTGCCAGTTGCAACTCCCACTGCAGTATGTATGGGTTTATGCTCCTCAGCTGCAGCACAGTGCTAGCAGGTACCAGGGTGCTGACCTTTGTGAGATCATTCACAGCAATTGGCAATATTGACTGCATTGCCTTTTGTGGGCCAGTAGGTGGCCATCATGCAGGTGTTTGCAGTTGTTGGTTGCATTGACAGTATGACTGGGGGCATAGGGCTTTCTAGCAGCAACTGTGCATACATTTACACTGGTGGCATTGTTATCATGGAGGTGGGGTGCTCTGGTTGGCACAAGTCTGTGTGGGCCCTCTATGCATGTTCCTGTAGGTGGCAGTGGCTACTCAGGGTGAGGGTGGGTCCACTTTTTGCATGCCTAGTTTCTGCCGGCAGCTGTTTCAGCACTGAAAGTAGGTACTGTTGGGGGCAGTGCTGATGTGCTTTCTGCTTGCCAATGATCTGACAACAATGGTGGTGCAGTGGGGGGAAGAGGTAGGGTGCACTCATGCCAGGAGTAGTGGCATGGCAGGGTGCACACAATTATGTGTGCTGGTAGAGAAGGGAAGACAAGGTCCACACACACACACACACACACACACAAGTACCAATAAAGCAATGTTGGAGGTCATCGTGGGCGAGTGCATGTAGGCAAAGTGGCACAAGGGAGGCTGCCGTAGTGGCAGGGTGTTGCAGGAAGTCAGGGACCCCAAACAGAGGGACCAGCTGAAGCCATGGCTGAAGAACTTGGATTGTGAAGATTTCGTGGACATTTATTAGTTCCCCAAATTAATACTTTTGTAATTTCTTATGTCTGTCTTTACTGCAATCTCTAAAGATAAATTGTGAAGATTTCATGGACACTTATCACTTCCCCAATCAATACCCTTATGATTTCCTATGCCTGTCTTTACTTTAATCTCTTAATCCTGTCATCTCACAAGCTGAGGAGGATGTATGTCACCTCAGGACCCTGTGATGATTGCGTTAACTGCACAGATTGTAGAGCATGTGTGTTTGAACAATATGAAATCTGGGCACCTTGAAAAAAGAACAAGATAACAGCAACTGTTCAGGGAAAAAGAGAGATAACCTTAAACTCTGACCACCGGTGAGCCGGGTGGAACAGAGTCATATTTCTCTTCTTTCAAAAGCAAATGGGAGAAATATCACTGAATTCTGTTTCTCAGCAAGGAACATCCCTGAGAAAGAGAATGCGCCCCAAGGGTGGGTCTCTAAAATGGCCCCGTTGGGTGTGGCCGTCTTCTGTGGTTGAAACTTTAGGGATGAAATAAATCCCAGTCTCCCATAGCGCTCCCAGGCTTATTAGGAAAAGGAAATTCCTGTCTAATAAATTTTGTTCAGACTGGTTGCTCTCAAACCCTGTCTCCTGATAAGATGTTATCAATGGCAATGGTGCCCGAAACTTCATTAGCAATTTTAATTTTGCCCCGGTCCTGAGGTCCTGTGATCTTGCCCTGCCTCCATTTGCCTTGTGATATTCTATTATGTTGTGAAGTAGGTGATCTTTGTGACCCACACCCTATTTGTATACTCCCTCCCCTTTTGAACGTCCCTAATAAAAACTTGCTGGTTTTGCGGCTTGTGGGGCATCACGGAACCTACCGACATGTGATGTCTCCCCCAGATGCCCAGCTTTAAAATTTCTTTCTTTTGTACTCTGTTCCTTTATTTCTCAAACTGGCTGATGCTTAGGGAAAATAGAAAAGAACCTATGTGACTATCGGGGCAGGTTCCCCAATAGGAGGGTATGGGCTAGCTGGGCTTGTCTTCTGTGGCAGGTCTGTTCCAGGACTTTGCAGGTCAGGTGCTATCCACCTGACAGGTCAGGAATTGTGATGCAGGGCCCCAGGACGTACTTAGGGGCTGCACTGCAAGCAGGCAGGATCAGACTTGGGCCCTGGGAGAAGCCAGCAGAATGAGGGGTGCTCAGATTGGACTGGACCTGAATCATGGGCAAAACCACCCTGCAGATTTCAGGTCTGACAGTTCCCCTAGGGCTTAAGTCTCCTGTGGGAGCCAGTCTAGCCTAGGGGCATGGGCAACCCTTGTTGTGCTCCTCCAGATGTTCTGGCATCAAGTCTTCCAGGCTCTGCTCCAGCTTGAGTTCTGCCCCTACCACTTCTCTGAGCACCTCTCCCTGCTAATCCAAGTGTCCATGGTGGTCAAGGGTATTTTTCCTTCTATGATTCTAGAGGCCCATGTAGAAAGTGGGTTGCTCCTTGACTGTTCAACTCACCTTTTCCCCAGGTGTTGCTGGGAGCAAGGAGCAAGTCCCAGTGAACAGTAGCCCTGTGCAGGGTTCCCAGCTTCCTCCCCATTCAGCCCAGCATCTGTGTCTTCCCTCCATCCACCCTCAATGCCTTCTCTCTGAAGATCTGCTAGCAGTGTGCCAGTCTTTCCAATGCCCCAACCCTTTGTGGGAGATGTTCCTTCTGGCTACATCTAGTTGGCCATCTTGCCCCTCAGGAGAAAACAACTATTTTTATTTAATAATTTTTAAACATTCTTTTCTGTGACTCTTTTAGGAATGCCCAATTCTTCTGGACTCATGAACCGTCGTGATGCCATTGCCAAAACAGATGCCACTGTGGTGGCATTACTGAAGGGAGCTGGTGCCATTCCTCTTGGCATAACCAACTGTAGTGAGTTGTGTATGTGGTATGAATCCAGTAACAAGATCTATGGCCGATCAAACAACCCATATGATTTACAGCATATTGTAGGTGGAAGTTCTGGTGAGTTGGACATTTTAGTATGGCATGAATAGCTATGCTAACAATAATAATTATGAATTGTATTAATAAACATGATACAGTATAGCATCTATGACCTATAAGAATGGATGCAAAAACCCAGGATATTTGTGTGTTGATGGAGAAGAAATGGGAGTCATGTAACAGCCTTGGTCAACTCTGATATTTTGAAGATAGATAGAGGAGAAGTAGCCAGCAAAGGGAATTGAGAATGAACTACAAGTGATGTAGATAGGAAACATCGTAAAGTGTTTAGAGACTAGGAAAAAAAAGTGTATAGACACTAGAATTGACAAGGCTTTTATTAAGCCTGAATGGATGCATATGTGGGTTAGCAAAATATGATGTTTAAACTTGTGGGTGCTAAAGCTACATAGACATTTGAGACTTCTTTTAATATATGACCTTGGTCACATGAAGTAGGTGCTCATTAAGTCAGTTTTCTTTGCTTGTAAGATGGCCATATGAAAGAAATCAGACTTGTAAGGTTACTGTGATGATTAAAAATTTAAGTGTGACTTCAGGTTTCTGGTCTAGCATATATGGGGTTTAGAAGTTTTTACTCCAATTCACACAATAAGAACAAAAGCTGAACAAACTAAAAGTTAATGACAATTCTTAAATTTATCAATATGCTGAGGTAACGGGAAAACCACTCTTCCCAAAACTGAATGAAAAGACAGGCAGATACAAAGAAGTGAAACTTGCTAGAACAAAAGCCTAGGAGCAGAAAATTTCAGGGGAACCAGCACAGCTTTAGAGAAACCTAAGCTATAACTGATGACTTGCTGGAGGTTCATTGTGAAAAAGTTTGAGAATCAAAATGTATGTGGTGGTTGGGTGGGGGGATCTTAGGGGCCCCACACAATTTCAAAAGTTTTACCTTCAGGAGTCCTACTGTGTTCCTGAGTGAAGATTGGAGAGAAATCTTCTCTTGCTTCTTGCACAGGGAGGGAAAAAGTAGCCATTTTGAAATTCTGCTTCCAAAGCATACTGTTCTTCTAACAAGGAATGTCCTCAGAGAAACTATTTTTTCAGAACCTAACTTAGTAAGGTTTTACAAGAAACTAATGGACTTGACCTAGGGGAAATGAAATATCCAACTCCAGTCCTCTCTAGGTTTCCTGTCCTACTGAAGGGGTCAAAGCAGAATAAAATTGGGAAGCACATGTTAGGGTCACAGAGCAGGGGCACATGCTAACTAAATGACTGAGACCTAATCATATGACTATAAAATACTTCCTCTCCTTGTCTCCACACACCTTATCACTACACAAATAGGGATTTTCTATAATGGGAGTTCTATATAAACCAGAAGAACAGTACATCATAGGTGTTATTTAAGAAGTCTCTAGGGAAACTCAAAGACAACAGAGGAGGTGGAAACAATGGCACTAGTTGAAAATTTTACACCTGACACCTATGGCTACAGCAGACAGTAAACACAGACTAACCCCTAGCCAGGGAAACATAAAACCTCACATTAAAGGCCAAATACCCCCAGTTCTTTTATCTCAGTACATCATGTTTGGCTTTCAACAAAACAATTATAAGGCATACTAAAAGACAAAATCACAGTTTGAAAAGAGAAAGCAACCATCAAGATTTGACTCCAATATGGAAGAGATATTGAAATTATCAGACTGAGAATTGAAACCATTTGTGATTAATATAGTAAGGGCTATAATGGAAAAACTGGTCAACATGCAAGTACAGATCTGTAATGTAAGAAGACAGATGGGAACTTCAAGAATCAAAAGCAAATGCTAGAAATAAAAAAAAAATATAACAGAAATGAAGAACATCTTTGATGGGCTCATCAATATATTGTATACAAAACAGGAAACCTTCGGTGATGTGGAAGATCTGTCAAAAAGAACTTCCAAAACTGAAATGCAAAGAGGAAGAAAAAGATTGAAAAAGACAGAAGAGACTATCTAATAACTGTTGGATTACAAATGCATATAATACACATATGTAATTGGAACACTAGGAAGAGAAGAAAGATTTTAAGAAACAGCAATAAATGTTTGAAAAAAACTACACCTAGCATAATATTTCATCCTTAGAAGGTTAAGGAGAAAGAAGAAAATATTTAAAGAAGAAGGAGAAACATACCTTATCTGTAGAAGAGCAAAGACAGAATTATATTGGTATTTTCTTCAGAAGCCATGCAAACAATAAGAGATGGGAGTCCACTTTGGGAGGCCAAGGCAGTTGGGTCACTTGAAGTTAGGAGCTTGAGACCAGACTGGCCAACATGTTGAATCCCCATCTCTACTAAAAATACAAAAATTAGCCAGGCCTGGCAGCAGGTGCCTGTAATACCAGCTACTCAGGAGTCTGGGGCAAGAGAATTGCTTGAACTCGAGAGGTGGAGGTTGCAGTGAGCCGAGATCATGCCACTGCACTCCAGCCTAGGTGACAGAGGGAGATTCCGTCTCACACACACACACACACACACACACACACAAAGATGGGAGTCAAATATTTAAACCACTGAAAGAACCATCAACTTAAATCTCTGTCTAGCAGATCTATTCTTCAAAAGTGAAAAAGAAATAAAGATGCTCTGAGACAAAGACATATTGACAGAATTTGTTACCAGTAGAGCAACAGAGCAAGAAATGTTAAAAGATGTTCTTCATAGAGAAAAAAAGAATACAAACCAAAAACCTGAATTAATGTAAAAAAAAAAAGAAAATTATTAGAGAAAGATTGAACAAAGGTAAAATAATGTATTTTTAAATTATTGATTGCTGTAACATGTAATTGTTCAAAATAATAATGCCAACAATGTGTTGGGTGATTATAGCTTGTCTATGAGTGAAATGAATGACAACATTGTTATATGGGATGGGATAAAGGAATTGGGAATGTTCCTTTATAAGATAACTACACTACTTGGGAGGTGGCAGAGTATCATTTGAAGGAGACTTGAGTTAGTTCTAAATGTATATTGCAAACTCAAGGGCAAATATTAAAGTAACAAAAAAGTATGCATTAAGTGGCAAGAGAGGAGAATAAATGGAAACATTTAAAACCAGAGACTTAGCCTCCCACACAATTATAGTGGGAGAACTTAACACCCCACTGAAAATATCAGACAGATCATTGAGACAGAAAATTAACAAAGATATTCAGGACCTGAACTTAGCTCTGGATCAAGTGGACCTAATAGATATCTACAGAACTCTCCACCCCCAAACAATAGAAAACACATTCTTTTCATCATCACATAGCACTTACTCTAAAATTTATCACATAATTTGAAGTAAAACATTCCTCATTAAATGCAAAAGAACTTAAATCATAACAAACAGTCTCTCAGATTACAGTGAAGGGATGGGTTGCCCCTCCACACCTGTGGGCGTTTCTCGTTAGGTGGAATGAGAGACTTGGAAAAGAAAGAAAGAGACACAGAGACAAAGTATAGAGAAAGAAAAATAAGAAAAATGGGCCCAGGGGACCGGCGTTCAGCATAAGGAGGACCCGTATTATTATTGATCATTATCCAGCGTTTCCCGGAGAGGGGGATGTGGCAGGACAATAGGATAATAGTGGAGAGAAGGTCAACAGGTAAACACGTGAACAAATGTCTCTGCATCATAAACAAGGTAAAGAAAAAAGTGCTGTGCTTTTGATGTGCATATACATAAACATCTCAACGCCTTAAAGAGCAGTATTGCTGCCAGCATGTCCCACCTCCAGCCCTAAGGCAGTTTTCCCCTATCTCAGTAGATGGAATATACAACTGGGCTTTACACCAAGACATTCCATTGCCCAGGGATGAGCAGGAGACAGATGCCTTCCTCTTATCTCAACTGCAAAGAGGCGTTCCTTCCTCTTTTACTAGTCCTCCTCAGCACAGACCGTTTACGGGTGTTGGGCTGGGGGACAGTCAGGTCTTTCCCTTCCCACGAGGCCATATTTCAGACTATCACATGGGGAGAAACCTTGGACAATACCTGGCTTTCCTAGGCAGAGGTACCTGCGGCCTTCTGCAGTGTATTGTGTCTCTGGGTACTTGAGATTACAGAGTGGTGATGACTCATAGCAAACATGCTGCCTTCAAGCATTTGTTTAACAAAGCACATCCTGCACAGCCCTTAATCCATTTAACCCTGAGTTGACACAGCACATGTTTCAGGGAGCACAAGGTTGGGGGTAGGGTTACAGATCAACATCATCTCAAGGCAGAAGAATTTTTCTTAGTGTCAGGCCTCCGAGCCCAAGCTAAGCCATCATATCCCCTGTGACCTGCAGGTACACATCCAGATGGCTGGTTCCTACCTTAACTAATGACATTCCACCACAAAAGAAGGGAAAATAGCCTGTTCCTGCCTTAACTGATGACATTGTCTTGTGAAATTCCTTCTCCTGGCTCGTTCTGGCTCAAAAGCTCCCCCACTGAGTACCTTGAGACCCCCATTCTGCCCGCCAGAGAAGAACCCCTCTTTGACTGTAATTTTCCTTTACCTACTCAAATCCTATAAAATGGCCCCACCCCTATCTCCCTTCATTGACTCTCTTTTCAGACTCAGCCCACCTGCACCCAGGTGAAATAAACAGCTTTATTGCTCACAGAAAGCCTGTTTGGTGGTCTCTTCACACGGACGCGCATGAAACTTAGTACAGAACAAAATGGAGTCTCTTATGTCTACTTCTTTCTACGCAGACACAGTAACAATCTGATCTCTCTTTCTTTTCCCCACATTACAGCACAATCAAATTAGAACTCAAGATTAAGAAAGTCATCCCACACCAAACCACACAACTACGGGGAAATCAAACAACCTGCTCCGGAATGACTTTTGACTTTTGGGTAAATAATGAAATTAACAAAGAAATCAAGAAGTTCTTTGAAACTAATGAGAACAAAGACACAATATATCAGAATCTCTGGGCCACAGCTAAAGCACTGTTTAGAGGGAAATTTATAGCACTAAATCCCCACATCAAAAAGCTAGAAAGGTCTAAAACTGACAACCTAACATCACAACTAAAAGAAGTAGAGAAGCAAGAGCAAACAAATCCCAAAGCTAGGAGAAGACAAGAAATAACCAAGATTAGAGCAGAACTGAAGGAGATAGAGACACAAAAAATCCTTCAAAAATCAACGAATCCAGGAGCTATTCTTTTGAAAAAAAAAATAAATAAATAAAATAGAGCACTAGCTAGACTAATAAAGAAGAAAAGAGAGAATTAAATAGACAAAATCGGAATGATAAGGGGTTATTACCACTGACCCCACAGAAATACAAACAACCATCATAGATTACTATATACACCTGTATGGACAAAACTAGAAAATTTAGAAGAAATGGAAAAAAATTCCTGGAGGCATACACTTTCCCAAGACCGAACCAAGAAATAATTGAATCTCTAAATAGAACAATAATGAGTTCTAAAATTGAGGCAGTAATAAATAGCCTACCAATCGAAAAAAAAAAAAAAAAGCCCAGGACCAGATGGATTTACAGCTGAATTCTACCACAGGTACAAAGAGGAGCTGATACCATTTCTACTGAAATTATTCCAAAAAATTGAAAAAGAGGGATTTTTTTCTAACTCATTTTATGAGGCCAGCATCATCCTGATAAGAAAACCTGGCAGAGAAAAAATAAAAATAGAAAACTTTAGGCCAAGATTCTTGATGAACATCAATGCAAAAACCCTCAATAAAATACTGGCAAACAGAATTTAGCAGCACATCAAATAGCTTATACACCATGAACAAATTGGTTTCATCCCTACGATGCAAGTTTGGCTGAACATATGCAAATCAATAAATGTCATTTGTTGCACAAACAGAACTAAAGATAAAAAACATGATTATTTCAATAGATGCAGAAAAGGCCTTCACTAAAATTCAACATCCCTTTATGTTAAAAACTTTTAATAAACTAGGTATTGAAGGAACATACCTCAAAATAATAAGATCTGTATTTGACAAACTCACAGTCAATATCACAATGAATGGGCAAAAGCTGGAAGCATTCTCCTTGAAAACCAGCACAAGACAAGGATGCCCTCTCTCACTGCTCTGATACAACATAGTATTGGATGTTCTGGCCAGACAATTAGGCAAGAAAAAGAAATAAAGCATATTCAAATAGGAAGAGAGGAAGTCAAACTACCTTTGCTTGCAGATTACATGATCATATATCTAGAAAACCCCATCATCTCAGCCCAAAAGCTTCTTAATCTGATAAGCAACTTCAACAAAGTCTCAGTTTCATGAACGTCCGTGTGAAGAGACCACCAAACAGGCTTTGTGTGAGCAATAAAAGCTTTTAATCACCTGGGTGCAGGCGGGCTGAGTCTGAAAAGAGAGTCAGCAAAGGGAGATAGGTGTGGGGCCATTTTATAAGATGTGGGTAGGTAAAGGAAAATTACAGTCAAAGGGGGTTTGTTCTCTGGCGGGCAGGAGTGGAGGTCGCAAGGTGCTCAGTGTGGGAGATTTTTGTGCCAGGATGAACCAGGAAAAGGACTTTCACAAGGTAATGTAATCACTTAAGGCAAGGACCGACCATTTTCACTTCTTTTGTGGTGGAATGTCATCAGTTAAGGCAAGGACTGGCCATTTACACTTCTTTTGTGGTGGAATGTCATCAGTTAAGGTGGGGCAGGACATTTTCACTTCTTTTGTGATTCTTCAGTTACTTCAGGCCATCTGGGCATATACTTGCAAGTCACAGGGGATGCGATGGCTTGGCTTGGGCTCAGAGGCCTGACACTCAGGATACAAACTCAATGTGCAAAAATTGCCAGCATTTCTATTCACCAACAACAGGCAAGTAGAGACAAATCATGAATGAACTCCAAATCACAATTGCTACAAAAGAATACGATACCTAAGAATACAGCTAACAAGGAAAGTGAAGAACTTCTTCAAGGAAAGCTACAAACTACTCAAAGAAATCAGATAGGACACAAACAAATGGAAAAAAAAAATCCATGCTCATGGATAGGAAGAATCATTATCGTGAAAATAGCCATACTGCCCAAAGTAATTTATAGATTCAATGCTATTCCTATTAAACTACCATTGACATTTTTCAGAGAATTAGGAAAAAAAAACCTATTTTAAAATTCACGTGGAGACAAAAAAGAGCCCGAGTAGCCAAGACAATCCTAAGCAAAAAGAACAAAGCTGGTGGCATCATGGTACCCAACTTCCAACTATACTACAGGGCTACAGTAACCAAAACAGCATGGTACTGGTACCAAAACAAACACATAGACCAATGGAGTAGAATAGACAACTCAGAAATAAGACTGCACAACTACAACCATCTGATCTTCTACAAACCTAACAAAAACAAGCAATGGGGAACGGATTCTCTATTTAATAATTCGTGCTGGGAGAACTAGCTAGACATATGCAGAAAGTTGAAACTGGACCCTTTCTTTACACCTTGTACAAAAATTAACTCAAGATGGATTAAAGACTTAAACCTAAAACACAAAACTATAAAAATTTTAGAAGAAAGTCTAGGCAGTACCATTCAGGACGTAGGCATGGGCAAACATTTCATGATGAAAACACCAAAAGCATTTGCAACAAAAGCAAAAATTGACCAATGGAATCTAGTTAACTAACAAGCCTCTGCAAAGCAAAATAAACTATCATCAGAGTGAACAGACAACCTACAGAATGGGAGATAATTTTTGCAATCTATCCATCTGACAAAGGTCTAATATGCAGTGTACAAGGAACTTAAACAAATTTACAAGAAAAAAACATTAAAAAGTAGGCAAAGGACATGACCAGAGACTCCTCAAAAGAAAACATTAATGCAGCCAACAAACATTAAAAATAGCTCAACATCACTGATCATTAGAGAAACGCACATCAAACCACAATGAGATACCATCTCACACCAGTCAGAATGGCAATTATTAAAAAGCCAAGGAACAACAGATGCTAGCTAGCTTGCAGAGAAAAAGGAATGTTTTACACAGTTGTTGGGAATGTAAATTAGTTCAACCTTTGTGGAAGACAGTGTAGCAATTCCTCAAAAATCTAGGAGCAGAAATACCATTTTACCCAGCAATCCCATTACTGGGTGTGTTAGTCAGGGTTCTCTAGAGGGACAGAACTAATAGGATAGATTTATACATGAAGGGGAGTTTATTAAAGAGTATTGGCTCACAGGATAACAAGTTGAAGTCCCACAATAGGCCGTCTGCAAGCTGAGGAGCAAGGAAGCCAGTCTGTGTCCCAAAACCTCAAAAGTAGGAAAGCTGACAATGCAGCCTTTAATCTGTGGCCAAAGGCCCAAGAGCCCCCGGCAAACCACTTGTGTGAGTCCGAGCGTCCAAAAGCTGAAGAACTTGGGGTCCGATGTTTGAGGACAGGAAGCATGCAGCATGGAGGAAAGATGAATGCTGGAAGACACAGCAACTCTGCTCTTTCCAATTTCTATCTGCTTTATTCTAGCCACGCTGATTAGATGGTGCCTGTTGTGACTGGGGATGGGCCTGCCTCTCCCAGTCCACTGACTCGAATATTAATCTCCTTTGCAACACTCTCACAGACACACCCAGGAAGAATACTTTGCATTTTTTGATTCAATCAAGTTGACGCTCAGTATTAACCATCAAACTGGGTATATACCCAAAGGAATATAAAGCATTTTATTATAAAGATACATGCACACATATGTTCATTGTAGCACTATTCACAATAGCAAAGACATGGAATCAACCCAAATGCCCATCAATGATAGATTGAATAAATAAAATGTGGTACAAATACAACACGGAATGCTATTCAGCCATGAAAAGGAACAAGATCATGTCCTTTGCAGGGACATGGATGGAGCTGGAAGCCATTATTCTCAGTAAACGAATGCAGGGATAGAAAAGCAAACACAGCATGTTCTCACTTATAAGTGGGATGGGAGCTGAATGATTAGAACACATAGACACATGGTGGGGAACAACACACACTTGGGCCTGTTGGGGGATGTTGGGAGAAAGGAGAGCATCAAGAAGAATAGCTAATGGCTGCTGGGCTTAATACCTAGGTGATGTGTTGATCTGTGCTGCCAACCACCATGGCACGCATATACCTGTGTAGCAAACCTGCACATCCTGCACATGAACCCCAGAACTTAAAAGTTGATGGAAAAAAAAAAATAAGAACTCTTTTCTATATGAGAGAATTAAGAAAAAGCAGACACACAAACACAGACCCGGGGAAGAAATATCCTCAGGGAAAACCTTATCAGTAATTACTTTAAAATGTAAATGGCTTAATATTCTCAAGTAATATAGATGAATAGAATAAAATTATGATCTAAATATATGCTGTGAACAAAAGACTCACTTTGGATCTAAAGACACAAAAAGGTTGAAAGTGAAAAGATGGAAAAAGATATTCCATGCAAATAGTATATTAGATTATTTATTTGCAAGTATTTTGTGTTTCTTGTAGGTGGTGAGGGCTGCACACTGGCAGCTGCCTGCTCAGTTATTGGTGTGGGCTCTGATATTGGTGGTAGCATTCGAATGCCTGCTTTCTTCAATGGTATATTTGGACACAAGCCTTCTCCAGGTAATGTTAATATGATCAGAAGGGTGGTTCTACTTTTATAATTCAGAGCAATTCAGAAATTTTGTTCTAGCAGGATTATCTTGCTTATCAGGGTGATTATTATATATTTCTCAATGTTCTTAAATAAAACTAGCTACTGTTTATTGAGCACCAACTCTGGGATTGGTGCACAAAATTGTGCAAGGCTTTCCTATAACTAATGTCTTTCAATAGTTATAATAGTTGTTTTTTTTTTTTTCAGAAAGTTATCCCCAATTTACAAATGACAAATTCAAAGCTCAGAAAGATTAAATAAACCGGCTCCAAATTAAATAGTTAAACAAGTAAATCATAGTGCTAGGATTCAAACCTACTTGGATTACAGGAGGCTGTTTTCTATCCACTGTACTAAAATGACTTATCAGTTAAATTTGATTTTCCCTCATTTAAAGGGTAAAATAACACAGTTTCAGAAACAGTGGAAAGAAAAATTCTGTCACCTAGAAACTCCAGTTATTGGCATTTACTGTTTTTTCAATGAATTCAAGGAGTATTTATTTTGTATTATTTATGGTGGTAAGAATGTCAAAGCAGACTCCCTGCATTCAAGGAACTTAAAATCTTCTAGGCTTTCAAAAAGTGATTTAAAGGTAATATAAGGTAGTCTAATAAATATAATTGTGGTATAGTAAAGCAGAATATTTTGAACTTTAGATTAATCATAAAAATATGCTAAGAATAAATCCTCATTTGATCATGGTTTTTAGGAATCAGTACTATAACAATGGTCCGTATACACCATGGAATGCTATGTAGCCATGAAAAAGAACAAGATCATTTCCTTTGCAGGGACATAGATGGAACTGGAGGCCATTATCCTTAGCAAACTAACGCAGGAACAGAAAACCAAATGTGACATATTTTCACTCATAAGTGGGAGCTAAATGTTGAGAACATGTGAGCACATAGAGGGGAACAACAAACACTGGGGACCTTTCAGAGGGCAGAGGGTGGGAGGATGGTTAGGATCAGGAAAAATAAATAATGGGTACTAGTCTTAATACCTGGATGATGAAATAGTCTGTAGAACAAACCCCCATGACACGTTTACCTATGTAACAAACCTGCACATGTACCCCTAAACTTAAAAGTTAAAAAGAAAGATAAATCCTAGCTCTTCATGACTTTAAAGAATTACGCACAAAAAGAGTACTGAAAATTGGCCTGCTAGGAGTTGACCTATTTTTTTTCCCTTCCATATTTTATTCTACGTTCAGGGGGCACATATGCGGGCTTATTACATGGGTAAATTGTGTGTCCATGTGGTTTGGTGTACAAATGATTTCATCATTCACGTAGTGAACACAGTCCCTGATAGGTAGTTTTTTGATCCTTGCCCTCCTCCCATCCTCCACCTTTAAGTAGGCTCTGGTTTCTCTTGTTTTCTTCTTTCTGTCCATGTGTACTCAAGGTTTAGTTCCACATACAAGTGAGAAGATGTGGTAGTTTCTTTTCTGTTCCTGTGTTAATTAGCTTAGGATAATAATGGCCTCTAGCTGCATCCATACTATTGCAAAGGAATATTTTATTCCTTTTTATGGCTGCATAGTATTTCATGGTGTAAAGGTACTACATATTCTTTATTCAGTCCACTGTTGATGGGAAGCTGGATTGATTCCATGTCTCTGCTATTCTGAATACTGCTGTGATAAACATATGAGTTCATTTGTCTTTTTGGTAGAACAAATAATTTTCCTTGGAGTATATATCTGGTAATGGGATCACTGGGTTAAATGGCAGTTCTAAGTTATTTGAGATATCTCCAAACTCCTTTCCAAAGGGCTGAACTAATTTACATTCTTACCAACAGTATATAAGCATTCTCTTTTCTCTGCAGCCTCATCAGTGTCAGTTATTTTTGGATTTTTTCAATGATTGCCATTCTGACTTGTGTGAGACAGTATCTCATTGTGGTCTTTATATGCATTTCTCTGATGATTAGTGATGTTGATCATTTTTTATAGGTTTCTTGGCTGCTTGTACATCTTCTTTTGAGAAGTGTCCATTCATGTCATTTTCTCACTCTTTAATTGATTATTTACTTTTTGCTTGTTGATTTCTTTAAGTGCCTTATAGATTCTGGATATTAGACTTATGTTGGATGCATGGTTTCTGAATATTTTCTCCCATTCTGTAGACTGTATGTTTACTCTTTTGATAATTTCTTTCGCTATGCTGTAGCTCTTTAGCTTAATTTGGTCCCACTTGCCAAATTTTCTTTGAAATTGCTTTTGGAGACTTAGCCATAAATTATTTGCTAGTCCAGTGTTGAGAAGGGTATCTCCTAGGCTTTCCTCTAGCATTTTTATAGGTTGGGATCTTACATTTAAATATTTAATTTATATTTAGTTAATTTTTGCATATGGTGAAAGGTAGGGATCCAGTTATATTTTTCTGCATATGGCTGGCCAGTTATCCCGGCGCCATTTATTGAATAGGAAGTCCTGTTACCCTTGCTTTTGTAAATTTTGTCTAAGATCAGATCGTTGTAGGTTTGCAGCTTTATTTCTGGGATCTCCATTCTGTTCCATTGGTCTATATATCTGTTTTTATACCAGCTTCATGTGGTTTTGGTTACATTAGTCGTACAATACAGTTTTAAGTTGGGTAAAGTGATTTATTTGCCTTTTGTTTCCTTAGGATCCCTTTGGCTGTTCAGATGTATTATTGGTTCCATATGAGTTTTAGAATAGCTTTTTTTTTTTTTAAATTCTGTGAAAAATAACAGTATTTCGATAGGGATAACATTGAATATGTAAATTACTTTGGAAAGTATGGCAATTTTAATGATATTGATTCTTCCAATCCATGATAATGGAATATTTTTCTGTTTGTTTCATCTCATATTTTTTCAGCAGTATTTTGTTGTTCTTTTTGTAAAGATGTTTCACCTCTTTGGTTAGTGGTATTTCTAGATATTGTAGTTTTGGTGTGGCTATTGTAAATGGGATTGCATTTTTTATTTGGCTTACCAAGAATATTATTGAAGTGTAGAAATGCTACTGATTTCTGTACATGAATTTTGTGTCCTGAAACTTTACTAAAGTCATTTATCAATTCCAGGAGCCTTTTGGGAGAGTCTTTTTGAATCATATTGTCAGCAGAGAGAGATTGACTTTGTCTTTGTCCTATTTGAATGCCCTTTATTTCTTTCTCATGCCTAAATGCTCTGGCTAGGGCTTCCAGTATTATGTTGAATAGGAGTGGTGAGACTGGACACCTTTGTCTTACTGCAGGTCTCAAGGGGAATTATTCTGTCTTTTGCCCATTCAATATGATGTTGGCTGTGGGTTTGTCATAATTAGCTCTTATTATTTTGATGTATGCTCTTTTGATGACTATTCTTCTAAGGTTTTTATCATGAAGGAATGTTTGATTTTATTGAAGTCTCTTTCTGAATCTATTGAGATGATTATATCTTTTTTTGTTTTAAATTCTGTGTATGTGGTAAATCACTTTTTTTTATTTGCTTATGTTGAATTAACATTGCATCCCAGGAGTAAAGCTTACTCAACTGTTGTGAATTAACATTTTGATGTGCTGCTGAAATAAGTTTGCTAGTATTTTGTTGAAATTTTTTCTGTCTGTATTCATCAGGGATATAGTCATGACTTTTGTTGTTGTGTCTGTGCCAGATTTTGGCATCAGGATGCTTGATTTCTAGAATGAGTTAAAGAGCATCCTCTCCTCAATTTTTTTTTTTTTTTGGAATAGTTTCAGTAGTATTGGTACCAGGTTTTCTCCCTTCCCTTCCCTTCCCTCCTCTCCCCTCCCCTTCCCTTCCCTTTCTTTTTGCATTCCTGGTAGACTTCAGCTGTGAATCCATCTGGTCGATGTCTTTTGTGCATTGGTAGGTTTTTTTTAATTACTGAATTAATTTCGAAGCTTGTTATTTGTCTTTTCAAGATTTCTCTTTCTTCCTGGTTCAATCTTCAGAGGTTGTGTGTTTTCAGAAATGTATCCATTTTTTCTAGATTTTCTAATTTGTGTCCATAGAGGTGTTCATAAAAACCACTGAGGATCTTTTGTATTTCTGTAGGATCAGTTGTAACTTCACCTTTGTCATTTCTGATTGCATTTATTTGGACTTTTTTTTTCTTTGTTAATCTAGCCAGCAGTCTATCTTGTTTATTCCTTCAAAAAAGAGACTCTTGGTTAAATTGATCTTTTGTATGAACTTTTGCATGTCAATTTCATTGGTTCTACCCAATTATAGTTACATATTTTCTACTGCAAGCTTTGAGTTTGGATTGCAATTTATTTTCTAGTTCCTTTGGGTGTGATTAGATCACTGATTTTAGATCTTTCTAACTTTTTGATTCAGGCTTTTAACATCTTAAACTTTACTCTTAACAGTGCATTACCTGAATCACAAAGATTTTGGTAAGTTATTTTTTATTTTCATTAACTTATAATAATCTTTTGATATATACCTTAATTTCATCGTTCACCCAAAAGTTATTCAGGAAAAAGTTATTTAATTTGCATGTATTTGTGAATTTTTGAAATATTTTATTTATATTGGTTTCTATACTTTTTGCACTCTGATCCAAGAGTGTGTTTGGTATGATTTAAATTTTTTTGAATTTATTGAGACTTGCTGTATGACCAAACTTGTGGTCAATCTTAGAATACATTCCTTGTGCAGATGAGAGAAATATATATTCCATGATTGTTGGGTGGACTATTTTGCAGATGTCTATCAGGTGCAATTAGTCAAATGTTAAGGTTATATCCTTCATTTATTGGTTAGTTTTCTGCCTCAAAGATCTGTCTAAGGCTGTCAGTGGGGTTTTGAAATCTCCCACTATTATTGTGTGGCTAAGTTTTTTCTTAGGTCAAAAAGAACTTGTTTTATGAATTTGAGTGCTCCAAATTGGGTGCATGTATATATAAGATAATTCAGTCTTCTTGTTGAATTGAATCCTCTATCATTATATTATGCCCTTCTTTGTCTTTCCTGATTGTTGTTGGTTTAAGATCTGTTTTATCTTATAAAAAGATAGCAACTCCTGCTTTTCTTGTTTGCTATTTGCATGGTAAGTTTTTCTCCATCGCGTTGCTTTGAGCCTTTCAGTGTTGTTACATGTGAGAGAAATTCCTTGAAGAGAGCAGATGGTTGCCTTTTTAGTTTGGTGTTTAGACCATTTACATTCAGGGTCAGTATTAATGGATGAGATTTTGATTCTGTACTCATGTTGTTAGCTAGTTGTTTTGTAGACTTCATTGTGTAATTGCTTTATATTATCTGTGGGCTATTTGCTTGAATTGTTTGTGGTAGCAGGCATCATTCTTTTGTTTCTATGTTTGGCACTCCCTTAAGGACCCCTTTTAAGGTTGGTCTGGTGGTAACACACTTCATCTGGGAAGGACTTTATTTTTTATTTATGAAGCTTAGTTTGCCAGGACATGAAATCCTTAGTTGGAATTTCTTTTCTTTGAGGATGCTGACAATACACCCCCGTGTCTTCTGCCTTTAAAGGTTTCTGCTGAGAGGTGTGCTGCTATCCTGATGGAGTTCTCTTTGAAAGTGACATGACCTTTTCCCTTACTTGCCTTTAAGGATTTTACTTTTCCCATTGACCTTGGTGAATCTGATGGCTATGTTCCTTGTGGATGGTCATCTTGTATAGTACCTAGCTGGAGTTCTCTGTATTTCTTTGATTTGCCTGTCACACTCTCCAATAAGATTAGGAAAATTTTTATGGACTATATTTTCAAATATATTTTCCAAGTTAATTATTCTCTCTCCTCTCTCAGGCATGCCACTGATGCATAGATTTTGTTGCTTTACATAATCTCATATTTCTTGGAGGTTTTGTATATTGTTCTTATTTGTTTTTCTTTATTTTTGTCTGACTGAGTTGATTTGAAAAACTAGTCTTTGAGCTCTACGAATCTTTCCTCAGCTTGGTCTATTCTGCTGTCAATACTTCCTACTGTATTATGAACTTTTTGTAGTGAAATGTTTAATTCCAGGAGGTCTGTTTGGTTCTTTCTTTAAATGGCTGTTTCATCTCTCAGTTCTTAGATCATTTTAATGGATTCCCTGGATTCCTTGGATTGGGTTTCAACTTTCTCCTGAATCTCGATGAGTTTTCTTTCCATTCAGATAATGAGTTCCATATCTGTCAAAAAGGCTAGTTTGTTTATTTGGAGGTAAGGGGATGCTAAGTTTTTTTTTTTTTTTTTTTTTTTTTTTTTTTTTGCTGTTGTTGTTGTTTTAATTTTCATAATTCTTGCACTTATTCTTTCTCCTCTGAGGGGGCTGGTGTTCCCTTAACTGTGTTGAAAGCTGATTATAGTCAGTTGGTTTTAATTCTGTGTGCTTTCAGGAGACCAGGGCTCTTTATAAGATCTTTATTAGTGATTGGATTTTTGCCTTGGGTTTCTCAGGCACTGTATACTGGCAAAAAATTTTTTGATGTTGTTACTTAGGCTGTAATCTAGTAAATGGCATATAATGGTAATGGCTGGTAGATAGGCGCTTACTCAACAACGTGACTCTTCTGCATTTCTGAATGTTCATAGTAGTTATCTGTGGTTTGTTGGAGAGAAATGACCTCATTGGGTCTGATTCTAGGCCTTGGTGGAACATCCTCTGATCACTAGTGCAGTGCCTACATTTCCTATTTTAGGTGCTCCAGGCTGCAGACCTTCCCTGCACTCACCATTGAAGGACATAAGTGTAAGCCCACAGGTCCAGCTTTGCCTTTGCCTCAGAGAATGCATGGTTCGGGATCCTGCAGATTGCACAACCCCATCCACCACTTGAGGCACCTGAGCACTCTTCCTAGGGAACTGAGATTTGGCCTAAACACCCTGCAACTACCACGTCAACTGGCTTCTACTTGGAAGTGTTAGTTGCTGGCCCAAAAAGCCCATCACGACCACTGCCAACATGAGCACATAATGCTTGGGAACCAGAAGGACATCTTACATTGCTATTGCTATTGACTACACTATGTTGACTGCACAGGGGCTTAAGAGCCCACTTTCCTACTTAGTTCACTGATAACACAATTGCCATTCAAGAAAGACACCCAGGGGCCCAAGAATTGGCCCACCTGGAACCACCAATGTGGGTACCAGTGTACACCACCCCTTGGCACGAGGATGGATGCTCTTAGCTACCACTGTGACCGCTGAAGCCTGAAGACAGGCCCAACTGGTGTCAGTCCCTAGCACAGCTTTACTAAAGCCTTCACTAACAAGCATACCCAAACACACAGAAGGAAACCGCAGATAGCTCTTTACAACCAAAAATACTATACAGAGATTTAACTGCTGCATGCGTCTTGAGCCAAAGCCAAAGGGCTCAACACAACCAACATTATAGAAACACCTTCAGGAAAAAGTCTCCCCTAAGGAAAGTAAATTTAAAAATAGAAGTGATTGTTACACCAGATGCAGAGATGTCAACATAAAGACACAGAAACATAAAAAAGCATGGAAATATGACACCCCTAAAGGAACACAATAATTCACCAGCAAGAGATTCAAACAACAGAAAAAAAATCTCAAAATGCCATTTAAAGAATCCAAAATAAAGACGCTCAGTGAGATGCAAGAGAAGTCTGAATACCAATACAAAGAACTCAGAAAAACAAATCAGTGTATAAATGAGAAATATATATATATATTATATATACACATATATATATTATATATATAATGTATATGTGTATAATATATACACATATATATATTATATACATATATATGTATAATATATACACATATATATGTATACATATATGTATATATACATATACATATATACATATATATGTGTATGTATGTATATATGTATGTATATCTGTGTGTATATATGTATATACATATATACATATATACATATATACACAGATATACATACATACATATATACATATATACACATATATAATGTTTTATACACATATATATTTTAAATGTTTTATATATATCTATTTTAATATATATGTATATATGTGTGTATATACACATATATACATATATATACATATATACACATAGATACATATATATACATACATGCATATATACACATATATATACACATATATACATATATACACATATATAATGTTTTATACACATATATATTTTAAATGTTTTATATATATATATCTATTTTAAAACAGGAATTCTAGAACTGAAGTATTAATTTAAGGAAATACAAAATACATTCAAAAGCTTCAAAAATAGACTATACAAAATAGAAGAAAAACACTTACAACTTAAAGAAAGGTCTTTTGAAATAATTCTTTTGGACAAAAATAAGAGAACAAAGAATTAAAAAAAACCAAGGCCTCCAAGATCTTTGGGACAACATAAATCAACTGAATATGAAAGTTATTAATATTCCTAAATGTGAGGATAGATCAAAGCTTAGAAAATGTAATTTAATGAAATAACAGATGAAAACTTCCCAAGTCTACCAAGAGGTTTAGACATCCAAACACAAGAGGCTCAGTGATCCAAAGAAATAGAATACAAAAAATCTTCGTCACAGCACATTATAATATAACTGTCTAAAGTCAGTGTGAACAATGATTTTTAAAAACAGCAAGAGAAAGTCATCTATTTACCTATTAAAGAAAAACTATCCAACTAACAATGACCCTCTCAGCAGAAACTTCAAAGGCCAGAAAATAAATGGATGATATGTTCAAAGTGTAGAAAGAAAAACAACCCTGCTGACGGTGAATACTATATTCAGCAATACTTGCCTTCATAAATGAAGTATAAATAAAGTCTTTCCCATACAAATGCTGAGGGAATTTGTCACGATTAGATTGGCCCTACAAGAAATGCTCAAGAAGTCCTAAACATGAAAGCAAAAGGACATTAACCATTATGAAAACACATGAAAGCAAAAGGACATTTACCATTATGAAAACACACAAAAATAGAACTCACTAGAAAAGCAATCACACAAAAATGGAAGAGAAAGGAATCAAATGGCACTACTACAGAATTCCACCAAACCACAATGACAAACAACGTGGGAAAAAAAATAACTTATGAAACAAGCAGAAAACAGTTGACAATATGGCAGGAAGAAAACCTCAATTGTCAATAATAATTATGAACATAAACATATTAAAATCTCAACTTAAAAAATACAGATTGACAAAATGGTAAAAAACGATCTAACCAAATTCTTCTTACAAGAAAGTTACTTTATTTTAAAAGAACTATTAACTGAAAGAAAAGGGGTAGAAAAAATGGTCCTTCCAAATGAACATCAAAATTGGGCAGGAGTAGCTACATTTTTATAAGATCAAACAGACATTAAGTCAAAAACAATTAAAAAGGTGATTATATAATGATAAAGAAATCAATTCAGCAAGAGAATGTAACAATTCTAATTATGTATTTACCCAACATTGGAGCATCCAAATTGATAAATATCACTAGACCAAAAGAGGAGATAGATTGCAATACAATAATAATTAGGGATTTAATTCTCCACTCACAATATTAGGCAGATTGTCAAGACAAAAATTCAACAAAGAACATTTGTTGTAACTAGGCTATAAATCTAAATGGATGTAATAGATATTTAGAGAACATTCTTCCTGACAACTGAAGAATATACATTCTTTTCATCAACACATCGAACATTCTCCAATATGAACCACAGGATAGGCCACAAGAAAAAGCTTCAACACAATTTTTAAAAATTGAAATTATATCAAGTATCTTTTCAGACCACAGTGGAACACTACTAGAAATTAATACCAACAGGAACTTTAGAAAGTATACAAATATATGGAAAGAAAACAACATGTTTGTGAATGACCATTGGGTCAATAAAGAATTTAAGATGGAAAGCAAAATATATTTGAAACAAAAATGGAAATGCAATGTAGTAAAACTTGTTGGTTACAGCAAAAGGAGTGTTAAGAGAGAAGTATATGGTAATAAAGGCTTACGTCCAAAAAAAGTACAAAGATTACAAAGTAACAATTTAATGATGCATATTAAGCAACTAGAAAAGCCTGAACTAATCAAGATTACATTTAGCAGAAGAAAAGAAATAGCAAATATTAAAACAGAGCTAAATGAAGTTGAGGCTAAAAACATAATACAAAGAATCAATGAAATTTGAAGTTGGACAGATAAAGAAAATTGATCAACTGTGAGCTAAGCTAACAAAAAAGGAAGAAGACCCAAATAAACACTGAAATGACAAAGGAAACATTGAAATTTATACCACAGATATAAAAAAAGATTATTGGAGACTATTATGAAAACTGTATGCTTAGAATCTAGAAAACCTATCAGAAACAGATACATTTCTGGAAACATAAAATCTATTGAGATTGATTCAGGAAGAAATAGAAAATCTGAGCAGACAACGAATGAGTAATGAGCCTGAGGCTGCTATAGAGTCTCAAAACAAAAACAAGCCAAGAATGGATTATTCACAGCTGAATTCTACCAAATAAATAAAGAACTATACCAATCATACTGATATTATTCCAAAAACTTGAAAAGGAGTGAATTAATTCCAACTTCATCAAGGCCAGGATCACTCTGATACCAAAACAAAATAAGGAAGCAAATATATGTGTGTGTGTATATATATATATATACATATATATATGTGTATATATATATATATACACATATATATATGTGTATATATATGCACATATATATATATGTGTATATATATGCACATATATATATATGTGTATATATATGCACATATATATACACATATATATATATGCCAATATTTTTAATATAGCTAGACACAAATATCTTCAACAAAATACTAGCAAAGTTGAATCTAACAACATGTCAAATAGACCACATACTATGATTAAGTGGGTGTTATACCAGGGATGTAAAAATGGTTCGACATAGGCAAATAAGTAAATGTGATATATCACATCAACAGAATCAAGAACAAAAACCTTGTTATCATTTCAATTGTCAAAGAAAAAGCATTCGATAAAACTTATCATGCCTTCATGGTAAAAAAATCAAAAAACTAGCCACAGAAGCAACATACCTAAAAATAATAAAGGCCACATATGACAACCCACCAGGTAACATCATACTAACTGGGGAAATGCTGAAAGCACTTCCTCTAACAACTGGAACAAAGCGAGAATACCCATGTTTGCTACTTTTCAATGTAGTACTGGAAGTGATAACTTGAACAACCAGGCAACAGCAATAAATAAAAGACATCCAATTAGAAAAAGACGAAGTTAAATAATCTCTGTTTGCCAAAGATATAATCTTAGATATAGAAAAACCCTAAGAACTTCACCAAAAATATTTAAATTTGATAAATGAATTCAGGAAAGGTTCAAGATACAAGAATCAGCACACAAAATCAGTATAATTTATATGTGCTAATTATGATCTGAGAAAGCATGAAGGCAATCTCATTTATGATAGTTACAAAAACAAACAAAATACCTGCTTATAAATTTAGCCAAGGAGGAGAAAGATTACTACAAAGAAAACTACAAAACACAGATAAAAGCAATTGAAGATTTCAAAAACAAATGGAAGAACATTCTATGCTCATACGTCAGAAGAATTAATATCATTAAAATGACCATATTACACAAAGAAATCTACAGATTCAGTGCAATTCCTATCAAAATACCAACATCATTTTCACAGTATTATAAAAAATTAAAATTTATATGGAACCAAAAAAGAACCCTAATAACTAAAGTGTTCCTGAGCAAAAATAAAAAAGCTAGAATAGTGCATTACCTCACTTCGGTAATATTATGAGGCGACAGTAAGCAAAACAACATGGTTCTGGTAAAAAAACAGATGCATAGGTCAATGGTACAGAATAGAGAACCCAGAAATAAAGCCACATAAATACAGCCAAGTGATCTTTGACAAAGGCAGCAATAATATACATTGTGGAAGTGAATCACTTTTCAATAAATGGTGCTGGGAAAATTGGATAGTCATATATAAAAGAATGAAACTAGACTACTTTATTTTGTCATATACAAAAATCAACTCAAAATTAATTAAAAACCTAAACAGAAGACCCCAAATTATTAAAAAAAAAAAAAGAAAAAAAAGAAAACCAAGGGGAAATTATTTTGGACATCTGTCTAGGCAAATACTTTATGACTAAGACCACAAAAGCACAGTCAATAGAAACAAAAATGGACAAATGTGACTTAATTAAATTTAAAACCTTTTGCCTAGCAAAGATGTAATCAACAGAGTGATGAAACAACCTGTTGAATGGAAGAAAGTATTTGCAAATTATTCATTCAACTGAAGACTTATATTCAGAATATATAACAAGCTCAACTCAACAATGATAAAACATTTCATTCACAACTGGGCAAAGGACATAAACAGACATTTTTCAAATAAAAGATATACAAATGGCCAATATGTATATGAAAAACGCTCAGTATCACTAGCTATCAGAGAAATGCAAGTCAAAACCAATGTGAGATTATATCTTACTCCAGTCAGAATGGGCATTATTACAAATACAGAAAGTAACAGATGTTGGCGAGGATTTGGAGACAAGGAAATCTTACACATTGTGCCAATATAAACAAGTGTAGTCTGTGAAAAACAGTATGGAGGTTTTTCAAAGGGGTAATAATAGAACTACTATTTCATCTAGCAATCTCTCTACTGGATAGCTACCCAAAGGGAAATCAATTATATTAAAAGCTACCTGCACTTGTATGTTTATACAGCATTATTCACAATAGCAGAGATATGGAATCAACCTAAGTGTTCATCAACATATGATTGGATAAATAAATTGTGGTATATATACACAATGGAATACTATTCTGCCATATGAAATCATGTCTTTTGCAGCAACATGGATGGAACTGACATCATTATATTTAGCAAAACATGCCCGTTACAGAAAGATAAGTATTACGTGTTCTCCCCAATAAGTGGGTGCTAAAAACGTTTTTTACATGGATGCAGAGAGTAGAATGATAGATAATGGACACTCAGAAGGGTGAGGCTGAGAGAGTGGAACACGATTAGAAATTTGTTAATGGGTACAATGCACATTATTCAGGTGATGGATACCCTGCAAGCCCTGATTTGACTGTTATGTAACCTGTGCATATACCAAAACTGCACATACATCTCATAAATTTGTACAAAACTAAAACCCACTGAATTACTTCAGTGGCAAATCTGTCACCAAGTTTGTCTGTGTTGTCATCTAAGTAAACCTTTGTTAAGTATACATAAAAATCTTGTACTTTATGAATTTAACTATGTAAAAAGAAAATTGAGATAAAAAGACTAAGGGAACATATGAAAATATTAATTATGGGTATTTTTTGCTAATGAGATTCTAGGTAAATTTAATTTTTATTCATTTCAGTATTTTCCAAATTTTCCATAATATATGTATGCTTTTTTAAAAAATTAGATGCTAATTTTTAAAATATTAATATGTCTAGTTTGATATGTCTTGTGTTCACATTTTAAAACATATACACAGCAAAAGGACTGAACAGAGTGTACCAAAATGTTTATCTGGCTAGCACTGCCAGGAATTTGCGTTCATTTTCTTCTTACTTTTTTATCAAATATTCTCTACTAAGTAGGTATTACATTTATACAGGAATAAACATTTTTTTGAATTTGAATTGTAACTATGCCTGTTACTAAATATGCACTTTTGTTATTTTAAATAACCTCCAGAGTCTCAGTTTCCCCACCTTTGAAAATGAGATAATACTTACCTCTTAGGTTAGTTCTGAATACAAAAACATGTGTTGGTTAAACATGTGCCAAAATTGTTTGTTTCTAAAATTTAAAATTGGCTTCTTTGTCTTTTTTTTTAGTAAGATAACAGATAAAAATGAAATTAGTCTATTTTTCTACTTGCCAGCAGAATATCTGTCTTATTTTAGGGAACAATGTGAAATTTACCATTTATATTAACAATTAGGTGTCAACCCATGAGAATAAAACACATTTCTAAGGGAAGAAAAAATAATCCATGGACATGAAATGCCATTCCATGTATTTATGCTTTATTTCAGCAATGGTTTGTAGTTTTCAATGTACAAATATTTTTCCTCTGTTGTTAAATTTGTTTCTATTTTACTCCTTTTCATGCCATTGTGAATGGGATTGCTTTCTTAATTTCATTTTCAGATTGTTCATTATTAGTTCATTGAAGTGTAACTGATTTATTTTTTTTTAATAACTATTAACTTCTTCGAATTCATTTTTAACCATTAGCAGTTTCTCTTTATGGACTCTTTAGGGTTTTCTACATACACGATCATGCAATCTGCAGAAATAACTTCATGTGTTCCTTTCAAATTTTGTTGTCTTTTATTTATTTTTGTCACTTAATTATTCTGACTAGAACTTTCAGTTTTATATTGGATAGATGGGGCAAGAATAGTCATTCCTTCTTTGTTCTTCATTTTAGATGAAAAATTTTCAGTCTTTCAACATTGAGCATGTTAGCTTTGAACTTTTCATATATAGCCTTTATTATGTTGAGGCAATTATTGTCTATTCTTTATTTGTTGGCTTTTTTGTCATGAAGGAGGGTTGAATTGTTTCATATGATTTTCTGCATCAATTGAGATAGTCATCTGGGTTTTCTCTTAATTTTATTAATGTGGATTAATACATTGATTTTCATATTTAGGACAATTGTTTCATTCCAGCAATACATTTTACATGGCCACTCTTGTAATGTGTTCTTGGATTCTATTTTACTAGTAGTTTGTTGAATATATTTGCATCCATGTTTATCAGGGATATTGGTCTATAGTTTTCTTGTAGTAACAGTATATGGTTTGGTATCAGGGTAACACTGGCTTTGTAAAATGAGTTTGGAAATATTATATTCAATTTTTGGATGAATTTGAAGATGATTAGTATTATTTAAAAAAAAAGTTAGATAGAATTCTTCTGTGAAGGTATCTGTTCCTGGGATTTCCTGTGCTGTGAAGTTTTAAATTACTGATTCAATTTCTTTACTAGCTATAGGTTCTTTCAGATTTTTTCTCTCTTCATGATTCACTCTTAGTATGTTGTGTGTTTTTAATAATTTATAGATTTTCTCTAGGTTACCAAATTTATTGATCTATATTTTTTAATGTATTGCTTTATAATACTTTTTATTTCTGTGGCATCATTTATAATGTCCGCTCTTTTATTTCTGTTTTTAGTTACTTGAGGTTTCTCTTTTTTCTTAGTCAACCTAGCTACAAGCTTGTCAATTTTGTTGATATCTTACTAAACCCAGTTCTTAATTTTGTTGTTTTTTCTGTTGATTTTTTAACTTACTAAATTCTATTTTATTTATCACTGCTTTAATTTTAATTTTTATTATTTATTTATTTTAATTATTATACGTTAAGTTCTGGGATACATGTGGAGAATGTGCAGGTTTGTTACATAGGTATATACGTGCAATGGTGATTTGCTGCACCTATCCACCCGCTAGCTACATTAGGTATTTTTTCTACTGCTATCCCTCCCCTAGCCCTCCACCCTCTGACAAGCCCTGATATGCGATGTTCCTCTCACTGTGTCCATGTGTTCTCATTGTTCAACTCCCACTTATGAGTGAAAACATGTGATGTTTGGTTTTCTGCTCCTGTGTTTGTTTGCTGAGAATGATGGTTTCCAGATTTCCTATTTAATAAATGGTGCTGGTAAAACCGGCTAGCCATATGCAGAAAACTGAAACTGGACCCCTTCCTTACACCTTATACAAAAATTAACTCAGGATGGATTAAAGACTTAAATGTAAGACCTAAAACCATGAAAACCCTAGAAGAAAACCTAGGCAATACCATTCAGGACATAGGCATGGGTAAAGACTTCATGACTAACACACCAAAAACAATGGCAACAAAAGCCTAAATTGACAAATGGGATCTAAATAACCTAAAGAGCTTCTGCACAGCAAAAGAAACTATCATCAGAGTGAACAGGCAGCCTATAGAATGGGAGAACATTTTTGCAATCTATCCATCTGACAAAGGGCTAATATCCAGAATCTACAAGAAACTTAAACAAAATTTACAAGAAAAAAACAAACATCCTCATCAAAAAGTGGGCAAAGGATATGAATAGAGACTTCTCAAAAGGAGACATTTATGCAGACAACAAATGTATGAAAAAAAGCTCATCATCACTGGTCATTAGAGAAATGCACATCAAAACCACGATAAGATACCATCTCATGCCAGTTAGAGTGGCGATAATTAAAAAGTCAGGAAACAACAGATGCTGGAGAGGATGTGGAGAAATAGGAATGCTTTTACACTGTTGGTTAGAGTGTAAATTAGTTCAACCATTGTGAAGACAGTGTGGTGATTGCTCAAGGGTATAGAACCAGAAATACCATTTGACCCAGCAATCCTTTTACTGGGTATACACCCAAAGGATTATAAATCATTCTACTATAAAGACACATGTTCATGTATGTTTATTGAAGCACTGTTCACAATAGCAAAGACTTGGAACCAGCCCAAATGCCCATCAATGATAGACTGGTTAAAGAAAATGTGGCAAATATACACCATGGAATACTATGCAGCCATAAAAAAAGGATACGTTTATGTCTTTTGCAGGGACATGGATGAATCTGCTCTACTTTTTATTATTTCTTTCCTTCAGATAAGGTTGGCTTTATAGTGTTCTTCTTTGCCTAGTCCCTTGAGGTGAAAAGTTAGGTAGTTAGTTTGAGATCTTTTTTTTTTTTAAATTTTATTTAAAAAATTGTATTGTATTTTGGTAAGAACATTTAACATGACACCTACCCTCTTAACTGATTTTTAAGTTTCCAAACAGTAGTCTTCATTTGGGCACAATACTTTACAGCAGATCTCTAGTATTTATTCATCTTGCATAACCAAAACTTTATATCACATGAATAGCAATTCCCCATTTCTCCCTTTCTCCATCTCCTGACAATCATCATTTCACTCTCTGCCTCTATGAGTTTGACAAATTTAGATAACTCATATAAGTGGAATCACACAGTATTTGTCCTTCTGTTTTATTTAGCATAATGTCCTCAAGATGCATTTATAGTGCTGCATTTTGCAAGGTTTCCTTGTTTATGAAGGCTCAACAATTTCCATTATATATGTATGTGTGTGTGTGTATATATATAGAGAGAGAGTTTCTCAACCTGTTCATCTGTTGATGGACATTTAGGTTATTCCCACCTCTTGGTTATTGTAAGTAGTGCTGCATTGATATTCAGAATGCTAAATCTCTTTGAAATTCTAGAATTCAAGATCTGAGTATTTAGGTGGATAAATATCTAGAAGTGAGATTGCTGGATCATGTGAATCTCCTATTTTTACATTTTTGGGGGATCTTCATAATGTTTTTAATGGAGGCTGAACCTTTTTGCATTCCCAGCAACAGTACAAAAATTTCTGATTCCTCTACATCCTTGTCAGCACTTGTGAGTTATTTTTTATTTTTGTGGGTACATAGTAGGTGTATATATTTATGGGGTACATGAGATATTTTGATACAGGCATAAAATGCATAGTAATCATATCAGGGTGAATGGGATTTTCATCACCTGTAGCATTTATCCTCTTCTTGTGTTACAAACAATCCAATTATACTCTTTCGGTTATGTTTAAATGTACAATATATTACTGTTGACTGACTGTAGTCACACTGTTGTGCTATCATACACTAGATCTTATTTATTCTATCTAACTATGTATTTGTACCCATTAACAATCCTCCCTCCCCTCATCCTTCACTACCCTTACCAGCCTCTGGTAACCATGATTTTACTCCTAAGAGATCTTCCTTCTTCTTTAATGTAAATGCTTACTGCTACATACCAACCTGTTTATATA
Source organism: Homo sapiens (assembly GCF_000001405.40). Lineage (NCBI taxonomy): Eukaryota > Metazoa > Chordata > Mammalia > Primates > Hominidae > Homo > Homo sapiens. The sequence continues at coordinate 57,359,294 of NC_000023.11, forward strand.
GCTTTTGCTGCATCCCATATGTTTAGGTATGTTGTAATTTAATTTGTCTTAAGGTATTTTCTAATTTTCATTCTGATTTCTTCTTTCACTTGTTGGTTGTTTGAGTATATTGTTAAATTTCCAGTCTTCATGGATTTTCTAGTTTCCCTTCCGCTATTGATTTCTAGTTTTATTCCAATAGATTGGAAATCATGTTTTGTACATTATTTAGGCCTGGCCACTGCACCTGTCCCAAATAATATATATTTTAGCTGACAACAAATTAACTTCAACCACATATGAAAACTTTATTCTTGTACATATCTGCCCCTCTTTATGTTATTGATGTCAAAATTATATTGTGCATCTGGTATCATAGATTCATAGTTATTTTCATGTTTTTGTCCTTTAATCTCCATACCAGAATTAGAAGTGATTTATAAACCAATATTATAGTATCACAGGATTTAATATCTGTCTGCGTATTTACCTCTACCAGAGATCTTTGTTATTTATGGTTTTATGTTGCTAACAAGTGTCTTTTGATTTCAACTTGAAGGACTCCTTTTGGCAATTCTTGATGGCAGGTGTAAAGGGGATGAAAAACCTCAGTTTATGTTTATCTTGGAAGGTCTTAATTTTTCCTTCAGTTTTGAAGAACAGTTTTGCTGAACATAGTGTTTTTATTTTTCAGGGTGTTTTTTTTTTTTTCTCAGCCCTTTGAATATATCATTCCAGTCCTTTCTGTACTGTAAGGTTTCTGCTGGGAAATATGGTGATAGTCTTATGGAAACTTCTTTCTGCACAGTGAGTAGCTATTCTCCTGCTACCTATAAGATTCTCTCTTTATCTGTGATTTTTGACTGCTTGATTATAATTTGTCTTGGTATGAGTCTGCTTGGGTTTATCTTAGAGTTTCATTTTTTAGCTTTTCCCATTTTTATGTAACTTTCCTCAAAATTGAGAAGTTTTTGGCCTTCTTTCTTCAAATAATTCCTCTTCCCTTTTACTTTTTTATGGGTATTTCATATGCATACATTTGTCCGGTTGATGGTGTCACATGAGTTTCTTAGACTCTCTTCACTTTCCTTCATTTGTTTCTTTTTTGCTCATCTGAGATGAAAATTTTAAATGACCTATTTTAAGGTTTGCTAATTATTTGTTCTGCTTGATCTAGTCTGCTTTTGTACCCCTCTACCAAATTTTGCAATTCCATTATTCTATTCTTCAGCCTCAGAACTTAGTTTTTTAAAATAGGTTCTATCTCTTTATTGATATTCTCATTTTGTCTGTTTTCTCTTTTAGTTATTGAGCATTTTTAAGATGGTTATTTTGAATTCTTTATCAGATAATTCATAAACCCTTTTTAAAAATTGTTTTCTTGTTTTTAAATTTTCTTAATTTTACTTTAAGTTCTAGGATACAAGTGCAGAATGTGTAGGTTTGTTACATAGGTATAGGTGTGCCATGGTGGTTTGCTGCACCTATCAACCCGTCATCTAGGTTTTGAGACCCACATTCATTAGCTATGTGCCCTAGTGCTCTTCCTCCCCTCACCCCCACCCACCGACAGGCCCCGGTGTGTGTTGTTCCCCTCCCTGTGTCCATGTGTTCTTATTGTTCAACTGCCACTTATGAGTAAGAACATGCAGTGTTTGGTCTTCCATCCCTGTGTTAGTTTGCTGAGGGTGATGGCTTCCAGCTTCATCCACGTTCCTGCAAAGGACATGATCTCATTCCTTTTTATGGTTGCATAGTATTCCATGGTGTATATGTACCACATTTTCTTTATCCAGTCTCTCCCTCCCTTCTCCATAAATTTTTGGATAATTTGAGTAGAATTATAATTAGTTCTTTCTTAAATATTTGATAGAATTCAGCAGTGAAACCATCAGGTTACTGCTTCTATCTCATTACTCATAATTAGTTTGCTCAGATTTTTTATTTTTCCATGGCTCACCATCTTAGGTTATATATGTAAATACTTTTTTTTAGTTTTTCAAAATTACTGGCATATAGTTATTCATAATAACTTCTTTCTTTCTTTCTATTAATTTAAGGTTTGGCATGTTGTTGCTCTTCTAGTTCTCAAAGGTGCAGCATGAGGTTGTTTATAAACTCTTTCTACTTTTTTGATATATGCATTTATTTCTATAAACTTTCCTCTTAGTACAACTACTAATGTATCCCATGGGTTTTGATATTTTGTATTTCCATTTTATTTTTCTGTCAAGAAATTAAGATTTTTTCCTAAATTTCTTTATTTACTTATTGTTTGCTCCACAGCATGCTATTTAATTTTCATGTATTTGTTTAGTCTCCAAAATTCCTCTTGTTATTGATTTCCAGTATTATTTAATTGAGGTCAAAGAAGATATGTGATATTATATATATATTTTTTTAAATTGTAAGACTTTCTTTGTAGCCCAATATGTGTTCTCTCTTGGAGAATGTCCATGAAATGATGAGAAGGTTGTGTATTTTGCAGTCATTGGATAAAATGCATCCTTTTCTCTCAGATTGAACAATTCCCTTTAGTGTTTCTTATATGACAGTTCTAGTGGTTATGAAATCCCTCATCTTGTTTGTCTGGAAAACTCATTATATTTTTTTCATGTTTGAAGGAAACTCTGGTAGGCACAATAGTCTAAGTTCAAAGTTTTTTTTCCTTCATTATTTTGAAGATAGCATCCCACTCTCCTCTTTTCTGTAAGATTTCTGCTGAGAAGTTTGCTTTCAGACTATCAGAGCTCCTCATAAGTTATTTGCTCCATCTTACCGATTTTATGGTCCTTTCTTTGTTCTTGACCCTAGAGTTTGATTTTTTTTTCAAATTTTATTTTAAGAACAGGGGATAAAGAAAATGTGGCACATATACATCATGGAATACTATGCAGCCACAAAAAAAGATGAGTTCATGTCCTTTGCAGGGACATGGATGAAGCTGCAAACCATCATTCTCAGCAAAATAACAGAAGAACAGAAAACCAAACACCACATGTTCTCACTCATAAGTGGGAGTTGAGCAATGAGAACACACGGACACAGGGAGAGGAACATCACACACTGGGGCCTGTCGGTGGGTGGGAGGCTAGGGGACAGATAGCATTAGGAGAAATACCTAATGTAGATGACGGGTTGATGGGTGCAGCAAACCACCATGGCACGTGTATACCTATGTAACAAACCTGCATGTTCTGCACATGTATCCCAGAACTGGATATTAGGCCTTTGTCAGATACATAGTTTGCAAATATTTTCTCTCATTTTAGAAGTTTTCTGTTTACTCTGTTGATGGTTTCTTTTGCTGTGCAAAAGCTCTTTCACTTAATTATGTCCTACTTGTCAAATTTTGTTTTTGTTGCAACTGCTTTTGGGTACTTAGATATAAATTTTTTCCAAAGGATGATGTCCAGATGGTGTTTTCTAGATTTTCTTCTATGATGTTTATAAGTTTAGTCTTACATATGTCTAATCAATCTTGAGTTAAGTTTTGAATATGGTGAAATGTATTTTGCACATGACTAGCCAGTTATCTAAACACCATTTATTGATAGGTACTTCATTCCCCATTGCTTGTTATTGTCAACTTTGTGGAAGACCAGGTTGTTATAGATTTGAAGCTTTATTTCTGGGTTCTCTATCCTGTTCCATTGGTCTAGGTGTCTGGTTTTATAACAATATGATGTTGCTTGGTTACTGCAGCCTTGTAGTATAATTTGAAGTTGAATAATGTGATGCCTCCAGCTTTGTTCTCTTTACTTAAAATTGCTTTGGCTATTCGGGCTTTTCTTGGTTCCATATGAATTTTAGAATAGATTATTCTAATTCTGCAATAACTCACATTGAGAGTTTGATGGGGATAGCAAGGAATCTGTAAATGGCTTTGGGAAGTATGGCCATTTTAACAATATTAATTCTTCAAATTCATAGGCATAGAATGTTTTACTTTTTTTGTCATCTCTGATTTATTTTAGCAGAGTTTTATAATTCTCAAACTAGAAAACTTTCACCTCCCTGGTTAGCTATATTCCTAAGTATTTTATTATCTTTGTGGCTATCATAAATATATTACATTCTTCATTTGGCTCTCAGCATGAACATTATTGGTGTATAAAAGTACTACTGATTTTTGTGCATTGATTTTGTATCCTGAAACTCTAAGTAGTTTATCAATTCTAGGAGTCTTTTGGCAGAGTGTTTAGGACTTTCTATGTATAAGACTATATAATCTGTAAAGAGAAATAAAATGACTTCCTTTCTTTTATTTGGATGCCTTTTTTTCTTACTCTTGCCTGATTGCTCTGGCTAGGACTTCCCAGCACTATGTTGAATAGGAGTGATGAGGGTGGGCACCCTTGTCTTTTTCCACTTCTCAAGGGGAACACTTCCAGCTTTAGTCAATTTAGGATAACATTGGCTGTTAGTTTTTCAATGATGGTTCTTATTATTTTGAGGTATGTTCTATGGTGCCTAATTTTTAGAGGATTTTTAACATTGGAGGTATGATGAATTTTATCAAAAGCCTTTTCTGCATTCATTGAGATAGTCATATATTTTTTAAAGGAAATCTGTTTATGTGGTTAATCACATTCAGTGATTTGCATATGTTGAGCAATCTCTGCACCCCAGGAATAAGACATTAATTACCTTCTTTATATGCTTCAGGATTTCATTTGCTAGTATGTTGTTGAGGATTTTTGCATCTATGTTCATCATAGATGTCGGCCTGTAGGGTTTTTTTTTTTTTTTTTTTTTTTTGTATTGGTGGGCTTAGGTGTCAGAATGATTCATGCTTCACAGAATGAGTTAGGGAAGACTCCCTCCTTGACTTTTTGGAATAATTTAAGTAGTATGGGTATCAGATTTTCTTTGTACATCTGGCAGAATTTGGCTATGAATCCGTTTGGTGCAGGGCTTTTTTCTTGGTAGTTTTTAAATTACTGATTTAATTTTGGAATGCATTATTGGTCTTTTCAGGGTTTCAGTTTCTTTCTGGTTCAATCTTGGGAGGTTGTGAGTTTCCAGGAATGTATTCATTTCTTCTGTGTTTTCTAGGTTGTGTGCAGAGAGGTGTTTGTAATAGTCTCTACAGATTTTTTTGTGTTTCTGTGTGGTCACATGCAACATAATCTTCATCACTTCTGCTTGTGCTTATTTGGATCTTCTCCTTTTTTTTTTTTTTTTTTGCTAATAGATCCCCTAGTGTTTTGGTCTTGTCAATTCTTCCAATGATTCAACTTTTGATTTTGTTGATCTTTTGTATGGATTTTGCTATCTAGATTTTGCTCAGCTCTTAATTTTAGTTATTTCTTTTTAAATAGTAACTTTAGAGTCTCTCTTGCTTGTCTAGTTCCACCAGGTGTAATGTTAGGGTATTAATTTGAGATTTTTCTAATTTCTTGATGTAGTTGCTCAGCACTCTCCACTTCCCTCTTAACAGGTTTTCCCTGTGTCCCAAGATGCTGGTATGTATTGACTCTGATTTCATTAATTTCAAAAAGTTTTTTTGGTTACTGCTTTACTTTCAATCTTAACCAAAAAGTCATTCAGGAGCATGTTGCTTAATTTCCATGTAATTATGTGGTTTTGAGGGATTGTCTTGGTATTGATTTCTATTTTTATTGCACTGTGGTCTATGAGTGTAGTTGTTATTATATATTTTTTAAAATTAGTTTGGATGTGTTTTATGGTGGAGCATATGGTTGAGCTTAGAATATATACTATATACAGATGAGAAAAACTGTTAGTTGGAGTATTCTGTAGATAGCTATTAGGTCCAATTGATCAAGTATAAAGATTTATTCCAGAATACCTTGGTTTGTTTTTTGCTTTGATTATCTGTGTAACTTGTCAATGGCATGTTGATGTCTTCCACTTTTACTGTGTGGTTGTTTCTGCATGTTTTTGTGGCTGCAGGTACTGGTCTTTCATTTCCATATTTAGCACTCACTTAAGGACCCCTTGAAAGGCTGGTCTGACGTTAACAAATTTTGTAGCATTTGCTTGTCTGAAAAAGATTTTATTTCTCTTTCACTTATGAAGTTAGTTTGGTAGAATATGACATTCATGGTTGGAATTTCTTTTGTATAGGGATGCTGATTATAGGCCTCCACTCTCTTCTGGTTTCTAAGATTTCTGCTGAAAGTTCTGCTATTAGCCTGATGGGGTTCCATTTGTAGGTGACATGCTCCTTCTCTCTAGCTGCCATTAACATATTTTCTTTCACATTGACCTTGAAGAATCTGATGACTCTGTGCTTTTGGCATGGTTGTCTTGTGTAGTATCTTGCAAGGGTTCTCTGCGTTTCCTATATTTGCATGTCAATCTCTCTAGCAACATTGGGGATGTTTTTATGGACAATATACTCCAATATTTCTTCCACATTGCTTGCTCTCTCTGTCTCTTTCAGGAATGCCATTCAGTCTGAGGTTCTGTCTTTTTATAGAATCCTGCATTTCTCAGAGCTTTTGTTCATTTTTTCTCTATTCTTCACCATTGTCGTCCTATGTTGAATCAAAGGAGAAGTTTCTGAGTGCTGATACTTTTTCCTCAGCTTGGTCTGTTACGTTATTAATGCTTCCAATTGCACTCTGAATTTCCTGCAGTGAATTTTTCATTTTCAGATCAGTTTGTTTTTTCTTAAAATGGCAGCTATCTTTCAACTCTTGAACTATTTTATTGTGTCCCTTGGATGTTTTTCAAGTTTCTCTTGTATGTTGATGAGCTTCCTTGCTGTCCAGATTCTAATTTCTATGTGTGTAATTTCAGCCATTACAGTCTGCTTAAGAACCATTGGTGAGTTTGTTTGGAGGTAAGAAGACACTCTAACTTCTAATGTTGCCAGAGTTCTTGCACTATTTCTTTCTTTCTTTCTTTCTTTTTTCCATCTGTGTGGGCTGATGTTCCTTTAGTTTTTGGAGTTGCTGCCTTTTGGATGAGGCTTTTGCTTTTTTCTTTCTTTGATGTTCTTGAGGGTTTGACTGTTATAAGTTAGGTTTAGTTGATTGGCATCATTTTCAGATGCTTTCAGGGGCTAAGACTCAGCTGAGCACTCCTGGGCTACATGCTCTATCCCTGGTGAACTGGGACCTGGCCCACAGCTTTGTTCTTTTGCCCCTTGGGGGTTAAATATCTGTTGCCCTGGAGGGGCCAATGTGTTCCCAGCCCATTGGTGACAACACTAACAGACGCTGCTAGCAAAGGTACTCCAGTGGGCTTGTGGTCATCCCCCACATGGGTGCACGCCAGTGGGGCAGCAGGGGTCCCAAAGCTTGCTCATGCCTGCAGGGTGGTGTGTTTTCCATACGCATGTGCATGCTGGCAGGGTGATGAGGGGAGACTGTGGGCAAGCATACACCCACAAGGGAAGGCTGTGGGTGGTCATGTGCTGCTGGAAGTCTGTCTGCAAAAACACTCAAACAGTTAAGCAGGGCTTGCCACTGAGGGATCGATGGCAGTGGATGCTGGTAAACAGTGGAGGCTGCACTGCAAGTGGCTGTAGCTAGGCAGGACCCTGGCAGAGGTTAGCAGATAAGGGGGAGCTCAGATCAGACTGGCCCTGTCCCACAGGCAACACAGCCATGTTCTTTTCGGTTCCAACAAAGGCTAGAGCTGCCTGGTGGAATATGGCAGTCTTTGGGGAATTGGCAGCCATGGCTATGCTCCACTGCAGTCATTTCTACACAAAACCTCTGGACTCCATACAGGCTGGAGTTCTGTCTCTGCCAACTCTCCAGGCAGTTCTCCTTGCTAGCTCAGGTGTACGTGGTGGTTGTGTGTCAAATGTCTTTTCCTATATTTATCTCTGTATTGTATAAACTCATACGAAATAACCTTGCATTGCTTTTTAAACATTGAAATATATCATGCACAGCATATATAAGTGATAACGTATTCAGATAAGATGTTGATTATTATAAAGGAAAGCACAAAATGTCAGCATCTAAGGTTAACTTAGGATCTGTCAGAGGGTCCATGAAGTCGAAATTATTTTATAATAATGCTAAGATATAATTGGCCTTTTTCATTATGTTGACATTTGTAGTCATGTTTCAAAAGCAATGTTATCCAAAGTGGCTGCACCTTAGCATGAACAAGGCAATGACACTAAATTGCACTGCTAGTCATTGTATTCTTTACTGCTACACACTGTTAGTAAAAATATAAATAAAAACAAAAGTTACAAAAAATGTAAAAAAGGATTGATATCAGCAAGACCATTTAGAAGCTCTTCATACTTTTCCCTCTCATAAAACAAGGGCAAAAACAATGAATAAACAACTACATTTTAACTATATTATCTGAAAAAGAATGCTAGAGCACAGCAAAGGAGTAGCAGAGACTCTGTGGAACATGCAGGCTCAGGATGGCTTCATAGACAAGGAAGCAAAGTATTCTGCTGCTGTTACTTTATCTCCTCAAATGGGATTCACTCAGAACTAAGGGGGACTTCCCTCTGCACCAGAAAGTAAGAAGGAGGTTTCTAACAGCCCCTCTTAAGATCATGGATGTCTGCAGTCCTTCCTGCTGAAGAATCCTGCAGTTCTCACAGATGCTGAGCCAAGTTTGGAAAGCTGCCAGGATTTCACACAGCTGCATTGTTAAAGAAAGAGCCCACATTTGCCCCCGTTCTTATTTGACCTAAGCTGCTGCTGCACAGTGCTATCTTATAACTGGAGCCACTGCTATATTGTGTCTTGCTCATGAGGGCAATAACCACTTCATGCCTCCATCCCTGAGGTTTTGCCATCATTACACCATGCTCATACCTAGTAGTACACCATTACTCAGCCAAACTATTATGGGTCACTCCCCTTTGGAACAAGCTGCCTAGGAGGTCTTCCATCTACCCCATTCCAGTGTCTACCATACCCCAACCCTGGTTACTCCAAGCCTGGCTCCAGCAAAACAGCTGCAAATCTAGCAGCCAAATACACAAGGCACACTGAACCCACCCCCACCCCCAAACCCAGAGAATAGTTAGTGCTGTGCACAGCACAGAAGCTGAGTACAAAGAGCTAGGCCCCTGCATGCACCCTCAGTGGACAAACTAGGCTGGTGCTTTGCCTATGTGGGAGCAGTGCACAAGCTTGTGGGCAAGCTCAGCACTCTCTTGATGTGAGAACCAGCCTGGTGTCCTGCCCCAAGGGGAACAGCAGACAAGCAGAGGACCAGCTGTATGCTCTCTTGGCACACAAAAGAGCTTGGTGGCATACCCCATGGAACAACACACATATGAATGCATAAATCGTGAACTCCCTCTGCATGTGGAGCAGCTTATGTCCCACCCACAGTGGAGCAGCACCAGAGACACTGATGCTCACAAAGGCATTGCTGGTGTTGACTACAGCTGAAGGAACTGCATAGAGACTATGCTATTGCACTCACTGGAATCAAAGCCAGCATGCTCTACCCAATCAAGCCCTAGGAAACATCAGCAGGTAAAAGTATCTCCACATGAAAGACACTTGATAATATTGGAAAAGATAACCATTCCACCTTATGCATGGGTATTAATATAGGGACACAAGACACATGAAAAGTCAAGGAAATATGACATTACCAATGAAACACAATAATTTTGTGGTAACTGACCCCCCAAAATGGAAATTTCTAATTTTTTTTAAAAAGTAATTCAAAATAATGACTCAAGAAAACTCAGAAATATACAAGAGTACACAGACACACACTGCAACAAAATCAGAAAAACAATTCATAGTATGAATGAGAAATTGATCAAAGAGATACATATAATGGAAAAGAAACAAACATAAATTGTGGAGCTGAAGAATTCAACCAACGAAATAAATAAGACTGAGAGCTTTAGCAGTATACTAGATCCAGCAGAAGAAAGAATTTTTAAACTTGAGGAATGTGTTTTGAAACAGTCCAGTCAAAAGGAATAAAAATAAAATAATGTAAAAGAGCAAATAATGTAAAAGAGCAAATGAAATAGGTGGTACATCATTAATCAAACAAACTTCTGCATTCTAGAGATTTCAGTAGAAGAGATGGAGAAAAGCACAGGAAGCTTATTTAACAAAATAGTAGCTGAAAATTTCCCAAATTTTGGAAGAGATGTGGATATCCAGATCCATGAAGCTCAAAGGACTCCAGATTCAACCCAAAGAGGTCATCTCTGAGGCCTGTTATAATCACACTGTTAAGACCTAAAGAATTATAAAAGAAACATCAGAAAATTGTCAAGTCACATATAAAAGGATCTCCATCTGACTGACAGCAGATTTATCAGCTGAAACCTTGCAGGCCTAAGGAGAATGGGATGGTATATCAAAGTGCTGGGGAATAAATTGAGGTAAAAATGCCATACCCAACAAAACTATTCTTCCAAAATGAAAGAGAAATAAAGTCTTTACCTGACAAACAAAAGTTGAGGAAACTCACCATCAATTATCTTTACATTAAATGCTTAAGGGAGTGATTCAGCTGGAAGTAAACATATAGTTACTAAGAGGAAATCATATGAAACTATAACTAATAAAGGTAAATTTGTTGTGAAATTCAGAACACTCCATTATTATAAAGTAATATAATTTTTCAAATCTCTATGAAGGTTAAAATCACAATGGTAAATAATACCTATAGCTACAACAAGTTGTAAGTGGACACAAAATATTAAAACATGCAAATGGAGATACAAAGTTATGAATTTTAAGAAATCTAGAATGTATGTGACCAAACTTATTATCAACTTAAAATTATTTATTGTAACTGTAAGCTTTTCATGTAAGCCCTATAGTAGCCACTAACAGCAAATTACAGCACATAAACATATAAGAAAGGGGAAGGAATACAAAGCTTATTACTATGGAAAACCCCCAAATGACAAACGTAAAAAAATGAGAGGTGAAGAAAGGAACAAAGGATACAAAATATTTAACAAAATGGCCGAAGCTAGTCCTTAGTAACCAATAATAACCTTAAATGTAAATGAATCAAATTCTACAATTGAAACATATAAAGTGGATGAATAGATAAAAAAATATAACCCAGATAAGAAAAACATAACCCAGCTGTATGCTGCCCATGAGAGACGCATATTACCTGTTTTTCCAGTTCCAGTTGTTACTGGAAAAAGAGACTAAGAAGATCATTATATAATGACAAAAGTTGATTCAGCAAAAGGATATAACAATTGTTAATATATAGGCACCCAACACTGGAGCACACAAATATATAAGGCAAATATTAGATATAAATGGAGAGGTAGCCTGCCATATAATAACAGTTGGGGACTTCATTCACTTTCAGCAATGAAATGATTATCTAGGCACAAAATTAATGAAAACTCAGATATAAACTATACTCTAGACCAGGGGTCCCCAACCCCCAGGCCATGGACCAGTACCAGTCCATCGCCTGTTAGAAACTGGCTGCACAGCAGAAGGTGAGTAGTAGGTGAGTAAGCATTACCACATAAGTTTTGCCTTCTGTTAGATCAGCAGCAGCATTAGATTCTCATAGGAGCATGAACCCTTTTGTGAACTGAGTATGCAGGGGATCTAGGTTGTGTGCTTCTTATGAGACTCTAATGCCTGATGATCTAAGGTGGAACAGCTTCATCTCAAAACCATCTCACCTCACAGTGCATGTAAAAATTGTCTCCCATGAAACCACTTCCTGGTGCCAAAAAGTTTGGGGATCACTGCTCTAGACCAAATGGTACTAATAGACATTTACAGAACATTCCACCCAACAGCTGCAGAATACACATTCTTGTCAACAGCATGTGGAAGTTACTCCAGGATACATCATATGTTTGGCCACAAATAAGTATCAAAAATTTGTTGGTTTTTTATTTTACTTTATTTTCAACTTTTATTTTAGATTGAGGGAGTACATATGCAGGTTTCTTGCAAAGGTCTACTGCATGTTTGTCATATAATTGAACCTGTCACCCAGCTAGTGAGCATAGCTCCCAATAGGTACCTTTTTGACCCTTGCCCCCTTCAAACTCTCCCCAAGCTTATAGTCTCCTGTGTCTATTTTTCTAAACTCTATGTCCATGTGTACACAATGTTTAGCTCCCACTTGTAAGTGAGAACATGCGGTATTTGGTTTTCTGTCTGTGTTAGTTTGCTTAGGATATTGGCCTCCAGCTCCATCCATGCTTCTGCAAATGAATTCATTCTTTTCTATGGGCTGCATAGTACTCTGTGATACCACATTTTCTTTATCCAATCCACCATTGATGGGCACCTAGTTTGATTCCATGTCTTTCCTATTATGAATAGTGCTGCTGTAGACGTGCAGGTGCATGTGTCTTTTAGGTAGAACAATATTTGGCTTTCAATATATACCCAGTGATGGGATGATTGGGTTGGATCACAGTTCTATTTTTTGGGGGGGGGGTTACTTTCAACTTTTACTTCAGAAACAGGGGATACATGTGCAAGGTTTCTAAAAAGGTATATTACATGATGCTGAGGTTTGAGGTATGATTGAACCTGTTACCCAGGTAGTGAGCATAGTATCTGATAGGTTTTCACCATTAACACTTTCCCTTTTATCCTCACCTTGTAGCCCCCAGTGTCTACTGTTCCTATCATTATGTCAATGTTTACCCAATGTTTAATTTACACTTATAAGTAAGAAGATGCGGTCTTTGGTTTTTTAATTTCTGCATTAATCCACTTAGAATAATGGCCTCAGGCTGCATTAATGTTGCTGCAAAGGTCATGATTTTCTTCTTTTTTTGGCTGCATAATATTCCATTGTGTATATGTATCACTTTTTTTATACAATCCACAGTTGATGGATATCTATTTTGAATCTATGTCTTTTTTATTGTGAATAGTGCTGTGATGAACATACAGATCCATGTATCTTCTTGGTAGAATGATTTATATTCCATTGGGTATATACCCAGTAATAGTATTGATAGGTGGAATAGTAGTTCTATTTTTTAGTTATTTGAGTAATCACCAAACTGCCTTCCAAAGAACTGAACCAACTGACATTCCCACCAAATATGTATAAGCATTCTCTTTTCTCTGCAGTCCTGCCAGCATCTGTAATTTTTTTAACTTTTTAATAATAGCCATTCTGACTGGTGTGAGATGGTATTTCTTGGTGGTTTTAATTTTTGTTTCTCCAATAATTACAGTGATGATGAGCATTGTTTTTGTGTGTTAGTTGGATACTTCTATATCTTCTTCTGAGAAGCATCTGTTCATGTGTCTTGTTCACTTTTTCATGGGGTTATTTGTTTATTGCTTGTTTTTTCCAAGTTATCCAATTGAATATCTTTATTTTTATATTCCAGGTCATTTGAAAAATTCTTTTATTAGTGGTGACATTTCTTGTTTAATGATTACTTCTCTTCCTAAACAAAAGTAGTAGTAGAATTTTTAACTAATTAATTAGTTTTATTGTGATAAAATATACTCGCCATAAAACTTACTGTGTTAGCCACTTTTAATTTTTTTAATTATTTTTTATTACAATAGGTTTTTGGGGAACAGGTGGTGTTTGGTTACATAAATAAGTTTTTTAGTGGTGATTTCTGAGATTTTGGTGCACCCATCACCCGAGCAGTATACACTGTACCCAGTATATAGATTTTTATCCCTCACCCTCCTCTCACCCTTTCCCTCGAGTCCCGAGAGTCCATTATATCATTCTTATGCCTTTACATCCTCATAGCTTAGCTTCCACGTATGAGTGAAAACCTACAATGTTTGGTTTTTCATTCCTGAGTTACTTCACTTAGAATAATGGTCTCTAATTCCATCCAGGTTGCTGCAAATGCCAATATTTCATTCCTCTTTATGGCTGAGTAGTAGTATTCCAAGGTATATCATGGTATATCATATTTTCTTTACCTATTCATTGACTGATGGGGATTTGGGCTGGTTCCATATTTTTGCAATTGCAAACTGTGCTGCTATAAACGTGTGTGCAAGTATCTCTTTCTTATAATAACTTCTTTTCATCTGGGTAGTTACCAAGGAGTGGGGTTGCTGGATCAAATGGTAAATCTACTTTTAGGTCTTTAAGGAATCTCTACACTGTTTTCCATAGTGGCTGTACTAGTTTACACTCCCATCAGCAATGTAGAAGTGTTTCTTTTTCAATGCATCCATGCCAACATCTTTTTTTTTTTTATTTGATTATGGCCATTCTTGCAGGAGTAAGGTGGTATTGTATTGTGGTTTTGATTTGCATTTCCCTGATTATTAGTGAAATTGAGCATTTTTTTCATATGTTTGTTGGCCATTTGTATATCTGCTTTTGAGAATTGTCTATTCATGTCCTTACCCCATTTTTGATGGCATTGTTTTCTTCTCGCTAATTTGTTTGAGTTCTTTCTAGATTTTGGATATTAGTCCTTTGGCAGATGTATAGACTGTGGAGATTTTCTCCTGCTCTGTGGGTTGTCTGTTTACTCTGCTGTTTCTTTTGCCATGCAAAAGCTCTTTAGTTTAATTAAGTCTCACCTCTTTATCTTTGTTTTTATTGCATTTGCTTTTGGGTTATTGGTTATGAAATCATTGCTTCAGCCAATGTCTAAAAGGGTCTTTCGATATTATTTTCTAGAATTTTCATAGTTTCAGGTCTTAGATTTAGGTATCTGATCCATCTTGAGTTGATTTTTGTGTAAGGTGAGAGATGAGGATCCAGTTTCATTATCCTAGATGTGGTTAGCCAATTATCCCAGCTTTATTTGTTGAATAGGGTGTCCTTTTCCCACTTTAGGTTTTTGTTTGCTTTGTCAAAGATCTGTTGGCTGTAAATATTTGGATTTGTGGGTTCTCTATTCTGTTCCGTTGGTATATGTGCCCATTTTTACAGCAGTATCATGTTGTTTTGGTGACTATGGCCTTATAGTATAGTTTGAAATTAGGTAATGTGTTGCCTCCAGGTTTATGCTTTTTGCTTAGCTTTGCTTTGGCTATGCAGATACTTTTTGGGTCCCATATGAATTTTGGGAATTTTTCTAGTTCTGTGAAGAATGATCATGGTATTTTAATGGGGATTGCATTGTATTTGTAGGTTGCTTTTGGCAGTATGGTATTTTCACAATATTGATTCTATCCATCTATCAGGATGGGACGTGTTTCCATTTGTTTGTTTCATCTATGATTTCTTTCAGCAGTATTTTGTAGTTTTCCTTGTAGAGATCTTTCACCTCCCGGGTTAGGTATATTCCTAAGTATTTTATTTATTTTGCAGCTATTGTAAAAGGGGTTGAGTTCTTGATTTGATTCTCAGCTTGGTCGCTATTGTATAGCAGAGCTGCTGATTTGTGTACATTAATTTCGTATCCTGAAACTTTGCTGAACTCATTTGTCAGTTCTAGGAGCTTTTTGCAGGAGTTTTTAGGGTTTTCTAGGTATACAATCATATCTTCAGCAAACAGTGACAATTTGACTTCCTCTTTACCGATTTGGATGCCCTTTATTTCCACCTTTTGTCTGATTGCCGTTGCTAGGACTTCCAGTACTGTGTTGAATAGAGGTGGTGAGAGTGGGCATCCTTGTCTTGTTCCAGTTTTCAGAGGGAATGCTTTCTACTTTTCCCCGTTCAGTATTATGTTGGCTGTGGGTTTCCCATAGATGGCATTTATTACACTGAGGTATGTCCCTTGTATGCCGATTTTGCTGAGGGTTTTAATCATGAATGGATGCTGAATTTTGTCAGATGCTTTTCTGCGTCTATCAAGAAGATCATGCGATTTTTGTTTTTAATTCTGTTTATGTGGTGTATTCCATTTAATGACACAAGTCATTAACCTGTTTCTATTAAATGATCCCTGCATCCTGGTATGAAACTCACTTGATCATGGTAGATTATGTTTTTGATATGATGTTGGATTCAGTTATCTAGTATTTATTTGTGGATTTTTGCATCCATGTCCATCAGGGATATTGGTCTGTAGTTGTTTTTTTGTTGATGTTATGTCCTTTCTGGTTTTAGTATTAGGTGATACTGGCTTCACAGAATGATTTAGAGAGGATTCCTTCTTTCTCTATCTTGTGGAATAGCATCAATAGGATTGGTACCAATTCTTTGAATGTCTGGTAGAATTCAGCTGTGAATCCATCTGGTACTGCACTTTTTTTTTTTTTTTTTTGTAAATTTTTTATTACTATTTCAATCTCTCTCCTTGTTATTGGTCTGTTTAGAATTTCTAATTCTTCCTCATTTAAGCTGGGAGAGTTGTATATTTCCAGGAACTTTTCCATCTCCTCTATGTTTTCTAGTTTATGCTAGTAAAGGTGTTCATACTAGCCTTGTGTGATCTTTTGTCTTTCTCTGGTTTGGTTGTAATGTCTCCTGTTTCATTTCTAATTGAGCTTCTTTTCTCTCTCCTTTTCTTGGTTAATCTTGCAACTTGTTGTAATATCATAGACAATGGTTTGGAAGAATTATTATCTTTTTATATATCTATTGGCCATTTGGATTTCTGTTTGCAGAAAGCCTTGATAAAATATTTGGCCCTTTTTTAATTGGGTAGTTTGTTTTATCATTGGTTAATGCTTTGATTGTCCTATTTAAGAAATATTTGCCCATCCAAAGCCATAAAGATATTCTATTATTTTTTAAAGATGCTTTATTCATTTTCCTTTGACACTTAGGTTTTTAATCCATTAGAAACAGGTTTTTGTGTATTGTATGAATTAAGATTGAAAGTTACTATTTTTCTATATATATATTGAGTTATGTCAAAAGTTTTTGTGGTAAAGATTATACTTTCCCCACTGCATTGCAGTGCCATCTTTGTTTTAAATCAGGTAACAGCAACAAGAGCAAGTGGGCTGGATATTATTCTGTTTCATTATCTTAATCCTTGTGTCTATATCTACTATAACTGTAGTATAACTACAGGCTGTACTATATCTATACAATCTGTAATAGTATCCCTTTTTCATTCATGATACTGATCATTTTTGTTTTTTTCTCCCTTTTTCTTGATAAGTCTTGTTACGTGTTCATCGATATTATTAATCTTCTCCACAAATAATCTTTTAAATATGTGCAGAACATGCAGGTTTGTTACATAGGTGTATACGTGCCATGGTGGTTTGTTGCACCCATCAACCAGTCACCTACCTTAGGTATTTCTCCTAATGCTATCCCTCCCCTAGCCCTTCACCCTCTGACAGGCCCCCAGTGTGTGATATTCCACTCCCTGTGCCCATATGTTCTCATTGTTCAACTCCCACTTATGAGTGAGAACATGTGGTGTTTGGTTTTCTCTTCTTGTGATAGCTCGCTGAGAATGATGGTCACATTTTCTTTATCCAGTCTGTCATTGATGGGCATTTGGGTCAGTTCTAAGTCTTTGCTATTGTGAATAGTGCTGCAGTTAACATACATGTGCATGTGTCTTTATAGTAGAATGCGTTATAATTCTTTGGGTATAAAACCAGTAATGGGATTGCTGGGTCAAATGGTATTTCTGGTTCTAGATCGTTGAGGAATCACCACACTGTCTTCTGCAATGGTTGAACTAATTTACACTCCAACCAACAATGTAAAAAGCGTTTTTATTTCTCCACATTCTCTCCAGCATCTATTGTATCCTGACTTTTTAATGATCGCCATTCTAACTGGTGTGAGATGGTATCTCATTGTGGTTTTGATTTGCATTTCTCTAATGACCAGTGATGATGAGCTTTTTTTTGCATATGTTTGTTGGCTGCATAAATGTCTTCTTTTGAAAAGTGCCTGTTCATATCCTTCACCCACTTTTTGATGTTTTTGTTTTCTTGTAAATTTGTTTAAGTTTCTTGTAGATTCTGGATATTAGATCTTTGTCAGATGGATAGATTGCAAAAATGTTCTCCTATTCTGTAGGTTGCCTGCTCAATCTGATGATAGTTTCTTTTGCTGTGCAGAAGCTCTTTAATTAGATCCCATTTGTCAATTTTAGCTTCTGTTGCCATTGCTTTTGGTGTTTTAGTCATGAAGTCTTTGCCCATGCCTATGTCCTGAATGGTATTGCCCAGGTTTTCTTCCAGGATTTTTATGGTTTTAGGTCTTACATTTAAGTCTTTAATCCATGTTGAGTTAATTTTTGTATAAGGTGTAGGAAGTGATCCAGTTTCAGTTTTCCACATATGGCTAGCCAGTTTTCCCAGCACCATTTATTAAATAGGGAATCCTTTTTCCATTTCTTGTTTTTGTCAGGTTTGTCAAAGACTAGATTGTAGTAGATGTGTGGCATTATATCTGAGGGATCTGTTCTGTTCCTTTGGTCTATATCTCTGTCTTGGTACCAGTACCATGCTGTTTTGGTTACTGTAGCCTTGTAATATTGTTTGAAGCCAGGTAGCATGATGTCTCCACCTTTGTTCTTTTTGCTTTGGATTGTCTTGGCTAAATGGGCTCATTTTGTTCCACATGAAATTTAAAGTAGTTTTTTCTAATTCTGTGAAGAAAGTCAATGGTAGCTTGATACGGATAGTATTGAATCTATAAATTACTTTGGGTAGTATGGCCATTTTTACAGTATTGATTCTTGCTATCCATGAGCATGAAATGTTTTTCCACTTGTTTGTGTCCTCTCTTATTTCCTTGAGCAGTGGTTTGTACTTCTCCTTGAAGAGGTCCTTCACATCCCGTGTAAGTTGTATTCGTAGATATTTTATTTTCTTTTTAGCAATTGTGAATGAGCGCTCACTCATGATTTGGATATCTATTATTGGTATATTGGAATGCTTGTGATTTTTGCACATTGATTTTGTATCCTGAGACTTTGCTAAAGTTGCTTATCAGGTTAAGAAAGTTTTGGGCTGAGAGATTGTAGGTGATCAAGAAAGGCCTTATAGTTTCACTTAAGTCTTGAAATCTGGTTATCCATCTGGCATATTAATTGTGAAATGTATTATAAGCAGAGGAAATGGCATAAACAAAGTTATAAATGAGCATCAAAATAGCCTGTTCTTTGCGGAAAATTGCAAACAATTTGTTATGGCTTCTGTTTAGGTATCAGGTTGCAGAGAGCTTTGTATACAAGCTAAAGGAATTTTGACTTTATCCTCTATGCCAGTAGATTTTTAAATCTGTATTCTAACTAGTCCTTTTCCATATAGGCTCTGCAGACCCTTAGAACCATCCCCAGAAAGAGAGAATAGCCTAATAAGTAGGGACCCTGTTTCCATCAGAGTAGCTCTGGTTTTGCTTGTTTTATATTGAAGTTCTTCGTTGGACTCTATTAGGAAAAAAAATTCACTGCTTTTAAGAGAGCTAGTAAAATTGTGAAACTACTGCAATGAGATATAAGAAGACCTGAAAAGTTTTAACCAGGAGAAAAAGTATTTAAGATAGATTAAACACCATAATGAAATACAACATGCAGGGATCATGTCTTATTTTGGGCGGCTAACCTGACTGTCTATCCTTTCAGGTGTGGTTCCCAACAAAGGTCAGTTTCCCTTGGCTGTGGGAGCCCAGGAGTTGTTTCTGTGCACTGGTCCTATGTGCCGTTATGCTGAAGACCTGGCCCCCATGTTGAAGGTCATGGCAGGACCTGGGATCAAAAGGTATGTTCATTTATTTTTATTTCCTTGGACTCTTATCCTGACATTCATTCTCTCTTTGTTTATTAGTGTCATAGAGGTAGACTTTCAGTCCTCAAGCAAATAATTTTTACAGGTTTTTATGAGAGAGCCTTTATATACTTATATAAGTGGATACCATGCTTCACAAATTGGAAAGATGCCATGTAAAAGTATTTTACTGAGAAAATACAAAGAGAGGCCTTATTTTTGGGAAGGAAACAGTGAATCTTTTTGTTTTTCATTTGTGAATTTGTGCATAAGGACTACGTTCACTTTAAGTTCAGCCTTTCTGATTCTTCTGACATCTGTCACCATATACATACTTTCCAATCTCACCTAGGCATCAACGCTGCTTGGAAATTGGTTCCCTAGACAGCTCTTTTTTAATATATTTTCTGTAGCAGTCATTTCAAATTATTTCCATTTCCAGCGAAACTCTGATCTTCTCCTTTCCTTTACCCTCAAGTAAATAATCCCACATTTTATCTCATAAAAAAATGCAATCTATATGTAACTTACTTCAGTTTCTTACCATCACATTTTTCTAGGTCTCCAGCTTTCATTCTTTCTCCTCTTAGAGTGGAGAAAATATCTTTCCATTTTGCTTTAGCATATAAGTAGTTTCAGTTATGCTCTTGATCTTATGTTCTCTTATTCTCTCAGATCTTTGTTCCATTACTTATCTCATCTTAGTATGACTTTAACCTCTCTCTCTCTGTCTCTCTCGCTCTCTCTCTCTCTCACACACACACACACACACACACGTGTGCGCACCCTTCTCATTATTATTAAGCATCCTAAGTGTCTCTCATCTTAAAAAGAGACAACATTTTTTTAGCCCCTTATTCCCCTTAAGCCACTACTCTATGCCGCTTTTTGCCCCATTGCCAGATCCTTTGTGTGAATTATTTATACTCATTAACTCTAAATTCTCACATTGCCATCTCATAAATGAATTCACTACAAAGTGGTTTTTACCACCAAAATTATTCTTGCCAAAGTCCCTGAATTTTTTTTTTTTTTGCATTTTTGCTAAAAATAATGACTGCTTCTCAATACTTACCATTCATTACCTCATTATAACTGGTGGCAATATTGATATTACTCCATCATTATTGAAACAAACTCTGCCCTTGGCTCTTGTGATTCAATCATTTTTAAAATTATTTTTAATTTTTGTGGGTACCTAACAGGTGTATATATTTTTGGGCTACATGAGATATTTTGAAGCAGTCATGTAATGCATAATAATCGCTTCATGGAAAATGGGGTAGGTATCCATCCCCTTAAGCATTTATCCTTTATGTTATGGACAATCCACCCTTTTGATATTGCTCCTTTTCCTTTCATCTGCCTTACTGGCTCTTCTTCCTTTGTTCATCTCTTATATATTGGTATTCTAGAAGGACCTGGTTTACTTATCTCTATTCTTTCTACTTACCCTCTCAGAATGACTCCATCTACCCTTGCCACTTCAACCATTTTCCATACACAGATGATGCCAAAATCTGCCTCTTCAGCTCACTTTTTTCACTTAAGCTAGAGGACTGTCTATTTACTACTACAGGAAGACTGGCCATTTCAGATAACTGAGACTCAATATATCTAAAACTGATATTATTTTTCTTTCAAGCTCCAGAAACCTGATCCACTACTTTGATTCTTACCCAATCCCAGTGACTGGATGACCAAAATCAACCCAGTTGCTAAAGCCTCATTTCCGATTTTTCTCAGTCATTACATCTAAGCAATGCTGAGTCATATTGAAATTACCTACTAATGATTTCTTACATCTTTACATATCTCTCCCTTACCATGGTTACAGTTCTAGTTCAGGCTATAATCATTTCTAGCATGAACTACCACCAAAACATTTTGACTTGTCACCACGTCTACAATTTTGATGCATTTCAAACCATTCTCTCCCTTGCAGCTCAAGTACATTTTTTAAATGCAAATCTAAATTCTAAAGGTATAATACTGTTTCTGGCACACAGTGCTCAGGGAAAAAAATACTTCATTAGAGCTGAAGCTCAGATGTCAGGATTGAACTATTAAGGATATCTAAATAATTTGTTGATGTCAGTTTCTTTTTAATCCTACACAGGTTAAAACTAGACACAAAGGTACATTTAAAAGACTTAAAATTTTACTGGATGGAACATGATGGAGGCTCATTTTTAATGTCCAAAGTGGACCAAGATCTCATTATGACTCAGAAAAAGGTAATTTTAAATAAAATTTGTTTAGGAATTATTTTTAGTCAAAGAGATATCCTTCTGAGCCCTTTACTTCACTTACTGCCAAATATTTCTGTGTCAGCATACGGAATTAAGGTTTTCAGAACAGTTATACTAAGGAATTTTGGATGTAATTTTTCATGGTTATTTTAGATATTTTATTTTTTAGTAATGAAATGAGTACTTTGAAAATAAAGTATGATAAATCAAATAAATAAATTGCTCAGAGGTAACTGTCATTAATAATTTGGTATGTATCTATCCAGTGATTCTCCTATGCTAATGTGTAGATGTAAATTTTAGGTAATAGAGACAACATTATATATGCAATCATTTTAGCCTGAGCTTTATTTTAAAATACTTTTATAATCAGATGAAATAATAGCACAAATTTGTCTTTTTAAAAGCAAGAGTTCATTTGGGAAAGAAGAATAATAAGGGGAACAGACCTACCAAATTTTAAAAGTAATTTTTAAACTACTATTCAATGTAATAATAATACAGCTTATTACGTGGAAGCAATGGAAGACAAAGAAGGCCCTTACATAATGGTAAAGGGATCAATTCAACAAGAAGAGCTAACTACCCTAAATATATATGCACCCAATACAGGAGCACCCAGATTCATAAAGCAAGTCCTTAGAGACCTACAAAGAGACAGACTCCCACACAATAATAATGGGAGACTTTAACACGCCACTGTCAACATTAGACAGATCAATGAGACAGAAAATTAGCAAGGATATCCAGGAATTGAATTCAGCTCTGCACCAAGCAGACCTAATAGACATCTACAGAACTCTCCACCCCAAATCAACAGAATGTACATTCTTCTCAGCACCAAACCACACCTATTCCAAAATTGACCACATAGTTGGATGTAAAGCACTCCTCAGCAAACGTAAAAGAACAGAAATTATAACAAACTGTCTCTCAGACCATAGTGCAAACAAACTAGAACTCAGGATTAAGAAACTCGCTCAAAACCGCTTAACTACATGGAAACTGAACAACCTGCTCCTGAATCACTACTGGGTACATAACGAAATGAAGGCAGAAAAAAAGATGTTCTTTGAAACCAACGAGAACAAAGACACAACATACCAGAATCTCTGGGACACATTTAAAGCAATGTGTAGAGGGAAATTTTTAGCACTAAATGCCCACAAGAGAAAGCAGGAATGATCTAAAATTGGCACTCTAACATCACAATTAAAAGAACTAGAGAAGCAAGAGCAAACACATTCAAAAGCTAGCAGAAGGCAAGAAATAACTAAGATCAGAGAAGAACTGAAGGAGATAGAGACATAAAAAACCCTTCATAAAATCAATGAATCCAGATGCTGGTTTTTTGACAAGATCAACAAAATTGAGAGACCGCTGGCAAGACTAATAAAGAAGGAAAGAGAGAAGAATCAAATAGACGCAATAAAAAATTATGAAGGGGATATCACCACCAATCCCACAGAAGTACAAACTACCATCACAGAATACTATAAACATCTCTATGCAAATAAACTAGAAAATCTAGAAGAAATGGATAAATTCCTGGACACATACACCCTCCCAAGACTAAACCAGGAAGAAGTTGAATCTCTGAATAGACCAATAACAGGCTCTGAAACTGAGGCCATAATTAATAGCCTAGCAACCAAAAAAAGTCCAGGAGCAGACAGATTCACAGCCAAATTCTACCAGAGGTACAAGGAGGAGCTGGTACCATTCCTTCTGAAACTATTCCAATCAATAGAAAAAGAGGGAATCCTCCCTAACTCATTTTATGAGGCCAGCATCATCCTGATACCAAAGCCTGGCAGAGACACAACCAAGAAAGAGAATTTTAGGCCAATAACCCTGATGAACATCGATGCAAAAATCCTAAATAAAATACTGCCAAACCGAATCAAGCAACACATCAAAAAGCTTATCCACCATGATCAAGTGGGCTTCATCCCTGGGATGCAAGGCTGGTTTAACATACGCAAATCAATAAACGTAATCCAGCATATAAACAGAACCAAAGACAAAAACCACATGATTATCTCAATAGATGCAGAAAAGGCCTTTGACAAAATTTAACAACACTTCAAGCTAAAAGCTCTCAATAAATTAGGTATTGATGGGACGTAGCTCAAAATAATAAGAGCTATCTATGACAAACCCACAGCCAATATCATACTGAATGGCAAAAACTGGAAGCATTCCCTTTGAAAACTGGCACAAGACAGCGATGCTGTCTCTCACCACTCCTATGCAACATAGTGTTGGAAGTTCTGGTCAGGGAAATCAGGCAGCAGAAGGAAATAAAGGGTTTTCAACTAGAAAAGAGGAAGTCAAATTGTCCCTGTTTGCTGATGACATGATTGTATATCTAGAAAACTCCATCTTCTCAGCCCAAAATCTCCTTAAGCTGAGAAGCAACTTCAGCAAAGACTCAGGATACAAAATCAATGTGCAAAAATCACAAGCATTCTTATACACCAGTAACAGAAACAGAGAACCAAATCATGAGTGAACTCCCATTCACAATTGCTTCAAAGAGAATAAAATACCTGGGAATCCAACTTGCAAGGGATGTGAAGGACCTCTTCAAGGAGAACTACAAATTACTGCTCAATGAAATAAAAGAGGATACAAACAACTGGAAGAACATTCCATGCTCATGGATAGGAAAAATCAATATCATGAAAATGGTCATACTGCCCAAGGTAATTTATAGATTCAATGCCATCCCTATCAAGCTACCAATGACTTTCTTCACAGAATTGGAAAAAGCTACTTTGAAGTTCATATGGAACCAAAAAAGAGCCCACATTGCCAAGTCAATCCTAAACCAAAAGAACAAAGCTGGAGGCATCATGCTACCTGACTTCAAACTATACTGGAAGACTACAGTAACCAAAACAGCATGGTACTGGTACCAAAACAGAGATATAGCCCAATGGAACAGAACAGAGCCCTCAGAAATAATGCCACACATCTACAGCTATCTGATCTTTGACAAGCCTGACAAAAACAAGAAATGGGGAAACAATTCCCTATTTAACAAATGGTGCTGGGAAAACTGGCTAGCCATATGTAGAAAGCTGAAACTGGATCCCTTCCTTACACCTTATACAAAAATTAATTCAAGATGGATTAAAGACTTAAATGTTAGACCTAAAACCATAAAAACCCTAGAAGAAAACCTAGGCAATACCATTCAGGACATAGGCATGGGCAAGAACTTCATGTCTAAAACACCAAAAGCAATGGCAACAAAAGCCAAAATTGACAAATGGGATCTAATTAAACTCAAGAGCTTCTGCACAGCAAAAGAAACTACCATCAGAGTGAACAGGCAACCTACAGAATGGGAGAAAATTTTTGCAATCTACTCATCTGACAAAGAGCTAACATCCAGAATCTACAATGAACTCAAACAAATTTACAAGAAAAAAACAAACAACCCCATCAAAAAGTGGGCAAAGGATATGAACAGACACTTCTCAAAAGAAGACATTTATGCAGCCAAAAGACACATGAAAAAATACTCATCATCACTGGCCATCAGAGAAATGCAAATCAAAACCACAATGAGATACCATCTCACACCAGTTAGAATGGCAATCATTAAAAAGTCAGGAAACAACAGGTGCTGGAGAGGATGTGGAGAAATAGGAACACTTTTACACTGTTGGTGAGACTGTAAACTAGTTCAACCATTGTGGAAGTTAGTGTGGGGATTCCTCAGGGATCTAGAACTAGAAATACCATTTGACCCAGCCATCCCATTAGTGGGTATATACCCATAAAGACACATGCTATTCACAATAGCAAAGACTTGGAACCAACCCAAATGTCCAACAATGATAGACTGGATTAAGAAAATGTGGCACATATACACCATGGAATACTATGCAGCCAGAAAAAATGATGAGTTCATGTCATTTGTAGGGACATGGATGAAGCTGGAAACCATTATTCTCAGCAAACTATCACAAGGACAGAAAACCAAATACCGCATGTTTTCACTCATAGGTGGGAATTGTACAATGAGAATACTTGGACACAGGAAGGGGAACATCACACACCAGGGCCTGTTGTGGGGTGGGGGGAGTGGGGAAGGATAGCATTAGGAGATATACCTAATGTGAATGATGAGTTAATGGGTGCAGCACACCAACATGGCACATGTATACATATGTAACAAACCTGCATGTTGTGCACATGTACCCTAAGACTTAAAGTATAATAAAAAAAAAAAAAAAAGACATGTAAAACTAGAAGAAACTTGATTGTGGTAAAAGATGGCTTTTATATTCTATCTTTGTTTTCTGCCACCATGAAAAAATGCCTGTGACTCAATAACTTATAAAGAATAAAAATTTATTTCTCACACACCTGAAGACAGGAAAGTCCAAGATCAAGGTTCTGGCAGGTTCAGTGTCTGGTGAGGGCCATCTTACTGCCTTCTCCAGAGGGGAGAAACATGGCAGAAGGGTGGAAGAGACAGCTGCTAAGGCTGCATAAAGCCTTTGTAAAAATGGCTGTAATGGCATTAACTAGGGCAGCCCTCATGGCCTAATCACTTCTTTAGGGCCCCCCTCTTAATAATAATGCATTAGCAACACCTGAATTTTGGAGGCGATCTATTCAAACCATAGGTCAGGACATCCAGGCCATCCTGGCTAACACGGTGAAATCCCGTCTCTACTAAACAAAATACAAAAAATTAGCCGGGCGCGGTGGCGGGCGCCTGTAGTCCCAGCTACTCGGGAGGCTGAGGCAGGAGAATGGCGTCAACCCGGGAGGCGGAGCTTGCAGTGAGTGAAGATCGCACCACTGCACTCCAGCCTGGGCGACAGAGTGAGACTCCGTTAAAAAAAAAAAAAAATAGCATAAGTGGATACATTACTGTGTTACTAGATTTGAAAGTCATGTTATAAAATTATACGTTATTTTTAAATCTATAGGGAAAATGTAATTCATATAAAAACTCAGTGGATTTTTAAATTTCTTTTTGTAATGCTTAATGAGGATAAAAGAAAAGTGAGATCTTCATAAGTTATAAGCCCAGAAACAGAATTTCTTCCTATATTAATTTTTACGTGTATTAAGATAGCTTCACATATCTGAATTAATAATATCTAAATGAAAGAAATCATAGAAAATACTGCCAATAAAAATGATAGAGGATTATTAACAGGCTATAACCTATTATAAGAGAAATACCACCAGGGACATAGGTAAAGGAGAAAGGTAAATTATAAAAGAAGTTATATAAGTGAACAATAAAAACACAAGAAATGTTAAGACTTATAAGTAATTAAAGGAAAAACTATAGAAAAATTAAGGTACTATACCTTCGTTGCTTGGGTTGATAAACCATAGAATGCTAGTGGCAAAGCAAATTGGTACTTTCCTGGCGAGCTGGAGGATAAATGCAAAATTATGAAGCCAGGAGCAGGAGGAAAAAAGTAAGTGAATGGAAGTAAATTACTTACATTGAACTTTTAGTCCAATGTAATTTGCTCTCACAGTAGAATTACCTCCCTTCCTGTTCTGTAGCTTTAGCAAAAATTCTAATAACTTAATGTACAGACTCTTCATTACCAAATTCTCTAGCCAATTTAATATTCTGACCCCAAACCCTTCCCTTTACGGTATTAAAACCATATTTTTGCTGGCCTGAAATTCATGTGTATGAAAAGCCAATTTTCCTAAATGGGTTTTTTCACTGTTGATACTAATCAAGAGTCTCACTGTTATTGAAACTTTCTCTGCAGTGTCAGAAGTGACAGTGTTGCAGACCTCATCACCTGTTGGCATCAGGTAGCAGGGAGAGCTATCACAGAATAGTTTAGTTTGAAATAATAGTTTAAAATAGTCACATGCTAAAAAAGAGACAGATTGAAATACATGTGAATTCATTTAGGAGTTTCATTTCATATTGGATAAGTTTAGAACAGGCTCTAGTGAAGATTGGTGTATGGAATACAAGGATCTATACTACTGTTGTATGCTTTACAAGTTGGTTCCATAAGAGAAATTTTATAACCTAAATATTTTTCCAGAAAGCATTTTATAAAATTCAGATGTCTGTTTCTGATTAAAAATTATTTTTTGCCATACTATGTTCTTTTTATATTATATGCATGAAATCCAGGGCAATCTCTTTAAAATATAAAGTTAGATAAGCATGCTAACCATCACCATTATTATTTATAGAAAGTATGCCAAGGATAAATTAGAAATAAGAGGTATGACTATGAAAAAAGACAAATCAATAATTATTTATAGATTAAGATATGAGTATATTCTTGTAAAACTCAAGGAGTGCTATTTTAAAACTCTTAGAATAAATGAGTTCAACCTAAAATAGGATGTACGATGAAAATGAGAAAAACCATAGCTAACATATCAGCAATAACCAGATAAAAAGTAGAATGAGGAAAACAGAGAAGACAAACAGAAAATCCTACAAAATGCCTACAGACTCTAAAAATAAGGTTGTAGAACCTACCAGAGAAAAATTACAGAACTTTACTAAGAGTCCTAAAATGAGTTTTGAATAAAAAAAGAAACTTAGTTTTATAGCTTGAGTTGTTGGTGGATAGATCCCATAGCCTATATAATCCCTGTCACTGGGATTACAAATATCATTCCATTTTATAAAGTTCCTAGGCACACTCCAAAATTCCATCACAGTGATAAATGCATTTCTGAAACACCAACAGGCCTGCTGTTCTATAATCTGTCATTGCATAAATTAATTTATGTATCTTTGTTTCTGTATATTTTCTGAAAAGGAGGAAGTGGAGGAACATGAGAATGAGTGATGTGTGTATCTGAGGAGGGAGGAGGTAAATAGAGAAAGACATTATTACATCATTGGAGGTGGGGTAAGGATGTGTGCCACCTCCACCATTCCCAAGCTATTGTCAGAAAAATACCATGTTTTAGGACAGGATGGCTATATTTTATAGCAATTAAAATCAAATTAGCAACTTTTATTATGGAAGTTGAGAAAATGATGTTAAGGTTCTCCTGTCAGAATAAATAGCCAAGAAGAAATGAAAACTTTTGACTCAGGAGAATAAAAATATTAAGGATTTAGTATTCCAGAATTTTAATATGGCATAATACATTTAAATATTTCTCTAAAGTTAATAACTTTATATAGCAATTTGAACTTTATCCACTTTCAGGTTCAATATAAAGAGGGAGCTTTTTTGATTTTGTAGCAGAAACTCAATAGTTGCTAACTGATGTTGGTCTGTAATTCTTTCTAAGTCAGAATAAAAGGAAAGGAGTTAGGACATCAAACTTTGTGGGGGATATTTTATAATCCAGGTCTTTTTATCATTTCTATATTTCCTAGCAACACCTTACTTTTACCTATTTTGTAGAAAAATATGCCAAGGCCTTGTGTGCTGTTGGATTTTTTTATTAGCAGATTTTATTTTTAGAACAGTTATATATTTACCAAAAGATTGAGCAGATAGTACAGTGTCCATGGGTAGCCCCTCTTTCTTTCACTAGTAGGGTACATGTTTCATGACTGATGAAACAATATTGATATATTATTAACTAAACTCCATAGTTTACATTAGTGTTTATATTGTACAGTTTTACAGCATTTGACAAATGCATAATGCCATGTAACTATCATTACAATATCATACAGAATAGTAGTTTTTACCACTCAAAAAACTTCTGTGCATCACTTATTTATTCATACATTCTCTCCACTCCTACTGGAAACCACAGATTTTTTACTGTCTTTATACTTTTGCCTTTCCCCTAATATCATATATTTAGAATCTAAATTATGTAACCGTTTTATACTTGCTTCTTTCACATTGAAATACGCATTTAAGTTCCCTCCATGTCTTTTCGTGGCTTGGTAACTCTTTTTATCTCTGAATAATATTTCATTTTAAGGATGTGCCACCATTTTTTACCTATTTACCTAGTAAAGGACATCTTGGTTGTTTCAAAATATTGTTATCTTTGAACAAAAGCTGTTATAATCATTTATGTGCACCTTTTCCATAGACATGTTTTCTATTCAATTAGGTAGTACCAAGGAACACAATATACTTTGCTTTGTTAGAAATCTTGAGATTGTCTTCCAAAGTGGGTTTGTTATGGTACTCCAGAGAAGCAGAAGAAATTCCTTCTGCTTCTCTGGAGTACCCTAATTTTAGTACCCTTACACACACACATACACACGCACACACACACACACCTACACACACACACACATATATATATATACATATATAATATATAATGACTAATACAAATGAAAGTTTGTACCCTCTGACCAATATAGCTTTATTTCATCCCCTTACCCCACCCCAATTCCTGGCAACTACGATTCTACTCTCTACTTCTAGGAATTTGACTTTTTTAGATTACATAAATAAATGATATTATAAAACATTTGTTTTTCTGTGTCTGGTTTATTTCACTTAACATAATGCCCTTCAGGTCCATCTATATTGTTGAAAATTGCAAAATTTTCTATACTTTTAAGGCTGAATAATATTCCAGTGCATGTATATACAGCATTTTCTTTATCCATCCATCAACACACACTTAGGATGTTTTAATATCTTAGCAATTATATATAATACTGCAGAGAACATGGGATTGCAGTTACTTCTTAGAGATCCTGATTTGAATTACTTCAAATATATTACTAGACGTAGCATTGCTGGATCATATGGTAGTTCTATTTTTAATGTTTTGAATGGCTGTACAAATTTACATTTCTACCACAGTGTACAAGGTTTCCCTTTTCTCCCTGTCCTCACCA
This sequence comes from Homo sapiens, assembly GCF_000001405.40. Lineage (NCBI taxonomy): Eukaryota > Metazoa > Chordata > Mammalia > Primates > Hominidae > Homo > Homo sapiens. Next base: position 57,389,851 of record NC_000023.11, read on the forward strand.
ACACTTACCTTTAAAAAAAAATAATAGCTATGCTATTGGGTGGGAGGTGACATCTCATCTTGGCTTTGGTGTGCATTCACCTGATGATTAGTGTTGTTGATTTTTTTTTTTCATATACCTAGGGGCCAGTTGCATGTCTCCTTTGAAGAAATGTCTATTCAGGTTGTTTGCCAATTTTTCAATTAAGTTATTTGTTTCTGATAAGTTCTATGAATTCCTTGTATATTTTGAATATTAATCCTATATCAAATATATGTTTTACAAATGTTTTATCCCATTCAGTAGGTTGCCTTTGTATTTTATATTGTTTTCTTTGTGTGAAAATACTTTTTAGTTTGCTCTAAACCAATTTGTCTATTTTTGCTTTATTAGCCTGTGCTTTCGGAGATACATGCAAAAAACAATTGCCAAGACCAATGTCACGGAGCTTTTTCTCTCTATTTTCCTCTAGGAATTTCACAGTCAAGTCTTATATTTATTGTACTTTATTTTTTATTATTTTAGATTGAAAGGGTACTTGTGCATGTTGTTAAATGGATATATTGTGTAATGGTGAAGTTTGGGCTTCTAGTGTACCAGTCATGCAAACAGTGAACATTTTATCCCACAGGTAATTTTTCAGCCCTCATCTACCTCCCACCCTTCCATATTTTTGAGTTGCCAGTGTCAATTATTTCTGCCTACTTGTCCAAGTGTATCCATTGTTTAGTTTCCACTTATAAGTGAGAAACAGACTTTCTGTTTCTGAGTTGTTTAACTTAGGATAATGGCCTCAAGCTAAATCCACGTGGTTGCAAAGGGCATGCTTTCATTTTTTATGGCCGTATAGTATTCTGTGGTGTTTATATATCACATTTCTTTATCCAGTCAACCATTGATAAAAACTTAGGTTTATTCCATGACTGCTATTGTAAATAGTGTTGCAATAAACACAACACACAAGTTTAGGTGTCTTTTTGATATAATAATTTTTTTCTTTTGGTTAGATAGTCAGGAGTGGAAATGCAGTGCTGAATGGTAGCTTTATTTTGGTTCTTTGAGAAACCTCCATACTGTTTTCCACAGAAATTTTACTACTTTACAATATGCCAACAGTGTATAAGCATTCCTTTTTTTCTGCATTCTCGCCAACAACTGTTATTTTTTACCTTAAAAAATAGCCATTCTGACTGGTGTAAGATGGTATCTCATTGTGGTTTTAATTTACATTTCTCTGATGACTAGTGATGTTGAGCACCTTTTCATAATTTTTTTTTGTAGCTAATTGCATGTCTTATTTTAAGAAATGTCTATTCATGTTTTTTGCTCACTTTTTAATGGGGTTTTTTTTGTTGATTTGTTTTGGTTTCTTGTAGACTGTGGATATTAGACCATTTTCAGAGGCATAATTTGCAAATATTTTCTTCTCTTCTGTAGTTTGTCTTTTTGCTCTGTTGATTATTTCCTTTGCTGTACAGAAGCTAAAATAGTTTATGTTCCATTTGTGTACTTTTGTTTTCGTTGCATTTGCTTTTGAGGTCTTAGTCATAAATTATTTCCCTCAATGTCAGAAGTTTTTTCTATTTTTTTTTCTTAGGATTTTTCTTGTTTGAGGTCTTACATTTAAGTCATAAATGAAACTTGAGTTCATTTTTGTATATGGTGAGAGAGAGGGGTCCAGTTTCATTATTCTGAATATGGCTAGCCAATTTTGCCAGAACTCTTTATTGCTATTCAGTAAAGCAATATTTCATATCCTTTCTTCACTGTTTATTTTTGTCAACTTTGTCAAAGTTCAGTTTTTTATAGGTATGTGGCTTTATTTCTTGATTCTCTATTTGGTTCCATTCTATGTCTCCATTTTTTTACCATTACCATACAGTCTTTGTTACTATAGTTTTTTAGTATATTTTGAAGTCAGATAATGTGGGGCCTCTTTTTTCTTTTTATGAAAAATTTATTTGGCTCTTCAGGCTCTTTTTTTGTTTTATATGTATTCTAGGATTTTTTTTCTAATTCTGTGAAAAATTATCTTTGTAATGATAGGAGTTATGTTTAGTCTGTAGATTGCTCTTGGCAGTATGGTCGTTTTAACTAGTGATACTTCCAGTCCATGAGCATAAGATCTTTTTCTATTTCTGGCATCTATGATTTATTATATCAGTGTTTTGTATTTCTCCTTATAGTGATCTTTAACCTCCTTGGTTAAACATATTTCTAGTATTTTATTTTTGTAAATGGCTAGTGTAAATGGGATGGAATTTTTTATTTGTTTCTTAGGTTTAATGCTATTGGTGTATCGAAATGCTACTGACTTTATTTACATTGATTTGGTATCCTGAAACTTTACCAAAATTGTTTATCAAATATAGGAATTTTATGTAAAGTCTAGGTTTTCTAGGTATGTCATCAGCAAGCAGAGATAACATGACTACTTCTTTTTAAATTTGGATCCCTTTCCTCTGGCTAGAACTGCCAGTACTATGTTGAATAGGAGTGGTGAGAGTGGAGATCCTTGTCTTTTTTCAGTTCTTGTTTTTTTTGTTTGTTTGTTTTTTGTTTTTGGCAAAACTATTTCCTTTTATTCTGTGGAACGTCACTAACGTAAATAGACATGTGCATGATTTATGTTAATTTATACACGATGAGAATTAAGGCTGAAAATGACATCCGGGAAAACTCCTACTATTAGTTTCAGATCTTCTGGGCAGGGGCTGACTCTTGGCTGCCTTATACTTCCTAACTCCCAGTGGGCCTGAATAGACACTGGCCAGATTTTCAAAGTAGCTTCTTGAAGATGGATGATGATCTGTTTAGAATGATCCATTCACCTGTTCTGTTTCAGGGTCCAAATCAGTATCATAAAAACAGGGCTGGGTGGGGAGTCCATTGTGCTCATCGTTCCTACTAAAGGGTACAGAAAACCAGCCCCGATGCTGGCATGGATGTTGCGAATGGGCAGAATGAATCCTGTAGGGACACCTTTTCGCTCTGGGTTGTGAGACAAGGACAAGTGTGTTTTGGCCATGCAGATGGGGAGATTCCCAAAGCCCTGCTTTGTGTAGACTTCAGCTTTGTGTTGAGCTTTGAGGAGTAATTCAATGTTGTCTGCTCCATAGATCTTCTGTGCAATGATCCTGATTTTATCCTCAACTGGGAGCTTGAGGTCATAAAGGAGTTGGAAGCTGCTGGGTGCTTGTCCTGCTCTCTGGACAGCCTGAGCCAGGGCTAAGGTACCCTTGCCCCCTTCTGCCAGTGAGTGCACTTCACGGCATCAAAAGCCCTCTGTTCTCTGGAAAGGCAGCCGATGAGGTCCAGCTCAGTCTCTGTATCTGTCTTGAATGCATTCACGGCCACTACTACTGGAATTCCAAACATTCTGGCATTTTCAGTTTGTTTCTTCAAGTTACTGAAGCCTTTTTCAACCAGCTCCAGGTTCTCCTCTATGTAAGCCTTGGGAAGAGGCATTCCAGCAGTGACCATAGGGCCACCCCTGTGCATCTTTAGAGCGCTGACAGTGGCAACAAGCACCACCACGTGAGGGTGGAGACCGGAATACTGGGATTTGATGTTAAGAAACTTTTCTATTCCAATGTCTGCTCCAAATCCCGCCTCCGTCACTACAAACCCTTCTGGGCCAACAAGCTAGAGTGTGATCCGGTCTGCAATGATAGAGGAATTGCCGTGTGCGATGATGGCAAATGGGCCTGCATGGACAAACACTGGAGTGCCCTCCAATCTCTGCATGAGATTGGGCTTGATTGTGTCCTTCATAAGCACTATCAATGCACCACTCACCCCCAGATCTTCAGCACTGACGGGGTCTCCTTTCTTACTGGATGCCACCACCATTTTGCCCAGTCTCTCTCTCCTGTCTTCTAGAGAAGTGGTGAGAGCCAGGACAGCCATAATTTCACTGGCCACAGAGATATCAAAGTGGACCGTCTGTGTGTGACTTTTCTTCGTTGGAGCCTGTCCAATCGTGATCTTCCTCAGGAATCTATCATTGGTATTCAACACTCTTTGCCAAGCTATGGTTTCTGGATCAATGTCCAATCTTGCAAATCTGTTTATCTCTTCATCTGTCAGTGTGGTAGAGTCAGTCTTGTCAATGCCTAGTCTGTTTAACCTTTGTATGTGGATATCAGAGAACTTTCTCACTCCATTTACTGATGGCACCAAATGAGTAAAGGTAGCCTTGTCTGTCTGGGTCAGTTCATGAAATATCTGAGCATCAATAGCCGCAGCAACAAGGTTATTAGATACAGTGATGGCATGGATGTCACCTGTGAGGTGAAGATTAAACTCTTCCATAGGAATGACCTGGGAGTAGCCGCCTCCTGCAACACCACCTTTTATTCCAAAGGTGGGGCCCTGAGAAGGCTGTCGCACACACATAAAAAAGTTCTGGTAAAGATGGGCAAGAAGGGCTTGCACCAGCCCGATTGTAGTCGTGCTTTTCCCTTCTCCCAGGGGTGTTGGAGTTATTCCAGTCACCACCTGATATTTCCCAACAGGCTGGTGCTTCAGGCGTTCTAGTGCTGACAGCAGAACTTTGGCCTTTGTTTCACCATATAATTCTACCTCTTCAGACAGCAGACCAATTACTCAAGCCAGCTTACCAATGGGCTTCGGTTTACAAGATCGTGATATATCAATGTCACTTGGAACAGGTGTCTTGAGGTTAAGGTTGTTATACTGAATCATCCACTTTCCTGGCTTAAATTTCTCCAGGAAACGCTTGGCACTCTCTACAGTGCTCTGCATGAGCATTGCAACCGTCATGAGCCCTAAGCCACCAGGAACGGGCCTCGTCGTATGCCACATCACCCACAACTTTTCTCCCATTTGTTTTTTTTATCATCTGGGACATAATTGATTCCACAGTTGATGACTATTGCTAGGTTTGATCCATTCCCCTTTAACCATTTCAGGCCGACCAGTTGCAACCACCAGGATGTCGCCTTTATTTACCTCCTCATCCAGATTGGCAGTCTTGGAGTGGCAGGTGGTCACTGTGGCATTGTTCCACAGAAGCAAGTCACGCATCAGGGCCCTGACTATTTTACTGCACCCAACCACCACAGCATGCCTTCTGGCAATCTGCACCCCTGTCTCTTTCATGAGTTCCAAGCATCCTTTAGGCATACAAGGAATGAAACAGTCATTTAGGTCACCTCTAGCAAGTTTCCCAGCACTGATGCTAGTCAATCCATCCACATCCTTTTCAGGTGCAATAGCATTGATCACTCCTTCAGTGTATTGTCTGAGTCTAGAGATAGCTGCACTACGAACCCGTGTACAGTAGAGTCTTCATTCAAAGATATGATGTACTTGATCACCTCAGATTCTGTGGTTGTTCTTGGTAACTTAATGTCAGTGGCTTTCATCCCAATCTCTTCAGCAGCCTTCAGCTTCACATTATATAAAGATTGGAATCATCTCTGTTGCCAACCTGTAATATTGCCAGGCCTGGTGTGAAACCAGGTACTTGTCCTTCAACTGAGTGACTTGATTCTTCAGTCTCGCCCTTATTTGTGCGGAGATCTCCTTCCTGTTCAGGATTTCTGCTGGTGCCATGGCCTTTATTAGTCTGCTGCCCACGATGGACACCACCAATATCCTGTTCAGTTCTTAGGAGGAATGCTTTAACCTTATCCTCATTCAGTATGATGTTGGCTATGGGTTTGTCATAGATGGCTTTTATTAATTTGAGGTATGTATATTAAATGCCTAGTTGGTTGTGAAGAAATGTTGGATTTTATCAAGTCGTTTTTCTTCATCAATTGAGATGATCATGTAGTGTTTGTTTTTTATTCTGTTTATGTGGTTAATTACATTATTGATTTGCATATGTTGAACCATCCTTGAATCTCTGGTATCAAACCCACATGGCTTGATGTACTGTTTGTTTAAATTTGCTAATATTTTATTGTGGATTTATGCATCAGTATGCACCAGGTATGTTAGCTTGTAAGGTTTTTTTATTCTTTCCTTGCATAATATTTGTATCAGGTGATACTGCTTTCATAGAATGAGTTAGAGAGGAATTGTTCTTCCTTGATTTTTTGGCATAATTTAAGTAAGATTGGGACAAGTTTTTTGTATGTCTGGTAAAATCCAGCTGTGAATCAATCTGGTCCTGGGCCATTTTTGTTGGATATTTTGTATTACAGATTCAAATTCATTACTTGTTATTGGTCTGTTTAGGATTTCCATTTCTTTCTGGTTCAATCTTGGGAGGTTGTATGTGTCCAGGAAGTATCCATGTTTTCTAGGTTTTCTAGTTTGTGTTCATAATAGTCTCTGATGATCTTTTCTGTTTCTGTGATATTGGTTGTAATGTCAACACTATCATTTCTGATTGTGTTTATTTGAGTCAGCTGTCTTCTCAATTAATCTAGTTGGTGGTCTATCAATTTTGTCTATCCTTTCAAAGAACAAACTTTTCATTTTAATGATTGTATAATTATTTTAATCTTAATTTCATTTAGTGCTGCTTTGGTGTTAGTTATTTCTTTTATTCTGCTAGCTTTAGGTTTAGTGTTTTTTTTTTTTTTTTCTTGTTTTTCTACTTCCTTGAAGTGGAGCATTAGGTTGTTAGTTGGGGATTTTTCTCTCTTTTGGATGAAGGCATTTAATGCCATGATTTTTCCTCTTAATACTGCTATTGTTGCATCCCAGGAGTTTTGGTATGTTGTGTCCCCATTTTTGTGTTTCAAAAATATTATTTTATTTCTGCCTTAATTTCATTGTTTACCCAAAAGTCATGCAGGAGCAAGTTATTTAGTTCCCATGTATTTGTGTTGTTTTGAGAGTTCCTCTTCATATCGATTTCTACATTTATCCCACTGTGGTCCAATTAGATACTTGATATAATTATTATTTTTTCAAGTGTATTGAGCCTTGCTATATGGCCAAGCATGTAGTTAATTTGGGAGAATGTTCTATATGCAGATAAGAAAATGTATATTCTGTCATTTACATAACATTGTCAAATGTTGTGTAAATATCTATGCGGTTCATTTGGTCTGGGTCCAATTTAAGTCCAGAGTTTATTGATTTCCTGCCTTCGTGATCTGTCTAGTATTGTCAGTGAGTTATTTACGTTTCCCACTATTTTTGTATTGCTTTCTATTTTCTTAGGTCTAGTCATATTTGTTTTATGAATTTGGTCTTCCAGTGTTGGGTGCATATATATTTAGGATAGTTATATTTCTCATTATATAATGCCCTTCTTTGTTTTTTGTTTACTTTTGTTTAAAGAGTAGCTCAGTTTTCTGTTCCATTTGCGTGATACATCTTCTTCCCCCTTTTGCTTTTTGTCTGTAACCATTAGGTGGGTGTCTTAGGCAACAGTTAGTTGGGTCTTGCTTTTTCATCCAATATGCCAGCCTATATCTTTTAAGTGCAGTATTTAGGCCATTTACATTCAATGTTAGTACTGATACATGAGGTTCTGTTTCTGTCACACTGATGTTAGCTATATGCTTTGTAGTCTCAATCATGTAATTGCCAGATAAGATCTGTGAGTTTTGCTCATGTGCACATGTGACATGTGCTTTTATGATGTCAGTGTCATTTTTTTGTTTCCATATTTAGTACTTCTATGAGCATTTCTTGTAGGGCTGGTTCAATGATGAATTCCCTTAGCATTTGCTTATCTGGGAAGTACTTTACGTTTTTTCATTTATAAAGCTTAATTGGCAGGATATAAAATTCTTTACTGGCATTTTTTTTTTCTTCACAGAGGCTAAAAACAGGCTCTCAATCTCTACTGGCTTGGTAGGTTTCCGCTGAGAAGTCCACTGTTTGACTAGTGGGATTTCCATCATAGGTAATTTGATGATTCTCTGTAGCTGCTTTTTTTTTCTTTTTTTATTTATTATTATACTTTAAGTTCGAGGGTACATGTGCACAATGTGCAGGTTTGTTACATATGTACACATGTGCCTTGTTGGGGTGCTGCACCCATTAACTCGTCATTTACATTAGGTATATCTCCTAATGCTATCCCTCCCCCTTCCCCCCACCCCACAACAGGCCCCGATGTGTGATGTTCCCCTTCCTGTGTCCATGTGTTCTCATTGTTCAATTCCCACCTATGAGTGAGAACATGCGGTGTTTGGTTTTCTCTTTGCAATAGTTTGCTGAGAATAATGGTTTCCAGCTTTATCCATGTCCCTACAAAGGACATGAACTCATCTTTTTTATGGCTGCATAGTATTCCATGGTGTATATGTGCCATATGTTCTTAATCCAGTCTATCAAAAGGATCTAGAACTAGAAATACCATTTGACCCAGCCGTCCCATTACTGGGTATATACCCAAAGGATTATAAATCGTGCTGCTATAAAGACACATGCACACGTATGTTTATTGCAGCACTATTCACAATAGCAAAGACTTGGAACCAACCCAAATGCCCATCAATGGAGCTGCTTTTAAGATTTGTTTTTTCACATTGAACTTGGATAATCAAATAATTATAAGCCTTGATGATATTAATCTTCTGTAATATCTCACAGGTGTTCTCAGAATTTCTGGTATCGGGATATCTACAACTCTAACAAAATCAGGAAATGTTTCCTGAATTATTCCGTCAAATATGTTTTCCAAATTTCTTACTTTTTCTTCTCCCTCAGGAATGGCCATGCATTGCGGATCTGGTTGCTTTACACAATCTTATATTTCTTGAAGATGTTGTTCATTTAACTTTTTTTTTTTTTGCAGTTGCAAGATTTAATAGACTGAAACAGAGCTCCCATAAAATGGGAGGTGACCCAAAGGGGGTTGTCGCTGCCGGCTCAAATGTCTAGGTTTTATATCCCGATCATTGTCCCTCCCTCTGTGCTCTCAGGTGATAGATGATTGGCTATTTCTTTACCTCCTGTTTTAACCTAATTAGCATTTTAGTGAGCTCTCTTTACTAGCTGACTGGTCGGGTGTGAGCTAAGTTGCAAGCCCTGTGTTTAAAGGTGGGTGCGGTCACCTTCCCAGCTAGGCTTAGGAATTCTTATTCGGCCTAGGAAATCCAGCTAGTCCTGTCTCTCAGTCACACCCTCTCAACAGGAAAACCCAAGTGCTGTTGGGGAGGTTGGCTGATGATCGCTCTAATTGCTTCCTGCTGAATTGGGGCATAGTAGGCATCATGCCATTGAGATTTTCTTTGGAGGGGTGCCTTTGATGTTATCAACATCCGAGCATGGACTAGCAGGCCGGTCCAGGAATCCACGGTAGATCTTAGTCATGGACTGCAACTGGGGCTCCATTTGAAGAATGATTTGTAGTTTTACAGCTTCGATTCTGGAAGAGACAAACTTAACAAGGAGGTTAAAGATACAGGGATTGAAATGTGTGTCCTGGCAGTGCAGGGGATTTGTATGGCCTGCAGTGCAGGGGATTATTTCTTTGGCACACTTCACAGGCCCTGACTATCTGCTTGATAGTTTTGAAAAGGCCTGGTCCAGTAAATAATAATTTGGCCATCTGATGGGTGCTATCAATGCCTAAGTGAAAGGTTTGGTGAAGGGTTTAAATAATTTCCATGGGTTAGCTGCAGACAAAAGTATTTTCCCTTCTTCAGTGGCTAGCCATCCTGAGGGGAGGAAACTATGTCCTTGTGAGGTTCCCCATTCTCTTTCTCTTGCTGAGTACTGGGGCTTGGTTTTCTGGAGGGGATTACCCCATACTAGGGGTCCTTCTATAAGCATTTCTTATGGAGGGTCCTGCCTTGTGGCTCTTTTGGCTTCAATATCCACTTGGCGGTTCCCTTCTATTTCCCTTTTCTTTCCTTTCTGATGACCCCAGTAGTGTAAGATTGCCACCTCTTTAGATTTCTGTGCAGCCAATAATAATCTCCTAATGGCTTCCTGATGTTTGATAGGTGTTCCTTCAGAAGTTAAGAATTCCCTTTCTCTCCATATTGCTGCATGGGCATGGAGGACTAGGTAAGCATATTTAGAGTCTGTATATATATTTACCCTTTTCCTTTCTCCTAATTCTAGCGCCTGAGTGAGGGCTATTATTTCTGCCAGCTGAGCACTAGTTCCTGGAGTGAGGGGATTACTTTCAAGTATTCCATTATCACTGACCACTGCATAATACGCTTTTTAAAGTCCTTTTTCTACAAAGAAACTTCCATCAGTATACAATTTGAGGTCGGAATCAGTCAAGGGAACCTCTAGAAGGTCCCCTCGAGTGGTGTAGGTTTGAGCAATTACTTGTTGACAGTTATGTTCTATTTTTCTTCATTTTCTGGAAGAAATGTGGCTGGATTAAGAGTTGCACAGGTGTGCAGTTGCAGCACTGGTCCTTCAAGTAATAAAGCCTGATATTTAAGCAAACGGTTGTCTGACAGCCACAAGTCTTCTTTAGCAATGAGTATGCCATTCACATCACGAGATGTCCACACAGTAAGATCTCTTCCCTGTGTCATTTTAACTGCTTCAGATACTGAGACTGCTACTGCTGCCACTACCCATAAATAATGAGGCCAACCCTTTGCCACTACATCAATTTCCTTACTCAGGTATGCCACAGGTTACAAGCTGGCCCCTCGGACCTGTGTAAGGACTCCTAGAGCTATTCCTGCTTTTTCTGTGACATATAAAGAAAAGTCTTGCCCTGTTGGCATGCTTAACACTGGGACTTGGGTTAGAGCCTTCTTTAGGGCCCGGAAAGCCACTTCTGCTTCAGGTGTCCATCTTACTAAATGGGTATTGGCTTTCCGAGTTTTCTTAATTAGTGTGTATAATGGCCTGGCTATTTCACTGTACCTGGGAATCCATGTTTGGCAGAAGCCTGTTATGCCAAGGAACCCTCTTAGTTGCTTTAGGGTTTTGGGATGAGGATAAGCCAGTGTAGGCTGAATGCATTTCTCACTGAGGACCCTGGTGCCTTTGGATAATTTTAGACCTAAGAATTTAACCTGCTGTTAGCTGAGCTGAGCCTTTGGTTTGGAAACCTTGTAGCCACAGGTGGCAAGGAAATTTAAGAACACTTGGGTGGGGCTGGGCGCAGTGGCTCATGCCTGCAATCCCAGCACCCTGAGAGGCTGAGGCGGGCAGATCACAAGGTCAGGAGATTGAGACCATCCTGGCCAACACAGTGAAACCCCGTTTCTACCAAAAATACAAAAAAATTAGCCAGGTGTGGTGGCGGGCGCCTGCAGTCCCAGCCACTTGGGAGGCTGAGGCAGAAGAATGGTGTGAACCCAGGAGACAGAGCCTGCAGTCAGCCGAGATCATGCCACTGCACTCCAGCCTGGGCGACAGAGTGAGACTCTGTCTCAAAAATAAATAAATAAAAAATTTATAAAAAGACCACTTGGGTGGCTTGATGGCACAAGGTTTCTGAACGGGCAGCTAAAAGTAAATCATCCGCATACCAAAAGACAAGAGTGTCCAGGTATGAGAACTGGCTCAAATCTTGGGCTAGTGCCTGGCCAAATAGATGGGGGCTATCTCTGAACCCTTGAGGTAAAACAGTCCAGGTGAGTTGAGACATTGGGTTTGAAGGATCTTCAAAGGCAAACAAGAATTGAGAGTCAGGATGTACAGGGATGCAGAAAAAGGCATCCTTAAGGTTCAGGACTGTAAACCACTCTGCTTCCTCTGACATTTGGGAAAGCAGAGTATAAGGGTTAGGTATAGCTGGATATAGAGGGACAACGGCCTCATTGATAATCCTGAGATCTTGCACTAACCTTCTCTGTCCGTTGGGTTTCTGTACTCCTAAAATTGGAGTATTGCAGGTACTACTGCATGGTTTTACTAGGCCTTGGGCTTTTAGGTCTTTAACAATCTTTTGGAATCCTTGTTGGGCTTCGGGTCTAAGGGGGTACTGCCTTTGGTAGGGAAAGGAGGTGGAATCCTTTAGTTTAACTTGAACAGGACAGGCATTCTTTGCTCATCCATAGTGTCCTTCTGTTGCCCAGGCTTCAGGATTAATTCCTTCCTCAAGCAGGGGACAACAAATGGGTGTTCCTTCTCCTATGTTCAGGTGTATAGTGGCCCCTGCTTTTGCTAGAATGTCTCTCCCTAACAAGGGAGTGGGGCTTTCAGGCATAATTAGACAAGCATGTGAAAAGAGTAAAGTTCCCCAGTCACAACTTAGTGGCTGGGAGAAGTATCTAGTGACTGGCTGTCCTAGGACCCCTTGGATAGTGACAGATCTGGAGGACAGTTGTCCGGGACAGGAGAGTAAGACTGAGAAGGCTCTGCCAATGTTCAGGAGACAGTTAACCTCCTGGCCCTCAATGTTCAAGCATACCCGGGGCTCTGTGAGGGTGATGGCATTGGCTGGCTCTTGCCCAGGGCACCCTCAGTCCTGCTGCTGGATCATCTGGTTAGTGGCTTCTGACTCAGAGGACCTTCGTCCCCTGGGGCAGTGGGCCTTCCCGTGATTCCCTTGACATAAGGGGCATGGATGAGGGGGCAGCTTATTTCTACTCAGACAATCTTTTTAAAGTGTCCTTGTAGACCACACTGGAAGCAAGCCCTATTAGGCACTCAATTTGCCCAGCTTTTCCGTGTTCCAGAGCCTCCAAATTCCACTTGCCTGAGTGCCATGACTAAAGTGGTAGCCTTTTTCTTATCTCATTGGTCCTGTTCCACCTGTTCCTCCTGATCTCTATTATAAAAAACTGAGGTTGCCAACTCCATTAGGGTTTCTAAATTTTGCTCCAGGCCTAAGGCAGACTTTTGAAGGTTTTTTTCTAATGTCTGCAGCTGTCTGAGTGATAAACTTATCCTTTAAGATTAGTTAGCCTTCAATAGAGTCAGGTGACAGAGAGGTATGCTTCCTCAATGCCTCCCTTTGTCTCTCCAGAAAGGAAGTAGGATTTTCTTCCTTTCCTGTGTTATAGTAGACATCATTGAATAATTTATAGGCTTCTTCCTAGTTTTCCTTAGTCCTTCTAACACGCAAGTTAGCAAATGTCTGTGGCACCAATCTCCATGTTCTGATTCTGCATCCCTCTGAGGGTCTACACTGGGAACTGCCTGGTGGCAGAATTGTTCTGTGGGGAACTATTCTCTTTCCTCTGTTGTCATCCTATCATTGACCTGACTGAGATACCAGAGATTGACAAACTCTCGGGCTGCAGTTATGGTGGCACTTCTCTCATATGGGGTTAGTGTCTGATCTAGCAGTAACATTATATGTCTCCATGTCAGATCAAAGGATTGTCCTAACCCTTGTAAAACATCAGTATAGCCATCAGGGTTATCTGAGAATTTACCTAGGTCTATTATAATTTGCTTCAAGTCTGAGAGGAAAAAGGCACATGCACTCTGACTGGGCCGAATTCTCCAGAATACATCTTAGGGGCATTTTTGCCTTGGGGGGAAGTTTCCCATCTGAAAAAAACAAACAAACAAACATAGGGACGCCAGCACCCCTAGTAATTTTCCAATGGACATTAGTCTTACAGCGTCCTCTGTGGTCCTAATGCTTATTCCTTTTCAGGTCACCCATAGACCTCTGCTTATTGGATTAGTTACGCTCACTGATGTAGCAGTCCTGCACCTGTTTTCCTGCCTTTCTTGACCACAAAGAAAGGGGTCTGGGCTGCTGGATTCTAGTGGTCCTTTACCAGCAAGCCTGACATTGCCTTTGCACTCAGGGGCGAGTTCTAGAGCTGGGCTGGGTTCCTGAGTATTTCATAATAACCCATTTGCCCCATCAAGATGCATTCCTACAAACAACCGTTCTTATGCAAATTCATTTCAGAGAGGGTGTGGGTAACCTTTTGAGTCAGGATTGAGATAGAGTTTTTTGATTCTGTAAGTATTTTAAGGCTTGGCTGAGTGCAAACAGCTCGCACGTTTGAGCAGACCAATTATTAGGCAATTTTCTTAACTCTGCTTCTACAAGAGTTTCCCTCAATTATTGAATACCCATTGTGTTTTTTTCTCAATCACCTGGGAGGAACCATCTATTGTCCTGTCCTGAAGGGAGTCCCTCCTAGGTCTGTTCAGACATTTGTATGGTAATTAAGATTTAAATCCCCTGTTAGGAAATCTGCTGGGTTAACGGAATTTTCTGTGGTTAATGTTAAATTATCTTTCTCTAACAGAATAGCCCCATACTTTAAGATTTTTAAGTTAGTAAGCTACCTTTTTGCTTTTTTGACTTAGGATAGTTCTGAACTGGTGAGGTGTGCTCACAATGAGGTTTCCTCTAAAGGCTAATTTTCTACTTTCTTCTGTTAGCAAAGCAGTTGCTGCTACAGAATGAATGCATTTGGGCCATCCACAGGTTCCTGGGTTAAAGATTTTTTATAGGAAGTCTACTGGTTATCAGTGGCCTCAGTGCTTTCAGGCTACATCCTTGTTTACACTGACAACAAAGTGGTATTGGAGTGTTATAGGGTCATGGAGAAAACTTTCAGTTATCAATTATAGGTTTTAAATTTACCCTGGCTTTTAAAGAAATAGGGTACACTATTTTTTCTTTACTACTTCTATCTTTCTCTTTCTCTCTTTCTTTCTCCTTTCTGTCTTTGTAGATGGATTTTGGAAACAGTGGAAGGACATTCGCTCATTGCCCCCATTTGCCACTATATGAATATGTGCCTCCCTTTTATTTACTCAATTTGCTTTCATCCTGATCTATTATGTTGTTGTAGACCCAGTTCCAGTTGTTAAAGTACTGGGTTATCATTTCTAAGGCCCTGACAAGGGTGGTAGGGAATGGGTCCCACATAACTGCTCATGTCAAGAGTTGTATGCCTAAATTGGGAGGGACACCAGCGACAAGACTCCCTGGGTTCATAGCCTAGGGGCCTAAGGATGCAGCATAGATCTTCCTTAGATCCCTTTGGAGATACAACCTGCTGTAATACTTGGGAGAGGAAGTGAAGGTCTGAAGCATTAGTATCTAGGAGGCAGGGAGAGGAGGAAGTAGATTCAGAGGTAATGAGAATTTTGGGGCTACTCTTTCAGGAAAGTCGTGGTCCAGACCCAGGAGGTATGGGTCAGAAGGAAAGGTAGGGGCACACGCATGGGTGACTGTTGAGTAGAGACTTCTGGCTGCACCATGATCTCAACCGGCTAATGCCGGGAGTTCAGGATGACAGCTTTCTGCCTCTAGTCGGCCCTCAGCTTCCCCAGAAAAATTGAAAGCAGAAGCTGGTTCCAGGCAGACCAACACTCCCAACACAGAAGGGTTGGGGGTTGTTAGAAAGCCCTTTCCCAGACAGCTTCCCACCTGAGTCTTAAGTTCAGTGGCCATGCTAATCGTTTTTAACTGGCTGACAGGTGCCTGGTATTTTCCTCCAATTCTAAGGAAGGATAGGACAGAATAGCAAGCAAAAGTAGTCCAATATTACTCACCACTTTGGAGGTCCCTTCATGGTCACCAAATGTTACCGGGGGATCCTTGCTCCCAGAGCTCCCAAGATGGTGGCGGGCCACTTCAAAGATGGTGGCAAGCCTCGTGTTCTCTGACCTGGGGTTCTTGGCCTCACAGATTCCAAGGAATGGAATGTTGCACCATGCAGTGAGTGTTATAGCTCTAATAGAAGCTGTGGGTCATGGAAGAGAACCATGGAACCCAGCAACTAGTGTTCAGCTTGATAAGGACGAACCCAGGCACTTAGCCATGCAGGAACAGTGGTGAGTCTTTAGCCCGATTGGGAGCGGCAATGGGCACCTCGCTGGATCAGTAGTGTGGCAGACACCCTGCCAGATCCAGAGTGGTGGAAGTAAGTGGCAAGTCTGCGATGGCGGCAAACAGCAGTGGTGGATGGTGAGTGAAAGCTCAGCTCCAGCGGTATATCAGAGCTCCCATAAAATAGGAGGGGGCCCAAGGGGGGTTGCCCCATTTTTTAATTTTTTAAAAAAATTTTTCTCTGACTGTGTTAATTTAAAAGAACAGTCTTTAAGCTCTGAAATTCTTTCTTCTGCTTCATCTAGTATGTCATTAAAGTTTTCAACTGTATTTTGTAATTCATTTAGTGACTTTTTAATATTCAGAAGTTCTGGTTTTTCAATATATTTATCTCATCTTTCATATCCTGAATTTTTAAAATTTATTTTGGTTTTCAACTTTCTCTTGAATCTAATTGAACTACCTTACA
The DNA here is from genome assembly GCF_000001405.40 of Homo sapiens. Classification (NCBI taxonomy): domain Eukaryota; kingdom Metazoa; phylum Chordata; class Mammalia; order Primates; family Hominidae; genus Homo; species Homo sapiens. The sequence goes on from NC_000023.11 coordinate 57,405,915, forward strand.
ATCTATATTTTCAATTCTTTATCTGTCATTTCAAAGTGTTCATTTTGGTTAGGATCCATTGCTATGGAGATATTGATGTCCTTTGGGGGTGTCAAAACAATCTCCCTTATTGTACTGCCAGAGTTCTTGCACTGGTTCCTTCTCATTTGAAGCAGCTGTCACTTCTTAGTTTTGAAATTGCCATTGTACAGATAAAAATTCCTCAGTGGTTTGACTGTAATGGATGTCATGTATGACCTTTTGCCTCCATATCTGGGTGCTTTCAATGTGCCAAGGGCTCTGTATGAGTTCTTTGGCTATATATAACTTTTGTGTCGTGGCTTTCTCAAATGCTGCTTATCGTAATGATGCATTGGCCATATGATCTGGCACACTATCTTCTGTGAGCTGGGAGTGCAGAGCTCTCAGAAAGCTTATCTTGCACGTTAGCACTATGCTGTGTCAGCAGGTTTTTATTTGGTGGGAAGTTTGCTCTACAGTAGAGTAGGGGATGCGTAAGAGCCAGCTTACCCTGGGGTACTCTAATGAATTATGGAAACACCCACCCTGATGGGGACGGTAGAGGGAGTGTTTGGTTTGATATGCTGAGATCTTAGGGGAGGGGGCTGCACCAGCAACTTGTCCTGGACAGGAAGGAACATAATCTGCTTTCCTATAATGCCCCTGACACAGGGATCATAACCTTCAGTTCAGATATATGCTGTCTTTTATCTCTAGTCCACAATGTGACTGAGGTTTGCAGGAAATGCCCATCTGCCAGTTACTGCCAAAATTGCCTTTGGGCAGACGTCTTCCTGCAGCCCAAAACATACAGTTCTGTGGCTGGTCTGCACTCTGTGGCAGGGATGCTACCACTCTGTGTAGAGAGAGGAAGATGAACCCCAGTCATTGTTTGAGCCCAGGTGGTGGGCACACATTCAGTGTGGATGGAGCCACTATTAAAAGTGCTAGACGAACAACCACAAAGTGCACTTGCACCAGCCCCCAGTGGGAAAAGCCTTGGCTGCATCTGTGGCAATAGATGGGGTGGCAGGAGGTGATCTCTCTACATTTGTTGCCAGTCACTAGTGCTGCCCATCCACTGAGACAGAACCATACTCTCTCCTGCATTGGAGATCAGCATTGTACCTGTGTTTCCTTTGTCCCAAGTGGTGCTTTGGAGGGCTCTGCTCCCCATTCCCATAATGGTGGCTCATGCCAAAGGCTAGATCTCTAGGGATCCTGCAGTTCCCTAAGGATCTAGTGATCCTCTTATTTGTCGAAGTCAGAGCAGATTCTGGGGTATGTTTGCAGGGTATCTGTTGATGCAGTGAAATAAGAGCTGAGATTCCATGGGCAAGATGGTGGCTTATACTGGGTGCAAAACCTTTATGGCACCTTCCACCTGAATTTGGGTTGAGGAATCATGTGAGTACAACTGCAGGAGCTCACCAACCAGTGTTCTGCCCCCAGGAAGTTCCCACATAACCATTGAGAGTGTTACTCAGGCTCATGAGGGCAGAGGAACTTTCCAACAATTTGTTGGTCAGCATTCTGTCACATGGGTGAGGGGAGCAAAGTAATACCCTACCTAACCTGTCCATGGAACTCCAAGCTTTTTGGGGGCCAATCTCTGCCAGATTTTTGCTGCCTTTCTTTTCTGTACCCTAGCTTATTCTGTAGCTCTCTGAGAGTTTTTGGCACTCTTCCCTCAGCTTTCCACTCGGGGTGACTGCTCACCCATAACTTTGATCTCTTTTATGAGGAGAACTGGCATTTGGCATCTCTAGTCAGTCATCTAATGGGAAGCCTGGAAGGGGCTCGCATTGGAGAAGCTGCTCCAAACTCGAATCAGAAAGACACTAATTTCCTTGTCTGAGAACTGGCAAGTCTTATGTTTAAATCTTCGATCCATTTTGAGATGATTTTTGTGTATGGTTTAAGATAAGGGATTAATTTCATTCTTTTGCAAATGGATATCCAGATTTCATAAAATAACTTATTGAAGAGATTGTTCTTTCTTCACTATGTATTCTTGTTACTTTTGTCAAAAGTTTCTTGACTTTATACACATGGATTTAGTTTTATTTGCTTTCAATTCTATTCAGGCAATGTGTCTGTTTTGATGCCAATACCATACTGTTTTGATTACTATAGCTTTGTAATATAATTTTAAGTTAGGAAGTGTGATGCTTCCACATTATTATTATTATTATTATTTTGATAAAGATTGCTTAGGCTATTCATGGCTTTTTGTAGTTCCATACAAATTTTAGGATTATCTTTTCTATTTATGTAAGAAAATTTCATTTGAATTTTGATAGCAAATGCATTGAGTCTGTAGATCTGGCTGTTAATGAAGATATTAACAATATTAATTTTCCAATCTGTGAACATGGAATATCTTTCCATTCTTTTCTGCCTATTTTAATTTTTTCATCAATGTTATATAGTTATTAATGTACAGACTTTCTCCTCTTGGTTGAACTTATGTGTTAGTATTTTAATCATTTTAATTCTATTGTAAATTAGATTATTTCCTGATTTATTTCTAACATTTTATGTGAAATATTAGGATTTTTACGTATGAGAACATGTCATCTGCAAACACAATTTTGCATTTTCCTTTCCAATTTGCATGCTATTTATTTATTTATTTATTTATTTATTTATTTGCCTCATTGCTCTGGCTAAGACTTCCAGTGACATGTTGAATAGAAATAGCCAAAGTGAACACCTTTATCTTATTCCTTATGAGGAAAAGCTCTCAGCTTTTCACCATTGAGTCTGATGTTAGCTGTGGGCTTGTGATATATGACCTTGATTGTGTTGAGATACATTTCTTCTGTACTTAATTTGTTGAGAGCTTTTATCACAAAAATAATGTTGAATCTTGTCAAGTGTATTTTTCTTTACATGTAATGAAATGATACTATGATTTTTATCCTTCATTCTGGTAATGTGGTGTGTCATGTTTATTGATTTTCATATACAGACTTGTGTCCCTTAACTATGGGATACATTTGTAGAAATGCATTGTTAGACGATTTTGTTATTGTGTGAACAATATAGAGTGTACTTACAGAAGCATAGATGGTATAGCCTACTACAAACTTTGGTTATATAGTATAGTCTCTAGTTCCTAGGATACTAACATATACAGCATGTTACTGTACTGAAAATTGTAGGCAATTTTAATACAATGGTAAGTATGTGTTTATCCAAACATATATAAACATATAAATAATACTGGTATTATAATATTATGCGACCACCATCATAAATATGGTTCATTATTGACCAAAACATCATATGCAGCACATTGTTGTATTAAAACATCTATGCATCCCAGGGATGAATCTCAATTAATTGTTTTGTATTATCCTTTTAACATGGTTGAATTAGGTTTTCTGGTATTATGTTGAAGATTTTTGTGTTTATGTTCATCTCAGATATTTACCTGTAATTTTATTTTTTATCTGGCCTTGATATCAGGGTAATGCTGGGCTTGTAGAATAGGTCTGTAATTTTTTTCCTCCTCTTTGATTTTTCTGAAGAGTTTGAAGATCGTCATTAATTTTTCTTTAAATCATTGGTAAAATTCACTAGTGAAACCATCAGGTTCTGGGCTTATCTTTTTTTGGGAGAGTTGATTACTTATTTAATCTTTTTATTCATTATTGGTGTGTTCAGACTTTCAGTTTATTAATGACTCAGCCTTTGTAGTTTTTATGGTGTAGGTTCTATGTTTCTAGGAATTTACTTATTTCTTATAGGTTATCCAATCTGTTGACATATAATTGTTTATATTAGTCTCTTACAATTTTTTACTTCTATGTTTCCACTTGTTATGTCTACTTGTTTATTTTTTATTTTATTTATTTGAGTCTTTTCTATGTTTTCTTAGGTAGTCCAGCTAATGTTTTCTCAATGTTGTTCTTCAGTTTTTTAAAAAAAATCTTAGTTTTTTTCAGTATTACATTATTTCTACTCTGATATTTATTATTTTCTTCCTTATGTTTACTTTGGGCTTATTTTGGCCTCTTTTCTAGTTTCCTGAAGTGTGATGTTAGGTATTTTATGTGTATTCTTTCTTGTATCCTAATGTAGGTGTTTATTGCCATAAGTGCTCCCTTAGAACAGCTTTTGCTACAACTCATAATATTTGGTGTGTTGTGTTTTTGTTTTCATTTGTCCAAGATTTTTTTTTAATTTCCTTTTATTAGTTGACCCATTTTTTTTCAGAAGGATATTTGTTTATTTCTACATAATGGGGAGTTTTCTAATTTTCTAAATTGATTTTTAGTTTCATAACATTGTGGCTGAAATGATACTTCATACGATTTTGATGTTTTTAAATTTGGTAAGACATGTATTGTGGCCTAACAAATTGTCTGTCTTGGAGAATGTTCCATGAGCACTTGAGAAGAATGTGTGTTCTGCTGCTGCTAGATGGAATATTCTTTATATTCCAGTTGGGTCGATTTGTTCTCAAGTGTAGTTTAAGTCCAGTATTTCCTTGTTGATATTCTCTCCAGATGATCTATACATTGTTGAAAGTGGAGTGTTGAAGTACTGTACAATTATTTTGTTACTCTCTTCAGATCTATTATAATTTGCTTTATGTAGCTATATATATCTCATCAACATTGGACCATATAACTATATAAAGCAAATTGTAATATCATCTTGAATAATAGACTGTTTTATCATTATATAATAACCTCCTTTGTCTCTTGTGGGCCTTATTTTTTACTTCAACTATATCTTGCCTAAGTATAGCCACCTCTGTTACTTTTTGATGCTGCAATTTGCATGGAATATATTTTTCTATCTCTTTATTGTATTCTGCACCTCTAGAATTTCTTTTCCTTTCTCTTTTATTTAATTGTTTGTATCTCTTTGTTGTACTTCTCATTTTGTTTGTGTATCATTTTCCTGAATTCATTTAGTTGTCTCTATGAGTTTTCTTGTAGCTCGCTGAGATTCTTTAAAGTGATTATTTTGAATTCTTTGTCAGGCAATTTGTAGTTCTATATTTCTTTGGGGTCAGTCACTGGGGCTTTATTTTGGTCCTTCAATTCTTTCATATTTCCTTGATCCTTTATGTTCCTTGGAGGCTTGGATTGTTGTCTTCACAGTTGAAAAAGCAGTTATCTTCTCTACTGTTTATAACAGGCTTTGGGGAAGAAAGATCTTTACCAGTGAGCCCAGCCAGATATTCTGGGAGGCGTTCAGACCTTTTCCATGGATGTGCCTTCTTCACTCTTCTTAATTATTCTTAGGGGGAAAGACTGAGTATTGTTTACCTTCTCTCTATGCTGCAAAGCGAGACCTGGTGCTCTGACCATCCCATTTATTTTCCCTAAAGCAGTGTGTCCTGAGTTGTTCAAGTTTATATGCCCTCTCTCAATCCAGAAGATTCAAGCTGACTGTTAAGATTCTGACCTGATTATGAGATCCATATGCTATTTATTGTTCTCATGTGAGTCATGCACAGAGATGTGTGGGGTGCTTTCCACTGGGGAGGAAGGAAGCTTGGGGCACATGTTGGCTGCGTGTGGGGTCCTCAGGTAAGTCACCCTGCAGGGCTTATGGACAATTTTCTTGGTGGAGTCCATGTACTGGTAAGTAGTATTCATGACTGATTATTGTGTATTGCATGCTGGCTCTTATGTGTTTCCTCTCCTTTTCACTGCTCCTAGTTAACTGCAGAGAATTCAGCTTTGCTGATGTACTCTGTTTTGAGTGGGGCAAGAGAGAAGGTCATCTCCTGGGCAGTATTCTGCATGGCCGGGGAAGCTGTGTCTCCAACTTTAATTTGTGGGAGAAATTTCCTTTTCCTTGGGCCTCTTTTGGCACCAAGCTCTGTTACCTTAGGGTAGAGGTGATACAGTTAATGGGAAACTACTTCTCTTACCCTCTTCAACATATTTACTCTTGGAGTTTTTTGTTCCACCAGGGTGCTACACCTAGAATCGAAAGCTCCCACAACATTATTATTTTTAATGAATAAATTAAATTATTTTTCATCTGCAACTATTCCTATGGGAGTATTACTCTTTTAAAATTTTCTTTATCTTAACAGATACATACTAGTTGTACATATTTATGGGGTACATGTAATATTTCGATACAAGTATACAATGCATAATAGTCAAATCTAGTAATTGGGATATCCATTGCCTAAAACATTTATTATTACTTTGTGTTAGTAATATTCCAAATCGACTCTTCTAGTTATTTTGAAATATAGAATACATTGTTGATAACTATAGTCACCTTATTGTGATACCAAACACTAGATTTTATTCTTTCTTTTTTTTAAATTATATTTTAAGTTCTGGGATACATGTATATTTTAAGTTCTGCGGAATGTGCAGGTTTGTTACATAGGTATACACATGCCATGGTGGTTTGCTGCACCTAACAACCTGTCATCTAAATTAGGTATTTCTTCTAATGCTATCCCTCCCCTAGCACCCCACCCTATGACAGGCCCCAGCATGTGATGTTCCCCTCCCTGTGTTCATGTGTTCTCATTGTTCAACTCCCAGTTATGAGTGACAACATGCAGTGTTTGGTTTTCTGTTCTTGTGTTAGTTTGCTGAGAATGATGGTTTCCAGCTACATCCATCTTCCTGCAAAGGACATGAACTCATCCTTCTTTTCTGGCTGCATAGTATTTCATGGTGTATATGTGCCACATTTTCTTTATCCAGTCTATTATTGATGGGTATTTGCCTTGGTTCCAAGTCTTTGCTACTGTGAACAGTGCTGCAATAAACATATGTGTGTGTGTGTCTTTATAGTAGAATAATCTATAATCCTTTGGGTATATACCCAGTAATGGGATTGCTGGGTCAAATGGTATTTCTGGTTCTAGATCCTCGAGGAATCACCACACTGTCTTCCACAATGGTTGAACTAATTGATACTCCAACCAACACTGTAAAAGCGTTCCTATTTCTCCACACCCTCTCCAGCATCTGTTGTTTCCTGACTTGTTAATGATCGCCATTCTAACTAACATGAGATGGTATCTCATTGTGGTTTTGATTTGCATTTCTGTAATGACCAGTAATGACGAGCTTTTTATTTCATATGTTTGTTGGCTGCATAAATATCTTCTAGTGAGAAGTGTCTGTTTATATGCTTCACCCACTTTTTGGTGAGGTTTGTTTTTTTCTTGTAAAGCTGTTTAAGTTCCTTGTAGATTCTGGATATCAGCCCTTTGTCAGATGGAGAGATTGCAAAAATTTTCTCCTATTCTGTAGGTTGCCTGTTCTCTCTGATGATAGTTTCTTTGCTATGCTGAAGCTCTTTAGTTTAATTAGATTCCATTTGTCAATTTTGGCTTTTGTTGCCATTGCTTTTGGTGTTTTAGTCATAAAGTCCTTGCCCATGCCTAAGTCCTGAATGGTATTGCCTAGGTTTTCTTCTAAGGTTTTTATGGTTTTAGGTCTTACATTTAAGTCTTTAATCCATCTTGAGTTAATTTTTGTATAAGGTGTAAGTAAGGAGTCCAGTTTCTGTTTTCTGCATATGGCTAGCCAGTTTTCACAGCACTATTTATTTAATAGGGAATCCTTTCCCCATTGCTTGTGTCAGGTTTGTCGAAGATCAGATGGTTGTAGATGTGTGGCGTTATTTCTGAGACCTCTGTTCTGTTCCATTTATCTATATGTCTGTTTTGGTACCATGCTGTTTTGGTTACTGTAGCCTTGCAGTATAGTTTGAAGTCAGGTAGTGTGATGCCTCCAGCTTTGTTCATTTTGCTTAGGATTGTCTTGACTGTACAGGCTCTTTTTTGTTTCCATATAAAATTTAAAATATTTTCTAACTCTGTGAATAAAGTCAATGGTAGCTTGATGGGGATAGCATTGAATTTATAAATTACTTTGGGCAGTATGGCCATTTTCATGATATTGATTCTTTCTATCCATGAGCATGGGATGTTTTTCCACTTGTTTGTGTCCTCTCTTATTTCCTTGAGCAGTGATTTGTAGTTCTCCTTGAAGAGGTCATTCACATCCCTTGTAAGTTGTATTTGTAGGTATTTTATTCTCTTTGTACAAATTGTGAATGGGAGTTCACTCATGATTTGGCTCTCTGTTTGTCTGTTATTGGTGTATAGGAATGTTTGTAATTTTTGCACATTGATTTTGTATCCTGAGACTTTGCTGAAGTTGCTTATAAGCTTATGGAGATTTTGGGTTGAGACTATGGGCTCTTCTAAATATACAATCATGTCATCTGCAAACAGAGACAATTTGACATCCTCTCTTCCTATTTGAATACCTTGTATTTCTTTCTCTTGCCCGATTGCCCTGGCCAGAAATTCTGATACTATTTTACACAGGAGTGGTGAGAGAGGGCATCTTTGTCTTGTGCCAGTTTTCAAATAAATGCTTCCAGCTTTTGCTTTTGCCTCGTCAGTATGATATTGGCTGTGGGTTTGTCATAAATAGCTCTTATTATTTTGAGATATGTTTAATCAATATATAGTTTATTGAGAGCTTTTAGCATGAAAGGGTGTTGAATTTTATCAAAGGCCTTTTCTGCATCGATTCAGATAATCATGTGGTTTTTGTCATTGGTTCTGTTTATGTGATGGATTACATGTATTGATTTGTGTATATTGGACAAGCCTTGCATCCCAGGGATGAAGCTGACTTGATTGTGGTGGATAAGCTTTTTGATTCGCTACTGGATTCAGTTTGCCAGTATTTTATTGAGGATTTTTGCATTGATATTAATGAAGGATATTTGCCTGAAATTTTCTTGTTTTGTTGTCTTTCTGCCAGGTTTTGGTATCAGGATGATGCTGGACTCATAAAATGAGTTAGGGCGGATTCCCTCTGTTTCTATTGTTTGGAAGAGTTACAGAAGAAATGGTATCAACTCCTCCTTGTACCTCTGGTAGAATTTGACTGTAAATTCATCTTGTCCTGGGCTTTTTTTTTTTTTTTTTTTGGTTGGTAGGCTATTAATTACTGCCTCAATTTCAGCAATTGTTATTGGTCTATTCAGGGATGTGACTTCTTTTTGGTTTAGTCTTGGGAGGGTGTACGTGTCCAGGAATTTATCCATTTCTTCTAGATTTTCTTGTTTATTTGCATAGAGATATTTATAGTATTCTCTGATGGTAGTTTGTATTTTTATGGGATCAGTGGTGGTATTCCCTTCATCATTTTTATTGCATCTACTTGATTCTTCTCTCTTTCCTTCTTTATTAGTCTGGCTAGCAGTCTATATATTTTGTAGATCTGTACAAAAAAAAACAGCTCCTGGATTCGTTGATTTTTCGACGAGTTTTCATTTCTCTCCTTCAGTTCTGCACTGATCTTAGTTATTTCTTGTCTTCTGCTAGCTTTTGAATTTGTTTGCTGTTGCTTCTCTAGTTCTTCTAATTGTGATGTTAGGGTGTCGATTTTAGATCTTTCCTGCTTTCTCCTTTGGGCATTTAGTGCTATAAATTTCCCTCTAAACACTGCTTTAGCTGTGTCCCAGATATTCTGGTACATTGTGTCTTTGTTCTCATTGGCTTCAAAGAACTTCTTTACTTCTGCTTTAATTTTGTTATTTTCCCAGTAGTCACTCATGAGCAGGTTGCTCAGTTTCCATGTACTTTTGCAGTTTTGAGTGAGCTTCTTAATCCTGACTTCTAATTTGATTGCACTGTGGTCTGAGAGACTCTTTGTTTTGATTTTCATTCTTTTTCGTTTGTTGAGGAGTGTTTTACTTTCAATTATGTGGTCATTTTTAGAATAAGTGTCCTGTGGTGTTGAGAATAATGTATATTCTGTTTATTTGGGGTGGAGAGTTCTGTAGATGTCTGTTAGGTTCACTTGGTCTAGAGCTGAGTTCAAGTCCTGAACATCCCTGTTAATTTTCTGTGTTTTTGATCTGTCTAATATTGACAGTGGGGTGTTAAAGTCTCCCACTACTATTTTGTGGGAGTCTAAGTCTCTTTGTAGGTCTCTAAGAACTTGCTTTATGAATCTGGGTGCTCCTGTATTGGGTGCATATATATTTAGGATGGTTAGCTTTACTTGTTGCATTTATCACTTTATCATTATGTAATGCCCTTCTTTGTATTTTTTTAATCTTTGTTGGTTTAAAATCTGTTTTATTAGAGAGTAGGATTGCAACCCCTGCTTGTTTTTGCTTTCCATTTGCTAGGTAAATATTCCTTCATCCCTTTATTTTGGGCCTATATGTGTCTTTGCAAGTGAGATGGGTCTCCTGAATACAGCACACTGATGGCTGTTGACTCTTTATCCAATTTGCCAGTCTGTGTCTTTTAATTGGGACACTTAGCCTGTTTACATTTAAGGTTAATATTGTTATGTGCGAATTTGATCCTGTCATTATGAAGCTAGCTGGTTATTTTGCTCCCTAGTTGATGAAGTTTCTTCATAGTATTGATGGTCTTTACAATTTTGTATTTTTTTTTGCAGTGGCTGGTACAGTTTTTTCCTTTCCATGTTTAGTGCTTTCTTCAGGAGCTTTTGTAAGGCAGGCCTGGTGGTGACAAAATCTCTCAGTATTTGCTTCTCTGTAAAGAATTTTATTTCTCCTTTGCTCATGAAGCTTTGTTTAGCTGGATGTGAAATTCTGGGTTGAAAATTATTTTCTTTAAGAATGCTGAATATTGGCCCCCACTCTATTCTGGCTTGCAGGGTTTCTGCAGAGTTCTGCAGTTTGTGTGATGGGCTTCTTTTTGTGGATAACCTGTCCTTTCTCTCTGGCTGCCCTTAACATTTTTTCCTTCATTTCAACCTTGGTGAATCTGACGATTATGTGTCTTGGGGTTGCTCTTTTTGAGGAGTATCTTTGTGGTGGTCTCTGTATTTCCTGAATTTGAATGTTGGCCTGTCTTGCTAGGTTGGGGAAGTTCGTCTTTTAATATTCTGAAGAGTGTTTTTCAACTTGGTTCCATTCTCTCTGTCACTTTCTGGTACACCAATCAAACGTAGGTTTGGTCTTTTCACATAGTTTCACATATTTCTTGGAGACTTTGTTTGCTTTCTTCATTCTTTTTTTTTCTAATCTTGTCTTAACGCTTTATTTTATTAAGTTAATCTTCAATCTCTGATGCCCTTTATCTGCTTAATTGATTTGGCTATTGATACTTGTGTATGCTTCACATAGTTCTCATGCTGTGTTTTTCAGCTCTGTCAGATCATTTATGTTCTTCTCTAACCTGGTTATTCTAGCTAGCAATTCCTCTCTCTTTCAAGGTTCTTAGCTTTTTTTGCATTGGGTTAGAACATGCTCCTTTAGTTTGGAGGAGTTTGTTATTAACCACCTTCTGAAGCCTTCTTCCATCAATTCATCAAACTCTTTCTCTGTCCAGTTTTGTTCCCTTGCTGGTGAGGAGTTGTAATCTTTTGGAGGAGAAGCAGTGTTCTGGTTTTTGGAATTTTCAGGCTCTTTGTGCTGTTTTTTCCTCATCATCATGGATTTATCTTCCTTTGGTCTTTGATGCTGGTGACCTTTGGATGGGGTTTCTGTGTGGATGTTCTTTTTGTTGATGTTGATGCTATCCCTTTTGGTTTGTTAGTCTATTTTCTAACAGTCAGGCCCCTCTGCTGCAGGTCTGCTGGCATTTGCTGGAAGTCCACTCCAGACCCTGTTTGCCTGGTTATTGCCAGTGGAGGCTGCAGAATAGCAAAGATTGCTGCCTGTTTCTTTCCCTGGAAGCTTTCTCTCAGCGGGGCAACTTCCAGATGCCAGCCACATGTGTCCTGTATGAGGTGTCTGTCGACCCCTGCTTGGAGCTGTCTCCCAGTCTGGAGTCACAGCAGTCAGGGATCCACTTGAGGAGGCAGTCTGTCTCTTAGCAGAGCTCTAGTGCTGTTCTGGGAGATCTGCTGCTCTCTTCAGAGTCAGCAGGCAGGAACTTTTAAGTCTGCTGAAGCTGGGCCCACAGCCGCCCCTTCCCCCAGGTTCTCTATCTCAGGGAGATGGGAGTTTAATCTGTAAGCTGCTGACTGGGGCTGTTGCCTTTCTTTCAGAGATGCCCTTCCAAGTGAGGAGGAATCTAGAGACGCAGTCTGGCTACAGTGGTTTTGCTGAGCTGTGGTGGGCTCCCCCCAGTTTGAACTTCCTGAAGGCTTTGTTTACACTGAGGGGAAAACCACTTACTCAAGCCTTAGTAATTGTGGCCCTCCCTCCCCCCACCATGCCAGAGCATGCCCTATCGACTTCAGACTGCTGTACTCACAGTGAGAATTTCAAGCCAGTGGGTCTTCACTTGCTGGGTTCCATGGGGGTGGAATTCGGTGAGCTAGACCACTTGTCTGCCTGGCTTCAGCCCTTTTTCCAGGGGAGTGAACAGTTCTGTTTTCCTAGTGTTCCAGGCGCCACCGGGCTTTGAGAAAAAACTCCTGCAGCTAGCTCAGTGTCTGCCCAAACTGCTGCCCAGTGTTTTGCTTGAAGCCCAGGGCCCTGGTGGTGTAGGCACCTGAGGGAATCTCCTGGTCTGTGGGTTTTGAAGACTGTGGGAAAAGCGTGTTATCTGGGGCCGTATTGCACCATCCCTCATGGCACAGTCCCTTATGGCTTCCCTTGGCTAAGCGAGGGGGTTCCCTGACCCCTTGTGCATCCCAGGTGAGGTGACACCCCACCCTGCTTTGGCTCATCCTCCATGGGCTTCACCCACTGTCTAACCAGTCCCAATGAGATGAGCCGAGTACCTCGGTTGGAAATGCAGAAATCACCCACCTTCTGCGTTGATCTGGCTGGGAGCTGCAGACCAGAGCTGTTCCTATTTGACCATCTTGCCTGCACCCTTTTATTCTTTCAAAGTATATATATATATATTTATTATTATTATACTTTAAGTTTTAGGGTACATGTGCACAATGTGCAGGTTAGTTACATATGTATACATGTGCCATGCCGGTGTGCTGCACCCATTAACTCGTCATTTAGCATTAGGTATATCTCCTAATGCTATCCTTCCCCCCTCCCCCCACCCAACAGTCCCCAGACTGTGATGTTCCCCTTCCTGTGTCCATGTGTTCTCGTTGTTCAATTCCCACCTATGAGTGAGAACATGCGGTGTTTGGTTTTTTGTCCTTGTGATAGTTTACTGAGAATGATGATTTCCAATTTCATCCATGTCCCTACAAAGGACATGAACTCATCATTTTTTATGGCTGCATAGTATTCCATGGTGTATATGTGCCACATTTTCTTAATCCAGTCTATCATTGTTGGACATTTGGGTTGGTTCCAAGTCTTTGCTATTGTGAATAGTGCCACAATAAACATATATGTGCATGTGTCTTTATAACAGCGTGATTTATAGTCCTTTGGGTATATACCCAGTAATGGGATGGCTGGGTCAAATGGTATTTCTAGTTCTAGATCCCTGAGGAATCACCACACTGACTTCCACAATGGTTGAACTAGTTTACAGTCCCACCAACAGTGTAAAAGTGTTCCTATTTCTCCACATCCTCTCCAGCACCTGTTGTTTCCTGGCTTTTTAATGATTGCCATTCTAAGTGGTGTGAGATGATATCTCATTGTGGTTTTGATTTGCATTTCTCTGATGGCCAGTGATGGTGAGCATTTTTTCGTGTGTTTTTTGGCAGCATAAATGTCTTCTTTTGAGAAGTGTCTGTTCCCATCCTTCGCCCACTTTTTGATGGGGTTGTTTGTTTTTTTCTTGTAAATTTGTTTGAGTTCATTGTAGATTCTGGATATTAGCCGTTTGTCAGATGAGTAGGTTGCGAAAATTTTCTCCCAATTTGTAGGTTGCCTGTTCACTCTGATGGTAGTTTCTTTTGCTGTGCAGAAGCTCTTGAGTTTAATTAGATCCCATTTGTCAATTTAGGTTTTTGTTGCCATTGCTTTTGGTGTTTTAGACATGAAGTCCTTGCCCATGCCTATGTCCTGAATGGTAATGCCTAGGTTTTCTTCTAGGGTTTTTATGGTTTTAGGTCTAACATGTAAGTCTTTAATCCATCTTGAATTGATTTTTGTATAAGGTGTAAGGAAGGGATCCAGTTTCAGCTTTCTCCATATGGCTAGCCAGTTTTCCCAGCAGCATTTATTAAATAGAGAATCCTTTCCCCATTTCTGGTTTTTCTCAGGTTTGTCAAAGATCAGATAGTTGTAGATATGTGGCATTCTTTCTGAGGGCTCTGTTCTTTTCCATTGATATATATCTCTGTTTTGGTACCAGTACCATGCTGTTTTGGTTACTGTAGCCTTGTAGTGTAGTTTGAAGTCAGGTAGCATGATGCCTCCAGCTTTGTTCTTTTGGCTTAGGATTGACTTGGCGATGTGGGCTCTTTTTTGGTTCCATATGAACTTTAAAGTAGTTTTTTTCCAATTCTGTGAAGACAGTCATTGGTAGCTTGATGGGGATGGCATCGAATCTATAATTTACCTTGGGCAGTATGGCCATTTTCATGATATTGATTCTTCCTACCCATGAGTATTGAATGTTCTTCCATTTGTTTGTATCCTCTTTTATTTCCTTGAGCAGTGGTTCGTAGTTCTCCTTGAAAAAGTCCTTCACATCCCTTGTAAGTTGGATTCCTAGGTATTTTATTCTCTTTGAAGTAATTGTGAATGGGTGTTCACTGATGATTTGGCTCTCTGTTTGTCTGTTATTGGTGTATAAGAATGCTTGTGATTTTTGTACATTGATTTTGTATCCTGAGACTTTGCTGAAGTTGCTTATCAGCTTAAGGAGATTTTGGGCTGAGACAATGTGGTTTTCTAGATATACAATCATGTCATCTGCAAACAGGGACAATTTGACTTCCTCTTTTCCTAATTGAATACCCTTTATTTCCTTCTCCTGCCTAATTGCCCTGGCCAGAACTTCCAACACTATGTTGAATAGGAGTGGTGAGAGAGAGCATCCCTGTCTTGTGCCAGTTTTCAAAGGGAATGCTTCCAGTTTTTGCCCATTCAGTGTGATATTGGCTATTGGTTTGTCATAGATAGCTCTTATTATTTTGAGATACGTCCCATCAGTACCTAATTCATTGAGAGTTTTTAGCATGAAGGGTTGTTGAATTTTGTCAAAGGCCTTTTCTGCATCTATTGAGATAATTATGTGGTTTTTGTCTTTGGTTTTGTTTATTTTTGTTCACAGTAATCAACCTGCATTATTTCCCCTTCCCAGTACTCTTCCCAGCCTCTGGTAATCAACATTCTATTCATTACCTTCATAAGATTAACATTTTAGCTCCAACACATGAGTGAAAACTATTATCAAGAAGCCACAAAGGTGTTTTTGGCCGGGTGAAGTGGCCCACACCTTTAATCCCAGCACTTTGGGAGGCCAAGGCAGGCGGATCACAAGATCAGGAGTCTGAGACCAGCCTAACCAACATGGTGATACCCCGTCTCTTCTAAAAATACGAAAATTATCCAGGTGTGGTGGTGTGCGCCTGTAATCCCAGCTACTCAGCTACTCAGGTGGGTGAGACCGGAGAGTTGCTTGAACCCAAGAGGTGGCGGTTGCAGTGACCCATAACATAATACCATAGACTGGGTTATTTAAGCAACAGAAATTTATTTTTTCATAGTTTTAGAGGGTAGGAATCTGATATCACGGTGCCAGTATGGTCAGGTTTTGGTGAAGGCTCTCTTCCTGGCTTACAGATGGCCACCTTCTCACAAGGCTCAGGGAAATAGAATAAATACCTCTATCTTCTTCTTATAAGGCCACAGTCCTATCATATTAAAGCCTCACTCTTATGATCTCATTAAATCTTAAAGATTATCTCTAGATACAGTCACATTAAGGGTTAGGGTTGCGACATATAAATTTGGTGAAAGAAGGGACACAATCCAGTCCGTAGGAGTGAAAATGTGGTAATAGTGAATTTGTTGAGCGTGGGTCCATTGACACACTTCATTTGCTGTGAAATGAGTTCCTTGATTAGAAGAGGCATTATGATGGGGAAATAAAGCAATGTTTTCCCAATAAGTCTAGAGTAGTTGCTACTTCTTACCTACTAAATCCAATGAGAATTATGTTGCTGATTTAATGGACCAGTGCAATGCCTTGTGTAAGGAAAAGGCAAAGTCCTACAAACTAAATTATTGCAAGGAGCTGAAGAGTCCTGCTCCTGAGGTACGATATTGTATTGCTTGCTTTGTTAGCTGAAACAAACTGCTTCCGGCTGTCTTTACTAACAGACATAGGAAAAAAAAAACATTCTTTTAGTCAATAGCTCTCTACCAGATACCAGGGGATGTGTTAATTTGCTCTAGCAGTGAACCCACATTTGGCACAACAGCTGTTTGGAGTTATCATCTCATCAAGCTCACAATAATCCATTGTCATTCTCCAGGATCCATCTGTTTTCTGCACAGGCCAAATAGGAGATATGTGAGTTAAATGGGGATGTGATGGGAATTACCACCCCTGCATCCTTTAAGTTCTTGATGGAACTGGTCTTTGCAATCCCTCCAGGAAGGCAGTACTGATTTTGGTTTACTATTTTCCTAGATAGGAGCAGTTTTAGTTGCTTCTATTTATCCTCTACCATGACAACAGCACTCACTCCATAGGTCAGGGAAGTGATGTGGGAATTCTGCCAGTTGCTGAGTATATCTATTCAAATTATGCACTGCAGAGCTGAGGAAATAATCGCAAGATGGTTTCATGGACTCACTGTACACGCTGTGAAATGAATGTCAGCTAAACCTATGATCTGATGGTCTGACAGAGATTTTGTCTCTTCTGCCTGTCCACTGAGCTCAGGTTCACTCCATTGTTCCTTCTCTTCTGCTCCAGGAGGCCCAGGTGTCTATGCCATTGCCTCTGTCCCTCTGTGGCCTACAGGTGATAAAAGATTTGCAGGGAGGACACAAGGACACTCTGGGAGGCTGGAAATGATTATGGATTAGAGGCTTTGTTATCACACCACACCCACCTGAAAATAGCAAAATAGCAGGTAGAGAGTCACACTGTAAAATTTTATCCAAGAAGGAACATGAGAGCTGGACATAAAAGTGAAATAAACTTCAGAAACTTTAAAAATTTTAGCCAGCAGCAGCCCATGCTATGGGTGGGTCCAATGGAAATTTGTGAGTGAGTCACCAGTGTGTAAGAGGGGGAGAGAATTTCTCTCTGATACATATTTTCATTGGGGAACTGGGAAATCCAGGCCACGAGGGAGCTCCTTGATCCTACCAAGCACAGGATCTGACTTGGTGAGCCGTGAGGAGGCTATGAGGAGTGGCATTGGGAAGTGCTTTGTGTGCACTTCTATACTCTACCACTAATAGAAGGAGGACATTTCTAATCCTAACTCATAGAGAACTGCACGGAAATCTACTATCCAGAATGGGTGAAAGTCTCCGGTTTGGCAAGTCTCTGGACTGAGATTTGCAATCTAGTCTCATGTGGGGAAGGAGACTTCATGGACAGAACTGAGAGGTGAGTGTGGCATGGGCATGAGCTGCAGGTGCAGAAATTGGGAGCTCTTCCCTTGGCAGGACTAGACCAGCATGGATGTGGCCTGGGAGCCTCAGTTTTGTTCCAATCAGGGAGTTCGGCAGCCTGGGACAATTTAATGATCTGAAGGCAAACTGTTTGTGTCTCGTCTGGCTGTTTTAGCTTGCTGCCAATGGTAGGTTGCAGGAGAGAGCTCCACCAGGTTGAGAGTGTGGAAGCAATGTGGGACCCACTGCCACATGCTAGGGTTTGAATTCAAAGCTGCCCCTTTCTTCATGCATGCTCTTTGGCACAGCAGAGGTTCCTTCACTCCTTCCTGGAGCATTGCCCCAGTGGTGTTAGAATTGCTATCTAACTCCTGTCTGGGCTGGTGCTTGTGCGTGCCATTGGGGAGCCTAAGCATGGACTTGCCTAGCCCAGTCCCACTCAGCTTTGCCCCTTTCACCTGCCTTGGATACAGACAACAGGACCACGCCCCCAGGGAGCTCTATAGCCTAGCCCATTTTCTGAGATATCTGAGTATTTATCCTGGTAAACAAAGCTCAAGCTTGAACCCCACAGCCACGACCACAGCTGGCTCTCACCTGAAAGTACCACCTAATGAACAGGAGGACAAACTGCATAGTCCATTACAACATCGGCCGACACAATAGCATAGCACTCAGAAAGGAGATATGATCTGTGTGACATCTGCTGCCTTCATTGCCCACACAACCCCAGCTACTCAGTAGGTCTTGAACCCACTTACCCACCTGGTACATTAAGACTACAATTGGCATTTGAGAAAGCCACCACACTGAGGCTATTTATGACTAAGAAAATTAAACAAATTCTACACTACTCCCCTGCTACTCCAGTCAGTCCTTTTTTTGGTGTCCACCACTGAAGGACGTGAGGACAGGTTTGCCTCTTCAAATTCTGCACAGCATTACCCCATCTCTGGGGCTGAGCATAGAACCCAGGCCACTGGGCATTTCACAGACTACTCCATTGCTTGAGGCACAGGAGATCTTCTCCGTGTAAACAAAGACCCCTACTGCTTCTGCCACAGCTGGCTGGCTCTTACCTGTAAGCAACACCTACAGCCCTGAAGTTTGAACTAAGCAACCCAATATAAAATCAGCTGACACAAGCTTGAGGTATAGAGAAAAATATCTGGGAACCAGTCCCAGATAAACTTCCCAAGACCTCTGCCACCCCAGAGACACAGGAGAACATAAGCCTATTCACATATTCAGTACACTGCTACTACAACCAGCATTTGAGAAACACATTAAAACTGTCTATAACCAAGGAATTCTTATAGAGTGCTTACCACTAAAAACACTTAGAAGCAAAGCCAAACAACCCTACTCAACAAACATTATAGTCATATCTCCAAAGGGAATAAATATGGCCTTTATAAGCAAAAGTAAATTTAAAAATAACAAGAGAAAATATCTCCAGATGAGGAGAAAGCAGTGTAACAATTCTGGAAATATGAAAAAATGTGGGTGTTATGACATTCCCAAACAAGCACACCAACTTGGTAGCAATGGATCCTAATCAAAATGAAATTTTTGAAATACCACGTAAAGAATTCAAAACATTAATTTTAAAGATACTCAATGAAATCAAAGAGAAAGCTGAAAAGCAATACAAAGAAATAAAAAATCAATTAAGGATATAAGTGAGAAATTTACCAAAAAGATAGATATTAAAAAACAAAAAAATCTGAAAATAAAAAATTAGAAAGGAATTACAACATACAATTAAAACCTTCAACAGTAGACTAGGCCAGGTAGAATAAAGAATCTCAGAACTTGAAGATAGGTCTTTCAAATTAATCCACTCTGACAAAAAAAGAAATAGTTTCAAAAAAAGCCTTCAAAAAGTTTGGAACTATGTAAAATCTCCAAACCTATGAATCGTAGGTATTCCCAAGAGAGAATAAAAAACACAACAAGATTGCAAAATCTATTCGAGGAAATAGTTGAGAAAAGCTTCCCTAGTCTAGTAAAAGGTCTAGATATCCAGATACAAGAGACTCAAGGAATTCTGGAAAAATTATTGCAAGAAAGTACTTACCATGGCATATAATAACCAGACTACAATTGAAGTGAAGGAAAAAATCCTAAAATTAGCAACAGAAACGTTTTGAGTCACCTATAAAGGAAAGCCCATCACATAAACAGCAGACTTCTCAACAGAAACTTTATAAGCCTGAAGAAATTGAAGTTCTATTTCTAGAGTTCTTCATGAAAAAAACACTTTTAAATACGAATTTTGAATCCTGCTCTAATGTTTATAAATGAAGAAATGAAGTATTTTCTAGATGAACAAATGCTGAGTGAATTTATCATGACTATACTCGTTCTACAGGAAATGCTGACAGAGTTCTAAATAAGGATAAAAAAGTCAATACTCTCCATCATAAGAGCACACAATAGTATAAAACTCACAGGCCAAAGAATATACGAAAAAACTAGATAACAATTAAGATTATGACAGGAACAAAACGTGACACATCAATATCAGCCTTGAATGTGTGAATGAATTAAATACTCCACTTAAAAGACACAATTGGCAGAATAGATGTTAAAAACATGATCTATTATTTTATTCTTGAAAAAGACTCACCTTACTCATAAATACAATTATAGACTGAAGGTAATGGGTGAAGACAGATGTTCTGTGCAAACAGACACCAAAAGTAAGCAAGAGTATCATGTGTTTCATATGTTTATAACTGGCTTTTGTAATAAGGTGATACTGACATCATAGAATGAGATAGAAATAATCCCTTCCATATTGATTTTATACCTATGTCAGTTAAAACTGGCTTTAAATCAAGAACAGTAAAAAAAGGTCAGTATATAATGATAAATGGATCAATTCAACAAGAAGATGTAATAAATCCTAAGTATATATGCACCCAGAATCATAAAACAAATATTACTAGAACTAAGGAAAGATATAGCAATACAATAATAGCTGGAGACTTCAACACTCCAGTGACAGCACTACACAGATTATCAAGCCAGAAAAAGGAAAAACAAATGCAAGAGTTAAACTGGACGTTAGACCAAGTAGACCTAATAGACATTTAAAGAACATACTCAACAAATTTAGAATTCCTCCAATCGGCTCATGGAAAATTCTCCAGGATAGACCATATTTTAGGCCACAAAACAAGCCTCAATAAGTTTTAAGAAATCAAACTTATAAAAAATATCTTTTCAGACCACAGTGGAATAAAACTAGAAATCAATTCCAAAAGGAACCCTTGAACTGTAAAAATACATGGAAATTAAACAACATGTTCCTGCATAATCTTTGAGTCAATGAAAAAATGTAGACATAAATTAAATAATATTTGAAACAAATGAAAATGGAAACAAAACATACCTAAACCTTTGTAATACAGCAGAACTGGTATTTACATGGAAGTTTATAATGTTAAATGCCTACATCAAAGTAATAAAAAGACTACAAATTAACAATCTACCATCACAACTCAATGAACCAGAAAATATGAACAAACCAAACCCAAATCTAATAGAAGAAAAATAACAAACATCAGAGCAAAACTAAATGAAATTTAGAGCAAATAAACAATATTAAAAAGCAATGAAATGAAGTTTATTTAAAAAAATAATGAAAATTGACAGAACTCTCTCTAGAATAACCATGAGAAGAAGAGAGATGATTCAGATAAACACAATTGGAAATGAAAAAGGAGGCATTATAACTGATATCACAAAAATAAGATAACTAGAGAGTAGCATGAACAACTCTATGCTAATAAGCAAGAAAAACTAGAGGAAATGGATAAATTTCTGGAAACATACGACCTCCTAAGATTGAAACGGAAAAAAATAGAAATCATGAGCAGATCAGAAATGAGTACTGAGATTGAGTAATAATAATATTAAAAAACTTCCCAACAAAGAAAGGCCCAGGACCAAATGGATTTACAGCTCAATTCTACCCAATGTGCAAAGCAGAACTTATTCCAGTCCTACTGAAACAATTTAAAAAAAAAATCAATATGGAAGGGATTATTTCTATCTCATTCTATGATGCCAGTATCACCTTATTAACAAAGCCACATATAAACATATGAAAATAGAAGAGAAAAGAAATCTACAAACCAATATCCCAGATAAACATAGATGTGAAAATCCTCAACAAAATTTTAACTAACTGAATCCAACACCACATCAAAAGGATAATACATCATGATCAAGTTGGTTTTAACCCAGAGATGAAAGGATGGTTCAACATACACAAATCAATAAAAGTAATTCACCACATAAACAGAATTAAAAGCAAAAGCCATATGATCATCTCCATAGATGCAGAAAAAAATTAATAGAATTCAGCATAACTTTATTATAAAAACTCTTTAAAAACTAGGCATAGAAGGAACGTACCTCAAAGTGATAAAAACCGTATATAAGAAGCCCATAGCCAGCCTTATACTGAATGGGGAAAAGTTGAAAGCATTCTTTCTAAAAACTGAAACAAGACAAAAATGCCCATTTTCACTGCTCCTTTTCAACGTAATACTGGCAATTGTAGCCAGGGCAGTCAGGCAAGAGAAAGAAATAAAAGCCCTCTGAATTTAAAAAGAAGTCAAATTATTTCTGTTTGCTGATAATATGACCTTATACATAGAAAACTTTAAAGACTCTACCCCAAAGACTCCTAGATTTGATAAATGAATTCAGTAAAGTTTCAGGATACAAAATCTATGTACAAAAATTACTATTTACCAGTAATAATCAAGCTTAGAACCAAATCAAGTTGTCAGTTTGTTAGCATTTACAATAGCTGTAAAAATAAAATATCTGGAATGCATTTAACCAAGGAAGTGAAAAATACCTACAAGGAAAACTATCAAACACTGATTAAAGGAATTTGAGATGACAAAAATAAATTGAAAAAATCTTATGCTCTTGAATAAGAGGAATGAATATCATTAAAATGTCTATATTATCTAAAGCAATCTACAGATTCATTTCAATTCTCATCAAAATACCAATGTAATTTTGCACAGAATTAGAAAAAAATCACCAAATTCATATGGAACCACAAAAGAGCTTGCATAGCCAAAACAATCCTATGCAAAAGGAACTAAGTCGGATGCATCACATTACCTAATTTCAAATTATATTACAAAGCCATAGAAACTACAACAGCATGGTATTGGTATAAAAATAGACACATAGATCAAAAGAATAGAAGAGAGAACCCAGAAATTAAGCCACATAACTACAGCCAACTGGTCTTCGATAAAGTCAACAAAAGATAGGCTGTGAAAACAACATCCTATTCAAAAAGGGTTCTTGGAAAATTAGGTGGCCATACACAGAAGAATAAATATGGACCTGTATCTCTCACCATATGCAAAAATTATCACAAATGTATTAAAGGCTTAAGTGTAAGACCAAAACTATAAAAATACAGGAAGAAAACAGGGAAAACTATTCTGAACATCATTTTTGGCAAAGACATCATGACAAAGACCTTAAAAACAAATGCACAATACCAAAAATAGACAAATGGGACTTAAACTAAAGTGCTTCTTTACAACAAAAGAAATTATCAACAAAATAAACAGACAACGTGCAGAATGGAATAAACTATTTACAAACAATACATCCAATAAAATATTAATAACTAGGTTCCACAAAGAACTCAGACATCTCAACAACAACAAATAATTCTGCCAAGGCCAGGTGCAGTGGCTCACGCCTGTAATCCCAGCACTTTGGGAGGCCGAGGTGGGCGGATCACGAGGTCAGGAGATCGAGACCACCGTGGCCAACACGGTGAAACCCCATCTCTACTAAAAATACAAAAAAAAAATTAGCTGGGCGTGGTGGCGGGTGCCTGTAGTCCCAGCTACTTGGGAGGCTGAGGCAGGAGAATGGCGTGAACCTGGGAGGTGGAGCTTGCAGTGAGCCCAGATGACGCCACTACACTCCAGCCTGGGCCATAGAGTGAGATTCCATCTCAAAAAAAAAAAAAAAAAATTCTGCTAAAATGTAGGCAAATGGCATAAACAGACTTTTTCAAAAGAAGACATACAAATGGCCAACAAACACATAAAAAACTGCTTAACATTATTAATCAATGAAATGCAAATTAAAATTTCGATTAGCTATTGTATTACACCACAGTAGCTATTACTAAGAAGTCAAAAAATAACAGATATTGGCAAGTATGGAGAAAAAAGGAAGCACTCATAAGCTTTAGTAGAAATATTAATGAATATAACTTGTAATTAATACAATACATAGGGTTCTCAAAGAATTAAAAATAGAACTACCATTCTATGCAATAATTCCACTACTGGTTATCTACCAAAGGGAAATAAATTTTATACAAAAGGATATCTACACTCATGTGTTTATACCAGCATTATTCACAATAGAAAAGATATAGAATCAACTAAACTGTCAATCAATGGATTATCGGATAAAGAAAATGTGGTGTATATATACAATGGATTGTATTCAGCCATTAAAAAAGAGAATAAAGTCATTTTTTTTTTTCCAGCAACATCAATGGAACTGGAGGCCATTGTCTTAAGTGAATGGTTTGGAAACAGAAAGGCAAATACCACATATTTTCACTTATAAGTGAGAGCTAAATAATGTATAGAACTGGACATAAGGAGTAAAATAATAGACACTGGAGACTCAAAAGGATGGGAGGGATCAGAGGGGGTGAAGGATGAACAATTACTTAGCGGATACAATGTACATTATTAGGTTGATGGCTACACTGAAACCCCAGACTTCACCATTATGCAATATATCCATGTAACAAAACTACTTTCTCCTAAATTATAAATATTAAAACAAAAACAAAAACACCTCTATTGTTCACCTGACCTCCATAAGCCACTATTCTGATTGTAGACTATAGTGTCATTTTAGGTCTCCTGGCATTAGTATCAGTTCAGGACCTGTGTCCAATATTCTCCAAAACTTCTGATTATTTTTCCCTAATTCTTCCATGCCATAATTTATTTTGGGGAAAGCTGTGAGAAAGATTGACATTATATGTTGTTGGGCGTGTGGTGGGATGCTTCTTCCAGGGGACCCATTCTTCCCTTCATTCAAGGGTTGTGAGTCTGTAAACTGGCTCAAGCCTGGGAATTGATTGAAGGGCCATGACTCTGTTTTATGTTACAAGCTAGAATTTTGTTCAATTGACCTAGGACTCCTCTGCTTATACAGATTTAGTAAGAATATAATGGAATTATTATCTGTCTCACTACTAGAAACATGATTAACTAACAATGTCATAGGTCTGCATCAGTCAGATTATTCTGATTGCTGCTTTGACTCTTCTGCTTATGTAGTTTTTGTCAGTTAAGTGCTGCCACTTTTCCCCTGCCACTTGGGAATCCAATTATTTCTATTAAATTTATTTTTTTTAGTTTAATGGTATCAATCCATGTAATTTCTGACCTACAGAGAAAAGTGATCTTCAAAGACGATAGGGTTCCCACAAAAATTTATTTCTCGTAATTGTGGCTAAGAATTGTTCTCAGTACTCTCCCAAGGTCGGGGAGAAGATCTTAAATGATAAATGTCGCTAAGAATTTGGATTCTTTCCTCTACAGTATGTCAAGGCAGGACTGGAATTTCAACTTCATTTAGTGTAGGACACCTTTTGGTCTATGTGTTTCTAAACTTTTTTTAGAGTATTTTCTGACACACTGAGCTGCAACACTAAATCGAGACTCTCTCCTTCTTGGGCTCATATCAATACATTTGGCCTGTTTCAGGTTTGTGTTTCTTCCACAATTATCCATACTTTTAATATCCATTGTCATACGTATTCCCTGGATTTATGTCTATATAAATTAGAAAAATAAACATGACCTGACAAGACTTGAGTCTAGTTATAGGTCTAGAAGCAAAGAAGGGTGGTATGGTGGGTCCTAACAATGATCAGCAGTGTCTTACTTCTGCTTCTTCTCAGAGCTTAAGTTGTATTTTATTTCGCTGCATGTAATCTCTTGCTCACAGGTACCCAGATATCTGCAGTAACCCAGCAATCCATTTGTGCAATAGCTTCCACCACTGCTCTAAGCATTTTCCAGCCTACAGTCTAAACTATGCTATCATTCCAGTTAGTATTCCAAGTCAGAAAAGACACAACAGTCCCTCAGACTGTCCCCAGAGAAGCTAGAACTTTACAAGCAAGTTCCATTCATATTCTTTCATTCCAATGGAGGAACCAATAATTTGATGGATTCTTTCAGACACTCAGTGCTGTGTTAGAGAGGGAGTGGGACAAGGGCAAGCAGAAATGACATGAAATTTTCTAGCATTTCCTTGGTTGCTTCAGCTTCTTAGCTTGTTTCAAGAGTTCTCACAAAACTACTTTGCTCTATATATTTTGGGGTGTTTTGTTTTGTTTTTGTTTTTTTGTTTTTTTGTTTTTTTGTTTTTTTTGGTGTTTCCATGGGGCAATGAGGGCCTGGCGCTTTCTGCTCTGCCATCTTGCTGATGTCACTCTTCAGTAGTATCTCCTCTTCTCATCATGTTTGTCTGTTTTTATATCTTTCTTTTATAAGGTTGTGGTTCACCTTGAAACTATTCTAGGAGCCTCAGTTCAACATGTTAAACTGAAGAAAATGAAGTACTCTTTTCAGTTGTGGATCGCAATGATGTCAGCAAAGGGACATGATGGGAAGGTATTTTTACCTCTTTCTTTACTTACTTTTTTCTTTGTGTAAACATTTATTGAGCTTCTATTGTGGTCCATATGTTAGAGGTGTAGAGAAAAGAAACTCATGAAAAAAATAAGTAAAATAGTAAAATATTTAAAGAAAGCACAGTTTGGTGAATGCCTATACGGAATAGGCATATATGCTATTCACAGAGAGTGTGCCCATTCCTATATGGAAATCAGTGAAGGCTTCTTGATGGAGGAATTGCAGTCTCCCAAATCTTGAATGATTTGGAAACCTTAACCAGGTAGAGAAGAGATAAAGATTATGCCAGGCAGAGGGGAAACCACGGCAAGAACAAGGACACAGGGGAATGAAGCTAATCTTAGTATGTTGTATGCTAGGTACTCAGAACATGTAGGTTTCAATAAAGCCTTAAGTGATTAGGTAACTTCAGTTGTCAAGTTCCACCTTTACCTTCCCCCTGAGATGTTTTAAAAATACATGTACAGAGCTATCTGCCCATCTCCTGTTTATTTTTCCCTTCCTTTTCATATCTGCTATGATTAGAAGCTGATACAGGTACTTGTGAAAGAAGCTTCCCTTATGCCAGGTTTTTTCAGGCTTGCTGAAGACTTTTAATATGAACACTTTGAGAACTATAAGATAAATTCAACATTCTGGAGAATTTAACTTTTGTGAATATAGGAATGTTTTCTGCCAATGGGAATATTTGTGTTAGAGCATGACACATCCAAATTTGAAGTGCAGGCTACCTCCTAGTTTTGTTATCTTGGGCAAGTTACTTAGCTATTCTGCAGTTTACTCATACGTAAAATTAAGCTATTGATACCCATTTTACAGCTTTATTTTGTGGATTAACAATATTTTTTATAAGATATCTCACATACAATAGCCCTTCCATAAGGCAGAACTCACACGACCCTCTCTACCTTAAAAAAAAAAAAAGTCACTTTTAAAATTTTTTCAAATACCCAGTTTTCTTTGCAGAAACACTTTGGAAATCTCTCAGAACAAAACGTTTATACAAATTCACAAGGGGAGGAGGTTTGGCTCTGAGATGAAAGTTTATAATCAGAACTTTAGATCAAAACTAAAGCTGAAATCAAAAACAAAAAGTTTATTTTCAGTTCACTTCCAGAAGACACTGTCTTATAATTTGGATAAACTGTTAACATACATGCTGACTGTCAAAACTGGTCCTGTAATTACAAATCTGGAAAGAAAAAGAGGGGGGAAAAATCTGCTCTCCTCTTACTTTTTTATGATACCAGATTTAGAGCTGGGATTATGATGCCAGATTTAGAGCTGGTGGTCATAACCACTTTACCATGTTGCTCATTAATAATCACTTAAAATAGGTAGAAAAGGGATGTGGCCATTTTCTAACCCATACTTTTTATGTTAATGTAGCTCTTTTTTAATTACAAACCTAATTTAAAATTTTTAAATTTTGTGACTACATAATAGTTGTATGTATTTATGGGATATATAAGATGTTATGACACATACATACAATGTGTAGTTATGAAATCTGTAACTGAAGTATCCAACAGTTTAAACATTTATTATTTCTTTGTGGTGTAACTTTCCAATTCCACTCTCTTGTTTTATAATATACAACAAAGTACTTTAAACTATAGTCACCCAATTGTGCTATCAAACACTAGACCTTATTTCTTCTCTTTTTATACTCAATAATCATCCCCACTTCTCTTGCAGTTTCTTGTGCATTTGCACTATAACATTTATTTCTTTTTATACTATCTCTTAAAAAATGGTTGTAGTTATTATCATAGTCATATCTTCAAGAACAAAATTCCACATTCAATGAAAGTAAATTCAAAAATAAGAACAATCCCCTATTCCCCTGGTTGCTCAGAAATCAACGTATAGATGCAGAAAGCCTGAAAAAGAAATGTACTATAACACTCTCAAATTAAAACAATAATTCTTCAGCAATAGACTCTGTGCAAAAGAAATCTTCAAAATGCCAGATAAGGAAATCAAAATATTGACTTTAAAAAAGGCTTAATGAAATTAAATTGATTTTTTTTTTTTTTTTTTTGAGACAGAGTCTCACTCTGTTGCCTAGGCTAGATTGCAGTGGTGCAATCTTGGCCTACTGCAACCTCTGCTTCCCTTGTTTTCCTGCCTCAGCCTCCTGAATAGCTGGGGCTACAAGCACACGCCACAACACTTGGCTAATTTTTGTATTTTTAGTAGAGATGGGGTTTCACCATTTTTGGCCAGGCTAGTCTCAAACTCCTGACCTCAGGTGATCCAATCATGCTGACCCCTAAAGTGCTGGGATTACAGGCACGAGCCACCACACCTGGACCTTAAATGGAAATTTGTAAAGCAATACAAATATATTAGAATATCAACTTAGGCTGTTAATATGAAATTTACTAAGAAGGTAGATTTTCTAAAAAAATGTAATAGTAACAGAAATTTTGGAACTTATAAATTCATTGAAGGGGTTACAAAAACATTCCAAAGACCAAGCAGAAGGAAGACTCTCGAAATATGAAGACACATCTTTTGAAGTAATCCAATCAAACAAAAATAAAGACAAATGAACAAAGCCCTTAAGATGAGTGTGCAAAAATAACAATACTTACAATTTGTTGGTATTACTGAGGTAGAAAGAAAGATAAAAAATAAGTTTAGAAATCCTATTTAAGAAAATTATTTATGGAAGCATCTCAAGTGTAGCAAGAGATTTAGACATCCAGATACAGTAGTCCCAGCAATCCAAGACAAATACATTGCAAAAGGCATATTAAATCAGTATATCTAAAGTCAACATAAAAGAAATACTTCTATGATCAGCAAGAAAAATGCATCTAGTCACCTATGAAAGAAACCCCATCAGACTAAGAATGAGCTTCTTAGCAGAAACTTCGCAGGTCAGAAGAAAATGGAATGGGATTTACAAATTGCTGAAAGAAAAAAATACAATAAAAATGTTTATATCCAGCATGATTAAGCTTCATAAATGAAGGAGAAATAAAGTCTTTTCCAGACAAGCAATTGCTGAGGGAATTTATCACCACTAGAGCAGACTTAAAACAAATGCTCAAAAATGTCCTTGACATGGAAATAAAAGGTATATGTTCATGATTATGATAACTCATTAACATATAAAACTCAATGATATTATAAAACAATCACATAAAGAAGGAAGAAAAGTCAAGTTGTTAACACAACAAAATTTCACCAAACCATAAAGACAAACAGAGAAAAAGAAACAATGTATAAAACAACTGAAAAGATTTAGTGACCTGACAGAAAATAAACCTCATGTATAAATGTTAACCTTGAACTCAAATGGATTAAGTACTCTTCTAAAGAGAGATAGATTGGCAGAAAATATAAGAAACATGATCCATCTAAATGCTGCTTCCAAGAAATTCACCTTCTCTGTAAATACATACATAGACTGAGAGAAAAGGGTTGAAAAAAGATATTTTATGGAAATAGAAACTAAAAGAGAGTAGGAATAGCTTTACCTATACTAGATATAGCAGATATTAAATTAAAAAGTTAAAAAAGACAAATAAGGTCATTGTATAATGATAAAAGGATCAATGCAACAGGAGGATATAACATTACTCAGTATATATACACTCAATACTGGAGCAACCAGATTCATAAAACAAATATTACTACATCTAAAGAGAGAGGTGGAAAATAATACAATAATAGTGTGAGACTTCAACTGCGCACTCACAGCATTAGACATCATTAAGACGGGAAATCAACAAAGAAATATTGAACTTATTTGGACTTTAGGTGCAATAGACCTAACACACTTTGACAGAAAAGTCTACTCAACAACTGTGAAATGTACATTTTTTTCACATAAGCACATGGAACATTCTCCAAGATAGACCATGTATGACCTTGTATAGACCTTGTATTTTAGGCCACAAAACAAGTCTCAATGAATTTTTTAACATTAAAAACATATCAAGAATCTTCTCAGACCACGCTTGAATAAAACTGAATATCACTACTTTTGGGAACTTTGGAAACTATACAAATACATGGAAATCAAACATGTTCCTTAATGATTATTGTGTCAATGAAGAAATTAAGGTGGAAATTATAGCAATTTTTGAAACAAATGAAAAGGAAAACACAACACATCAAATTCTGTGGGATAAAGAAAAAGGAGTTCCCAAAGGGATGTTCATAGTATTAAATGCCTATACTAAAAAAGTAGGAACATTACAAATTAACAACCTAATGATGGACTGCCATGAACTAGAAACACAAGAACAAACTAAACCGAAAAGTGGCAGAAGAAAATGAGTTAAAAAAAAAAATTCTAGTAGAACTAAGTAAAATAGAGACCAAAAAGGAAAGGTAGAAGTACAAAGGGTCACTGAAACAGGAAGTGTTGGTTCTTAAAAAAGGTAAACAAAATAATCCACTATCCAGATTAATCATGAAAAAAAGAGAGATTACAACAAAATCAGAAATGAAAAAAGAGAGATTACAACAAAATCGGAAAAGCAAAAGAAGAAATTATAAATCACATCACAGAAATACAAACATTCTTAAAAATTATTATTAAGAACTCTACTTCCACAAACAAGAAAACCTAGAGGAAATAAATTAATTTCTGGAAACATGCAACCTCCCGTTTGAATCAGGAGGTAATAGAGAACTTGAGCAGACCTATAATGAATAGCAACATTGAATCAGTAATAAATAATTTGTAACAAAGGAATCTCAGAACTAAATGGATTTTCCATACACACAAAGAAGAATAAACAGTTCTTTTGAAATTGCTCCAAAAGTTCAAAGAGGAGAGAATTCTTCATAACTCATTCCATGACACCACTATCACCCTGATACCAAAACCATACAAGAACACAACAACCACAGAAAAACTACAGATCAGTAGTCTGAAGAGCATAGATGCAAAACTCCTCAGCAAAATACTAGAAAACCAAATTCAACATCATAACAAAAAGATAATACGCCATAAACAAGTGGGTTTTATATTAGGAATATAAGGATGGTTTAACATATACAAATCAATAAAAGTGATATATTACATAAACAAAAATAACAAAACCATATAATTATCTCAAGAGATGCAGGAAAAAGCATTTAATAAAATTTAGAATCTTTTTATGATAAACAGTCTCAACAATCTAGGCATAAAATGAACATATCTCAATGTAATAAAGGCCACATACAACAAACCCAAATCTAATATCACACTGAATGGAGAAAAGTTGAAAGCATTTCCTCTAAGAACTAGAACAAGACAAGGATGCCCACTTTCACCACTCCTATTCAACACAGTACTGAAAGTCCTAGCCAGAGCAATCTGGCAAAAGAAAGAAATAAAAGATATCCAAACTGGAAAAGAGGAAGTGAAATTTTTTCCTGTTATCTGACTATATAATCTTATATCTTGAAAAACCTAAAGACTCCAAAAAGAATCCCCTAGAATTGATAAAAGAATTCAGTAAAGTTTCAGGATACAAAATACATGTATAAAAACAAGTAGCATTTTTTTACACCAATAAAAGTGTAGCTGAGAATAAAATCAACAATGCAATTCCATTTATAATAGTTACAAAAAATAAAGTAGAACTCCTTGTTAATTAATAAGATGAAATATATATAATGTATATATTACATATAAATATATAACATATTTATATATTATATATTATATATATTATTTATATTTATATTTATATTGAAATATAATTATATATTATATATTAAATATGTTATAATCAGATTTATATTTTTAAATTATATAATATATAAATATAATTATATGTACTTTTACTGATATATATCTGTATACATATATACATACGTATATGTATACACATATATACATACGTACATGTATACACATATATACATAGGTACATGTATACACATATATACATACGTATATGTATACACATATGTACATATATACATACGTATATGTATACACATATGTACATATATACATATGTATATATATACACATATATACGTATATATGTATATACATACATACACGTGTATATATGTATTGTCCAATGTATTGAATTGTGTATATGTATACACGTGTATATATATTTGTGTATATATATATACACACATATACACAGTAGTTTGTAGTTTTACTGATATCTATATCTATATCACTATATATATATCAGTATATATATCAGTATATATAGATATAAGTATATAGATATAGATATAGATATAGATATCAGTAAAACTACAGACTACTGATGTAAGAAAAAGTAGATGACACAAATAAATGGAGAAACATCCCATGCTATTGGATTGGAAGAATTAATATATACAAAATTATATATATATATATCAGTAAAACTACAAAATGCTGATGAAAGAAAAAGTAGATGACACAAATAAATGGAGAAACATCCCAT
The DNA here is from genome assembly GCF_000001405.40 of Homo sapiens. Taxonomy (NCBI): domain Eukaryota; kingdom Metazoa; phylum Chordata; class Mammalia; order Primates; family Hominidae; genus Homo; species Homo sapiens. The sequence continues at coordinate 57,438,466 of NC_000023.11, forward strand.
GCTATTGGATTGGAAAAATATAAACAAAATTACCATACTGCTCTAAGCAATCTACAGATTTAATACTTTTCCTATCATAACATCAGTGTCATTTTTTCGAAGAATTAGAAAACATTCTTTTTTTATTTTTATTTTTATTTCTATTATTGTTATACTTTAAGTTTTAGGGTACATGTGCACAATGTGCAGGTTTGTTACATATGTATACATGTGCCATGTTGGTGTGCTGCACCCATTAATTTGTTATTTAACATTAGGTGTATCTCCTAATGCTATCCCTCCCCCCTCCCCCCACCCCACAACAGTCCCCAGAGTGTGATGTTCCCCTTCCTGTGTCCATGTGTTCTCATTGTTCAATTCCCACCTATAAGTGAGAACATGCGGTGTTTGGTTTTTTGTCCTTGCGATAGTTTGCTGAGAATGATGGTTTCCAGTTTCATCCATGTCCCTACAAAGGACATGAACTCATCATTTTTTATGGCTGCATAGTATTCCATGGTGTATAGGTGCCACATTTTCTTAATCCAGTCTATCGTTGTTGGACATTTGGGTTGGTTCCAAGTCTTCGCTATTGCAGATAGTGACACAATAAACATACGTGTGCATGTGTCTTTATAGTAGCATGATTTATAATCCTTTGGGTATATACCCAGTAATGGGATGGCTGGGTCAAATGGTATTTCTAGTTCTAGATCCCTGAGGAATCACCACACTGACTTCCACAATGGTTGAACTAGTTTACGGTCCCACCAACAGTGTAAAAGTGTTCCTATTTCTCCACATCCTCTCCAGCACCTGTTGTTTCCTGACTTTTTAATGATCGCCATTCTAAGTGGTGTGAGATGGTATCTCATTGTGGTTTTGATTTGCATTTCTCTGATGGCCAGTGATGATGAGCATTTTTTCATGTGTTTTTTGACTGCATAAATGTCTTCTTTTGAGAAGTGTCTGTTCATATCCTTCGCCCACTTTTTGATGGGGTTGTTTGTTTTTTTCTTGTAAATTTGTTGGAGTCCATTGTAGATTCTGGATATTAGCCCTTTGTCAGATGAGTAGGTTGCAAATTTTTCTCCCATTTTGTAGGTTGCCTGTTCACTCTGATGGTAGTTTCTTTTGCTGTGCAGAAGCTCTTTAGTTTAATTAGATGCCATTTGTCATTTTTGGCTTTTGTTGCCTTTGCTTTTGGTGTTTTAGACATGAAGTCCTTGCACATGCCTATGTCCTGAATGGTATTGCCTAGGTTTTCTTCTAGGGTTTTTATGGTTTTAGGTCTAACGTTTAAGTCTTTAATCCATCTTGAACTAATTTTTGCATAAGGTGTAAGGAAGGGATCCAGTTTTAGCTTTCTACATATGGCTAGCCACTTTTCCCAGCACCATTTATTAAATAGGGAATCCTTTCCCCATTTCTTGTTTTTGTCAGGTTTGTCAAAGATCAGATGGTTGTAGATATGTGGCATTATTTCTGAGGGTTCTGTTCTCTTCCATTGATCTATATCTCTGTTTTGGTACCAGTACCATGCTGTTTTGGTTACTGTAGCCTTGTAGTATAGTTTGAAGTCAGGCAGCGTGATGCCTCCAGCTTTGTTCTTTTGGCTTAGGATTGACTTGGTGATGCGGGCTCTTTTTTGGTTACATATGAACTTAGAGTAGTTTTTTCCAGTTCTGTGAAGAAAGTCATTGGTAGCTTAATGGGGATGGCATTGAATCTATAAATTACCTTGGGCAGTATGACCATTTTCAAAATATTGATTCTTCCTATCCATGAGCATGGAATCTTCTTCTATTTGTTTGTGTCCTCTTTTATTTCGTTGAGAGGTGGTTTGTAGTTCTCCTAGAAGAGGTCCTTCACATCCCCTGTAGGCTGGATTCCTAGATATTTTATTCTCTTTGAAACAATTGTAAATGGGAATTCACTCACGATTTGGCTCTCTGATTGTCTGTTTTTGGTGTATAGGAATGCTTGTGATTTTTGCGCATTGATTTTGTATCCTGAGACTTTGCTGAAGTTGCTTATCAGCTTAAGGAGATTTTGGGCTGATAGGATGGAGTTTTCTATATATACAGTCATGTCATCTGCAAACAGGGACAATTTGACTTCCTCTTTTACTAATTGAATATTCTTTATTTCTTTCCCTTGTCTGATTTCCCTAAAGAGAACTTCCAACACTATGTTGAATAAGAGTGGTGAGAGAGGGCATCCCTGTCTTGTGCCAGTTTTCAAAGGGAATGCTTCCAGTTTTTGCCCATTCAATATGACATTGGCTTTGGGTTTGGCATAAATAGTTCTTATTATTTTGAGACACGTGCCATCAATACCTACTTTATGGAGGGTTTTTAGCATGAAGGGCTGTTGAATTTTGTCAATGGCCTTTTCTGCATCTATTGAGATAATCATGTGTTTTTTGTCTTTGGTTCTGTTTATATGATGAATTACGTTTATTGATTTGCATATGTTGAAGCAGTGTTGCATCCGAGGGATGAAGCCCACTTGATCCTGGTGGATAAGCTTTTTGATGTGCTCCTGGATTCAGTTTGCCAGTATTTTATTGAGGATTTTTGCATCAGCATTCATTAGAGATACTGGTCTAAAATTCTCTTTTTTTGTTGTTGTGTTTCTGCCAGGCTTTGGTATCAGGATGATGTTGGCCTCAGAAAATGAGTTAGGGAGGATTCCCTCTTTTTCTATTGATTGGAATAGTTTCAGAGGGAATGGTACTAGCTCCTCTTTGTACCTCTGGTAGAATTCGGCTATGAATCTGTCTGGTTCTGGATTTTTTTTGTTGGTAGGCTAATTATTGCATCAATTTCAGAACCTGTTATTGGTGTATTCAGTGATTCAAATTCTTCCTAGTTTAGTCTTGGGAGGGTGTGTGTGTCCAGGAATTTATCCGTTTCTTCTAGATTTTCTAGTTTTTTTGTGTAGAAGTGTTTATACTATTCTCTGATGGTAGTTTGTATTTCTTTGGGATTGGTGGTGCTATACCCTTTATCATTTTTTATTGCATCTATTTGATTCCTCTCTCTTTTCTTCTTTATTAGTCTTGCTAGTGGTCTATCAATTTTGTTGATCTTTTCAAAAAAACCAGCTCCTGGATTCACTGATTTTTTGAAGCGTTTTTTTTTTGTGTGTGTCTATCTCCTTCAGTTCTGCTCTGATCTGAATTATTTCTTGCATTCTGTTAGCTTTTGAATGTGTTGGCTCTTGCTTCTCTAGTTCTTTTAATTGTGATATTAGGGTGTCAATTTGAGATCTTTCTTGCTTTCTCTTGTGGGCGTTTAGTGCTATAAATTTCCCTCTACACACTGCTTTAAATGTGTCCCAGAGATTCTGGTGTGTTGTGTCTTTGTTCTCATTGGTTTTGAAGAACATCTTTATTTCTGCCTTCATTTCGTTATGTACCCAGTAGTCATTCACGAGCAGGTTGTTCAGTTTCCATATGGTAGAGCTGTTTTGAGTGAGTTACTTAATCCTGAGTTCTAGTTCGATTGCACTGTGGTCTGAGAGACAGTTTGTTATAATTTCTGTTCTTCTACATTTGCTGAAGAGTACTTTACTTCCAACTATGTGGTCAATTTTGGAATAAGTGTGATGTGGTGCTGAGAATAATGTATATTCTGTTGATTTGGGGTGGAGAGTTCTGTAGATGTCTATTAGGTCCGCTTGGTGCAGAGCTGAGTTCAATTCCTGGATATCCTTGTTAACTTTCTGTCTCACTGATCTGTCTAATGTTGAGAGTGGGGTGTTAAAGTCTCCCATTATTATTGTGTGGGAGTCTAAGTCTCTTTGTAGGCCTCTAATGACTTGCTTTATGAATCTGGGTGCTCCTGTATTGGGTGCATATATATTTAGGATAGTTAGCTCTTCTTGTTGAATTGATCCCTTTACCATTATGGAGTGGCCTTCTTTGTCTCTTTTGATCTTTGTTGGTTTAAAGTCTGTTTTATCAGAGACTAGGATTGCAACCTCTGCTTTTTTTTGTTTTCCATTTGCTTGGTAGATCTTCCTCCATCCCTTTATTTTGAGCCAATGTGTGTCTCTGCATGTGATATGGGTTTCCTGCATACAGCACACTGATGTGTCTTGACTCTCTGTCCAATTTGCCAGTCTGTGTCTTTTAATTGGAGCATTTAGCCCATTTACATTTAAGGTTAGTATTGTTATGTGTCAATTTGATTCTGTCATTATGATGTTAACTGGTTATTTTGCTCATTAGTTGATGCAGTTTCTTTTTAGCATTGACAGTTTTTACAATTTGGCATGTTTTTGCAGTGGCTGTTACTGGTTGTTCCTTTCCATGTTTAGTGCTTCCTTCAGGAGCTCTTGTAAGGCAGGCCTGGTGGTGACAAAATCTCTCGGCATTTGCTTGTCTGTAAAGGATTTCATTTCTCCTTCACTTATGAAGCTTAGTTTGGCTGGATATGAAATTCTGGTTTGAAAATTCTTTTCTTTAAGAATGTTGAATATTGGCCCCCACTCTCTTCTGGTTTGTAGAGTTTCTGCCGAGAGATCCACTGTTAGTCTGATGGGCTTCCCTTTGTGGGTAACCCGACCTTTCTCTCTGTCTGCCCTTGACATTGTTTTCCTTTATTTCAATTTTGGTGAATCTCATAATTATGTCTCTTAGAATTGCTCTTCTCGAGGAATATCTTTGCAGCATTCTCTGTAGTTCCTGAATTTGAATGTTGGCCTGCCTCGCTAGGTTCTTGAAGTTCTCCTGGATAATATCCTGAAGAGTGTTTTCCAACTTGATTCCATTCTCACCGTCACTTTCAGGTACACCAATCAGATGTAGATTTGGTCTTTTCACATAGTCCCATATTTCTTGGAGGCTTTGTTCATTTTTTACTCGTTTTTCTCTAAACTTCTGTTCTTGCTTCATTTCATTCATTTCAACTTCAATCACTGTTACCCTTTCTTCCACTTTATCAAATCGGCTACTGAAGGTTGTGCATTCATCACGTAGTTCTCGTGCCATGGTTTTCAGCTCCATGAGGTCATTTAGGGACTTATCTACACCTGTTATTCTAGTTTACCATTCGTCTGATCTTTTTTCAAGGTTTTTAACTTCTTTGTGACGCGTTCGAAGATCCTCCTTTAGCTTGGAGAAGTTTGTTATTGATTGTCGGACGCCTTCTTCTCTCAACTCATCAAAGTCATTCTCTATCCAGCTTTGTTCTGTTGCTGGTGAGGAGCTGCATTCCTTTGGAGGAGAAGAGGTGCTCTGATTTTTAGAATTTTCAGCTTTTCTGCTCTGGTTTCTCCCCATCTTTGTGGTTTTATCTACCTTTGGTCTTTGATGATGGTGACGTACAGATGGGGTTTAGGTGTGGATGTCCTTTCTGTTTGTTAGTTTTCCTTCTAACAGTCAGGACCCTCAGTTGCAGGTCTGTTGGAGTTTACTAAGGTCCACTTCACACTCTGTTTGCCTGGGTATCACCAGCAGAGGCTGCAGAACAGCAAATATTGCAGAATGGCTGATGTTGCTGCCTGATCCTTCCTCTGGAAGCTTCATCTCAGGGGCATCCAGCTCTGTAAGATGTCAGTCAGCCCCTACTGGGAGCTGTCTCCCAGTTAGGCTACCTGGGGGTCAGGGACCCACTTGAGGAGGCAGTCTGTCCGTTCTCAGATCTCAAACTGCATGCTGGGAGAACCAGTACTCTCTTCAAAGCTGTCAGACAGGACGTTTAATTCTGCAGAAATTTCTGCTGCCTTTTGTTCAGCTCTGCCCTGCCCCAGAGGTGGAGTCTACAGAGGCAGGCAGGCTTCCTTGAGCTGTGGTGGGCTCTATCCAGTTTTAGCTTACCAGCCGTTTTGTTTACCTAGTCAAGCCTCAGCAATGGCGGATGCCCCTCCCCCAGCCTCGCTGCCACCTTGCAGTTTGATCTCAGACTGCTGTGCTAGCAGTGAGTGAGGCTCTGTGGGCTTCGGACCCTCTGAGCCAGGCACAGGATATGATTTCCTGGTGTGCCGTTTGCTAACGCCATTGGAAAAGCACAGTATTAGGGTGGGTGTTTCCTGATTTTCCAGGTACCGTATGTCATGGCTTCCCTTGGCTAGGAAAGGGAATTCTCCGACCCCTTGTGCTTCCCAGGTGAGAGGATGCCCCACCCTGCTCTGTGGGCTGCACCCTCTGTCTGACAAGCCAGTGAGATAAACCTGGTACCTCGGTTGGAAATGCAAAAATCACCCATCTTCTGTGTCGCTCATGCTTGGAGCTGCAGACTGGAGCTGTTCCTATTCAGCCATCTTGTAACCTCGAGCCTACAACCTGTCTTCCAGCTTACTAATTACTTATTCTATTTGTTTAATAATGCATTTGAGAGATTCTCATGCATTTTCAGTTTGTCAAGTGAATTTTTCTTCTTTTTAAATTTTAATCTTTAAAAAATGTCTCTGACGGAATTTGGAATTCCTTCTCTGCATTGTCTTTAAGTTCATTAGGCTTCCTCAAGACACCTATTTTCAATTCTCTGCCTGACAATTCACATATCTCTGTCACTCCTGAATTGGTCACTGGTGCCTTATTTAGTTTATTTGGTTAGGTTATGTTTTCCTGGATGTTTTTGATGCTTATGTACATTTATTAATGTCTTAACATTGAAGAGTTAGGTGTTGTTTTCAATATTCACCGTCTGTGCTTGGTTTGGCCCATCCTTATTGAAAGACTTCCCGTGTATTCGAAGAGGATTGAGTGTTGTCCTGTAAGTGTGTTTTCACTGAATCCATAACAGCAGTAGGTGGCGTCTTAAGCTGAGGAATGCTGTGACTCTTGCCAAATCCCAGAGGCACTGCTTTGGTGGTGTTGAGTAATATAAGGGAAAATTTCCTGGGTCACCAGGTAAAGTAAGTCACTCTCTTGTCTCTCTTTCCCTCAATATGAAGGAGTCTGTTTTTATGCTGAGTTGTCTAGAATTGGGAAAGGGATGACATGAGTACTCCTGTGGCCACTACAGCTGGCAGTGTGCTAGATTAAACATTAAGCTAGCACAGTACGGGGTCTCATCCAAGGCTCATGGCAACTACTGCCTGACTAATGTTTATAGGAGACTCTGGTGCTCTTGAGTCAGAAGTTTGGGAATCCTCCTGGTACTGGGTTCTTCACTTCAGGACAGTCAATTCCCTTCTCACTAGAGTGGGTCTAGAAAGACCATCCAGGAGCTAAGGCCTGTTATTGGGGACTTCAGGAATCTCCTTGTTGCTTCATTTTACTATAGCTACGCTGGTACCCAACTTGCAAGACAAAATCTTCTGTACTTTTCCCACTCCTTTCCCAAAGCCACAGAAGTCTCTTCACCAGCTACATTGCCGGAGTTAAAGGAAGGGTGATGCATGCACTCTTTTGGCCACCACAGCTGATGTTGTACTAGGTTGGGTGCATCCAAAATCAATTGCCTCTGAGAGAACAGTGCAGCTCCAGGGTTTTTCCAAGGCCTGTAGTCCTTGAGGTCTGATGGCCACTCAAATTTACTTCAGGCCTCGGGCCATGTTAGTCAGCTAGTGGTGGAGCCAGCCAGGACTGGAGTTCCTCCCACTGGAGCTGAGAATTTCCCTCATTCAGAACTGCTCTAAATGTTCCCTGCTTTGGTGCTAGCATAATTTTTCCCTATGTTGCATACCACTGGGACAGGGCAGGACTGGGTTGCAATGCAAAGTAGCCCATTCACTTTACTCACCATCCTGTAAGCAAACAAATTGTCTTTCAATGAGGTGCTGATGGACAATGAGGGAGGGTTTGTGTAGGCAATGCAAGACCATCTTTCCTACTCTCTTCAGTGCCTCTTTTATTGATATTTTGTTAAAACCAGTTATTGTGATTGCTCATTTTATTGGTTCTTATGAATGTGTTTTCTTGCATGCATAGTTGTTTAATTTGGTGTTCTTGCAAGGAGGCTGACTGCTGAAGCATTCTATTCAGCCATCCTGCTCTGCCTACACTTCCCTATAACAGGTTTGTTGAGGTATAATTCATATACCATGCAATGTGCCTATTTAATGTATACAATGTAATGGATTTTAGTACATTTAGAGTTGTGCAACAATCATCACAATTTTAGAATATTTTCGTCATTCCTAAAAGAGACCTCGTACTCATTATCAGTCACTCTACAACCCACTCGCACCTCCATAGCCTTAAGTAACCAAGAATCTACTTTCTGTCTCTATAGATTTGATTATTCTGGATATTTCATGTGAATAGGCTCATACGTATGTGATGTCTTGTTACTGGCTTCTTTCACTAGGCACAATATTTCAAGTTTTATCTATATTGTATCATATATCAGCACTTACTTTGTGTGACTGAGTAATATTTTATCAATAAATTTTATTTATGTATTCATCAATTGACTGGTATTTTACTGTTATGAATGATTATTCATATATAAGTCTTGTATAGGTGTTTTGGTCTTTACTATTTTGAGAAAATACTCTTGTATTTTATTTCTTTCCTTCAATCTCAGGAACCTGTGAAATTTGTAGATTTGCTTGGTGACCATGGGAAACATGTCAGTCCTCTGTGGGAGTTGATCAAATGGTGCCTGGGTCTGTCAGTGTACACCATCCCTTCCATTGGTATGTAAATCATATTCTACCTAGACCAGTTTGATGTCCTGTAATATTTCTTAATATCTAAATATAAATTTTGGACTAAAGGCCCCATGCAAGTCCAAAATCCAGTGGGGTACTGAAATCTTAACGCTCCAAAATGATCTCCTTTGACTCCATGTCTCACATCCAGGTCACGCTGATGCAAGAGGTGGGTTCTCATGGTCTTGGGCAGCTCCACCCCTATGGCTTTCCAGGGTATAGCCTCCCTCCAAGTTGCTTTCATGTGTTGGCATTGAGTGTCTGTGGATTTTCTGGGTGTACTGTGCAAGCTATCAGTGGATCTACCATTCTGGGGTCTGGAGGACAGTGGCCCTCTTCTCACAGCTCCACTAGGCAGTGCTCCAGTGGGGACTCTGTGTGGGAGCTTCAACCCCACATTTCCCTTCCACACTGCCCTAGCAGAGGTTTTCTGTGAGGGCCTTGTCCCTCAGCACACCTCTGTCTGGGCAGTCAGGCATTTTCATACATCCTCTAAAATCTGGGCAGAGGTTTCCAAACATCAATTCTTGATTTTTGTTCACCCACAGGCCCAACACCACATGGAAGCCACCAAGGTTTGGGGCTTCCATCCTCTGAAGCAATTACCTGAGCTCAATCTTGGCCCCTTTTAGCCATGATTCTAGCCATGGCTAGAGGGGCTGGAATGCAGGGCACCAAGTCCCTGGGCTCACACAGCAAGAGGGTCCTGGGCCTGGTCCATGAAACCATTTTTTCCTCTTAGGCCTCTGAACCTGTGATGGAAGGGCTGCCACAAAGGACTCTGAAATGCCCTGGAGACATTTTCTCCATTGTCTTGGAGATTAACATTTGGATCCTCCTTATTTATGTAAATTTCTGCAGCCGGCTTGAATTTCTCCTTAGAAAATGGGTTTTTCTTTTCTATCCATCATCAGGCTGCAAATTTTCCAAACGTTTATTCTCTGTTTCCCCTTTTCTGAAGGACTTGCTTTGATGTCCAGGCTGGAGTGCAGTGATGCAATCATGACTCACTGCAGCATTGACCTCCTGGGCTAAAGCAATCCTCCTGCCTCAACTCCTAAGTTGCTGGGACTACAGGGCTCACCACCACACCTGGCTAAGAGATGGAGTTTCATCATATTGCCCAAGCTGGTCTTGAACCCCTGGGCTCAAGTAATCTGCCAGCCTTGGCCTTGAGAAGTGCTGGGATTACAGACATGAGCCACCATGCTCAGCTATAATGGGTTTTCAATTATGTGAAAAATCCTTATGATGAACTATGCAGTAGCAGAGGCTAGAAATGTTATATATAGCATTACTAAAACAAACTAGAAGGAGTTAAAAGTAAGATTATAAAGTTTCCTTTTCCATCACTTACTTTCTCAGTGTTCTATAATGAACATGTATTACTTGAATAAGAAAAGATAAAGAACACTAGGAATTAAAATGAAGTTTATTACCTTAACTTGATATATGATATCATTCTGTAGGACTGGCTTTGTTGGAAGAAAAGCTCAGATATAGCAATGAGAAATACCAAAAGTTTAAGGCAGTGGAAGAAAGCCTGCGTAAAGAGCTGGTGGATATGCTAGGTGATGATGGTGTGTTCTTATATCCCTCACATCCCACAGTGGCACCTAAGCATCATGTCCCTCTAACACGGCCTTTCAACTTTGCTTACACAGGTACCTAATTGTATTCCTTACATTCTGTAATCTTAAAGAAATAGAGATGTATGTTTCCAAGGAAAGCATAATTTTCTTTTGCAGTTGGACAAGTTTTAAACATGCAGGTATAAAAGTGCTGTGTGATTGAAAACTCCAGAAAACAGTTGCTAATGTCATATGTTGAAGATACTTTGCCAATATCTGGTTTCTCCACAATAATCCTACAAGTGCATATGAGTATCCACATTTTACAGAACTGTGCCTCAGGGAGGTTCAGCCACTTGTCTTCTATCACTCAGTGTGATCACACTAGATCCAAAGTCTCCCCTGGCTGCTCTGAATTAAACCAAGTTAAGCTTTTATCAGGATCTGTGGCTTCCCAGAAGATTCTTGTACAGAAGACAATTCTCCAAGGGATCATTTACTTGACTTAGCTATCATCCCCTTTGAATTCAATTCATTCTATTCACCAAACTAATTTTCTTCACCTGGTTTTTAAGCCATGGATGGATCATGATTATGTGAAGTCTAAAGGCCCCTGGACATGTACTAGGTCAGTTTCTATGGTTTCTCCAGAGTCTTGTCCCAGGGAACCACACTATTCTTTGAGATGAAGATAGAGAACTCTTCATCAAATACACGTTCTCACCCAATAAACCTGTGGTCCACTTAAAGTTAGAATTTGGAATCCTTTGCTCTGCAATTTTCTACTTGTGCATCTGGAGGAAGACATTGAATCTTTCTCAACTTATTTCCTATCTAGGAAGTCAGGGTAATCTATGCCTTGCAGTGTTGCAGTTAAGATTAAATGAAATAATACGTGTAAATTAATTAACATAAGGGTTGTGGAGGATGAGGGAGAGGATATTAAACAGTCCCTATCCTTAATTTCCTTACCCTTACTCTCTCCCTGGCTTTGATCACTCACTCTTAATTTCTTCCTTCCTGTCCTTCCTTCCTTCCTTCCTTGCTTCCTTCCTTCCTTCTTGGAGTTTTGCTCTTGTTGCCCAGGCTGGAATGCAATGGCACAAGCTCGGCTCACTGCAACCTCCACCTCCTAGGTTCAAGCGATTCTCCTACCTCAGACCCCCAAGTAGCTGGGATTACAGGAGTGTGCCACCACACCCAGCTAAGTTTTGTATTTTTAGTAGAGACAGGTTTCACCATGTTGGCCAGGCTGGTCTTGAACTCCTGACCTCAGATTATCTGTCCGCCTTGGCCTCCCAGAGTGCTGGGATTGCATACATGAGCCACCATGCCTGGCCTTAATTTCTTAAGTCTTTGAAAAAACATGCTGCCTAAATTGCTGCGTTTAAGTTTCTATCACCTAGTTACTCAGTTTCTGAAGACAGGTAAAATACTTTAGTCAATAGGCTAGAACCCAAGGAGAAATATACTGTTTATACCTTTTGGGGAGGATTTTCCTCAGCTTGAGGCTTCCTATGGTTTGTAACTTTTCCCTCTAGTTTAGCCTTGAACACATTTAAAGAGTGTTCCTTGTAAGCCAGATGATATTCTAGGTAATATGGATACAAGACCCATGATAGATGATAGCTGCAATTTAGCAAGTATCTAATATATACGAGATACTAGAAGCCAGAAATTCTATACATTATCTCATTTATGTTTCCCCCAAATCCCTCACAGCAACTGAAGTTATCTTTGTGTAAAACCTGAGGAAACTGAATGATGTATAAAGTGATTTAAGGGTCAGGGTCAGGACTGAAATTCAGTTGTATTCTATCTGACTTTAAATGCAATGTTATTTTCACTACATGTATGGGTTAATAATGCTCATTCATGTTTTGTTTTTATTGTCTTTACTAAAGCTGAAAATATAAGAGGTTTGTGAGACCTTTTGTCAAAGATGTAGAATTGTTGGATGCCAAATAGGTTAATGTTTTATTCCTGGTTCTTTTTTTTCCTACTGAGAAATACCCCTCTCAGTTTCTCAAGCTTGTATAAGCTTTTTATGTTTGTCTCCTACTTACAAGATGGGTACACTAAATCAGATATTTAATTTTTGAGCCTTGGCTTTCTTACAGCTAAGATGAGGATGCTAGATTGACTTTGAAGGATGGTTGGAAGGATATAATGTAATAATGTGTAGAGTGCTTTAAAATTATTAATAATAGTGATAATGATACCATTTATTGGAGACATGTATATGTTTATATTGATATTAATGTAGGTAATATCAATATCTCTGCTTTACTTCGTAGTATTAGTTATATGTGTTTTCCTTGTTTTATCTATTCCTAGAATTGTTCTGAGTTTTACATGTTTCATCTCATTTTATCTTACAGCAGCCCTATAAAAAGGAGAAATTATTAGTGTCCTCATTTTACAGATGAAGGAATTTAGACACAAAAATCTTTAGGAAACATTTCCAAAGTCACATAGCTAAGATAATATACGAACTGGGACTTTAACCCAGGCCCTATGATTTCAGAGGAAGTGATCTTATTTATTACACAGAAGAGGAAACAGGAGGCTGAACAGGGTCTCTCAGCTATGAAGTGAAGTGATAAGGATTCAAACCCAGGTCTGTCTGACTCCAAATCCTATTGCTTCTAATTAACTCTCTTCCCTTGTTCTTCTGCCTCACTTAGTGCTCAGTGAAGCAAAGTACCTTCTCCTACTTTGCTCCATTGACACTCTACAATGAGAATAAATTTATTAAGCATGTATTGTGAACTATACTGTATGCACTGGTGTTAGATGAATCAGATACATTCCATGCTCTCAGGGAGCTCCTAGCTTAGTACAAGAGACAAACAAATGTTAACAGAGAATTTCAGTAGAAGAAAACAAAGGAAGGCTTTCTGGAATAGGTGACCCCTGATCTGGGTCCTGAAGGAGAACTAGAAATTAATCAGAGGAAGGATGTTGAGTAAGTATTACAATGGTCCACGCAGTACGAACCCCATGAGCAATAGAACAGAAAAACACACAGGAACACTGTGGACAGAGGGTATAAACACTACACTAACTGGAGAGAGTAAGTTTTTAATAGAGGAGTGAGAGGAGGAGCATGAGTTTGAAAAGGTAAGCATGTCATGGAGAACATTCACAGCCATGCTAAAAACTGCAAAAAAAATTTATTTGTCTTGGCACCCTGCCCCATCCTGCTTTCTTTGCATAATGTCACTGGAATAACACAGTAATGAAAGAGAATAATCTAGCCTGCAGATTCTTTGAATATTTGATTAGCCTATGCTATTTCCTGATAACATGCAATCAACAATGTTTCATATCATTGTATCTCAAAGAAGTTATTTACAGTTTTCTTCCACTTTAGTCCTACCACGATTATCAACATAACACCTATATGTCATAATAATTGGGAGAGGTGATTACCAGGACAGATGGAAGGAAACAGCTTACAAAAGTGGCCTTTCACTGGCTTTCTCCCCTCTCCCCACTTTAGGTGTCTGTACTCAAAGATCTCTTGGACCATTTATATCCTGAGATGAACAGCATTGGCCATACAGCATTTTAAAGATCTCATCTGAGAAACCCATTGATATTGGTGCCAGGAATGCTAAGCAGATCTTTTGTGACCTCTTCAGCATCCAGCATTAGAGTGAAACTCAAGATTTATATGTCAGGTTTGGCAAAATCATAACATGCCACTCTCAAGAGTCCCTCTTGTACCCATGCCAGTCATTAACAATTGATCACAGCATTCTTTTTCTCTGAGAACAAACTTGACTTTGTGATATTTAAACAGAGTGGGCTTGGTCACCTCCCCAATTGATAAGCTAGACACACAAAATGAAATGTTCATGTAGTCTAAGCAAAGATTCTACTTAACAAAATAATCTGCTATATTGTTAGCTCTTCAAAGGCTGTGGTCTGTTTCTATCTTGTTCACCTATGTAATCCGCATTGACTAGGACATTGCATTGTTGCACAAAATGCATAATTATTTTTTGTTAAACTAACAAATACATAATTAAAAATATAAATAAGAATGAACATCCCAGAATAACAGAGTAAGAAGCTCAGCAAATTCTCTCTCAAGCAAACCAGCAATAAAACTGGAAAAATTACTGGAAACAACCATTTCAAGTGTGAAAAATGATCAAATGGCATAAAGCAAATTCAGGAGCATTTATTCAAGAAAAATTAGTGATTCCTAATAAGAAAAGTTGGAGTCTATGATATTTAAGCTGGGATCTGTTTTCCCCTCCGCTTCTCAGATACAGCTTTGAGGTACAAAACTTTCACACTGGGTAGGGCAAGGCAGACCTTAAAGACTGACAACTCCCATTCTTTCCAGACCCATGTTACACAGCATCTGTTGTGGGCAAGTAGAGAATACTGCTACATCCAACAGCTTCCATTACCTGTGGCACCTTATTGTGGAAGTTCTAAACAAGGTCATGGCTGGTCATAAGAACTTGCAGCTCTTCAACCCTGCCCAAGAGAGGCTGATTTTACATGAAGCAGAATATGGAAGATCTTAGATACAAAAAATTCCCTGAAAGCTAAAATTTCAGTGATACTAACAAAATTCACAGCAACGTACCCCAGAGGTAGAGAAAAATCAGAATCAAGAGTTGATAAAATATATTAACTAAAGCATCTAGTTTTCAACAAAAATTTATGAGGCATACAAGTAAAAAAGGAAAATGAGACCCACAAACAACAATGCCCACCTCTGCCACTTGTAGCCAGCAGGCCATGCCTGCTAGAGCTTCCAGCCCAGCAGTTCCTCTTCTTTCTGAACTCTGCCAGTGGACACAGCCTCCTGTTATCCAGGGAAACAGAAAAACTGCAGGATAGGTGATTCCACAACCCCCACCACCACTCATAGCCAGGCAGCTAGAACTTCCAGCCCAGCAGTCCCACTTCTGTCTGAACTCTGATGGCAGGAACAGCCTCTAGAATATAACCCAACAGCAGGTCAGGCAACTGCACCCAAACCCGCCACTCATAGCCAGGAAATCCATGTCTGATAGAGCTTCCAGCCCAGCATTCCCACATCTGCCTGAACTCTGTGTGTGGCCACAACTTCTTGAACCCCCGGAAAGCACCTAGACAGGGGATTAAGTGACCCCACCCCATCCCACAGCTCTTAGATGATCAGGACTTGGTGGTGGCCAAGCAAGGGTGAGCCCTCGTTCTCAGATCACTGAGAGAAGTGGAGATACCCAGGTTCATGGGCTGGCAGAGGATTGGGGTGTGCCTTGTTCCACAGGGCCAGCCTGGCAAGGATATGACCTGTCTACTAAATGTGGTCCCTGCCTGAGGGAGCCCATGGACCAGAACACCTAACAAAAGAAGTGAGGGCATGGAACCAGTGATCGAAGGGGGCTCCTCCAAAGCCCAGGAGCCATCTAGGTGAGCGAGTCACCTCTCTCCCCCACACCACAGAGGACTACTGTCATCTTGGCCAGAACACCGAAGAGCCCTGAAAGAGAGTAGGAAGAGCCTATCTGCCTGCTAGCACTCTTAAGCGCCACCTGCTGGATCTCAGGTCAAAATGCAAACCTAAAATATTTTGCAAGTATGTATCACCTGTGAAAACTAAGGAAAAGATCCAGCCAGAAATAAACATTCTGTACAAAGTCATGACCCTTTGAAATATACCCAGAAACAAAGCCAGCTGACTATCCTCAACTTATCTCACGGGTGAAGAAACATCAACCCTTACACATGAGAAAGAATGAATCCAAGAACTGGCAACTCAAAAAGCCAGTGTTTGCCCTTACCTATAAACGTACACATTAGCCTCCCAGAAATGGTTCTTAACCAGAGTGAGCTGACTGTGGACATAGAATTCAGAAGCTGGATGACAAGGAAGCTCAGTGAGAATGAGGAGAAAGTTGAAACATAATCCAAGGAATCCAATAAAACAATTCAGTAGCTGAAAGATAAAATATCCATTTTAAGAAAGAACCAAATTAAATTTTTGGAACTGAAAAATTTACTTCCAGATCTCCACAATAGAATCTGAAGCATCAGCAGCAGAAAAATTAAGATGAAGAAAGAATCTCTGAGCTGGAAGACCAGCTTATACAATCAACTCAGTCAGACAAAAATAAAGAAAAAAGAATTTTTGAAAATGAAAAAATCCTTTGAGAAATATGGGATTATGTAAAGATACCAAATGTATGACTCATGGTGTTTTCAAAAGAAAAGGAGAGAGAGTAACTTGTAAAACATATTTGAGGATATAGTCCATGAAAATTTCCCCAAACGTCCCAGGGAGGAGGACATACAAATTCAATAAATACACAAACCCCCTGTAGATACTACACAAGATGACAAACCGGAAGGTACATAGTCATCAGATTCACCAAGATCAACTCAAAAGAAAAACTCTTAAAAGTAGCTAAAGAGAAAAATCAGGTTACCTACAAAGTAAACCCCACCAGACTCTCTGTAAGAACTCTCTGTAAGAAACCTACAAGTGAGAAGAGATTGGGGGCCTATTTTCAATATTGTTACAGTGAAGAATTTTCAACCAAGAATATCATATTCCATGAAACTAAACTTCATAAGCAAACGAGAAATAAAATTCTTCCCAGACAAGCAAGTACTAAAGGAATTTATTATTACCAGACCACCCTTACCCGAGTTCTTTAAGAGAGTGCTAAATATGAAAATAAAGGACCAAAACTTGCTACCTCAAAAATCCACTCAAGCACATGGCCCATAAACAATATAAAGCAGCTATGCAGTCAAGTCTAAAAAACAGTCAACAACATGATGACAGGATCAAAATCTCATAAATTAATACTAACCCTGAATGTAAAGGGTCTAAAAGTACCACTTAAAATGCATAGAGTGGCAAGCTAGATAAAAAGATAAAACCCAACAATCTACTGTCTTCAAGAGACCCATTTCAACTGCAATGACACCCACAAGTTCAAAGTAAAAGGATGGAGAAAGATCTATCAAGCAAATAGAAAACAACAACAACAAAAGATCAGGAGTCATTATTCTTACATTAGATTAACAAATTTTAAACCAGCAACGGTCATAAAAGACAAAGAAGGGTAATACTTAATAATAAAGAGTTCAATTCAACAGGAAGTCTTAACTATCCTAAACATATACACACCCAATGTAGAAGTACCTGGATTCATAAAGGAAGTTCTTCCTAACCAATGGAAAGATTTAGACAGCCACAAATAATAACGGGGGATTTTAACATCCCACTCACTGAGTTAGACAGATCACTGAGGCAGAAAACTAACAAAGAAATTCTGGATTGAAACTTGACATTTGATCAATTGGACCCAATCAACCTCTACAGAGTACTCCACACAACAACCACAGAATATATATTTTTCTCATCCATACACAGAACATATTCTAAGGTCCACCACATCCTTGGACATAAAGCAAATCACAATAAATTCAAAGAAATCAAAACCATACCAAGCAAACTCTCAGACCATAGTGCAATAAAAGCAGAAATCAATACCAAGATCTCTCAAAACTACCAGAAAATGGAAATTAAACAACTTTCTCCTGAATAACTCTTGGGCAAAAAACAAAATTAAGACAGTAATTAAAAATTACTTTGAAATTAATGAAATAGGAGACACAGCTTACCAAATCTTTGAGATGCAGTTAAAGCAGTGGTAAGAGACAAATTTGTAGTGCTAAACACCTTCATCAAGAGGTTAGAAAGATGTCAAATTAACAACCTAAAGACAGTCAGATAAACAAGAAAAAAGAACATCCAACTCCGAATAAAGTAGAAGAAAATAAACAACTAAATCAGAGAACTGAGCTGAATTCAGACCTAAAAGACCATACAAAACATCAATGAAAACAAGTGTTGCTCCTTCAAAAGAATAAACAAGATTGATATACCATTAGCTAAACTAACAAGGAATAATAAAAAATAAAGATCCAAATGAGCACAATGAGAAATGACAAAGATGATATTACAACTGATTCCACAGAAATAGAATAGTTCCTTAGAGACTATACAGAACACCTTTGTGAACACAAGTTAGAAAATATAGATACAATGGATAAATTCCTAGAAACACACAACCTTCCAAGATAGAATCAGGGATAAAAGTGAAGACATGAACAGATAAATAACAAGTTCAGAAATTGAATCACTAATAAAAAAACTTACCAACAAAAAAGAGCCCAGGACCATGGATTCACGGCCAAATTCTACCAGACATATAAGGAAAAACTGATACCAATCCTACTCACACTTTCCCAAGAAAATCGAAGAAGAGTCTTCTCCCTAATGCATTCTATGAATCCAGCAGCATTCTGATACAAAAATCTGGCAGAGACAAAATGTAAAGTAAAATAAAAAAAAATTCAAGTCAATATCCCTGATGAACATGGATGCAAAAATTCTCAACAAGATAATAGCAAACTAAATCCACCAGCATATCAAAAAGTTAATCCAACACAGTCATGCAAGTTTTATTTCTGGGATGCAAGGTTGATTCACCATACAGAAATCAATAAATGTGATTCACCAAATAAACAGAATCAAAAGCAAAAACTACATGATCATCTCAATAGATACACAAAAAGCCTATAATATAATCCAACATCCCTTAATGACAAAAGCCCTCAACAGATTAAGCATTAAAGTAGCATACCTAAAAATAGTAAAAGCCATCTACGACAAACCCACAGCCAACGTAATACTGAATGAGCAAAAACTGGAACGGTTCCCCTTGGGAACTGGAACAAGACAAGTATGCCCACTTTCACCACTCCTATTCAATATAGTACTGGATGTGCTAGCCAGCGCAATGAAGAAAGGGAATAAATAAAAGGCACCCAAATAAAAAGAGAGAAAATCAAACTCTCTCTCTTTACTGATATGATTCAATACCTAGAAAACCCTAAAGACTCTGCTAAGTCTCCTGGAACTGATAAATGAATTCACTAAAATTTTAATATACTAAACCAATGTACAAAAATCCTAACATTTTTATACACCAATATTGTTCTAGGTGAGAATCAAATGAAGAACAGAATTCCATTTACAATAGCCACAAAAAAAAAAAAAAGGAATACCTAGGAACCCATCTAACCAATGAGGTAAAGATCTTTACAAGCAGAACTGCAAAACACAGCTAAAAGAAATCAGAGGTAACACAAATAAATGGGAAAATATTTCATGCTCATATATTGGAAGAATCCACATAGTTAAAATGGCCATACTGCCCAAAGCAATTTACAGATTCAACACTACTCCTATCAAAATATTAATGCCATTTTTACAAAATTTGACAAAATTATTTTTAAATTCATTTGGAACAAAAAAAGAACCTCAACAGCTAAAGCAATATTAATCAAAAAGAGCCAATACAGAAGCATCACATTGCCCAACTTCCAAATGTACTATAAGGCTACAATAATCAAAACAGCATGGTACTGCTGCAAAAAAAGACACATAGACCAAGGAAACAGAATTGAGAACCCAGAAATAAACCTGCCACCTACAACCATCTGATCTTCAACAAAATGAGCAAAAGTAAGCAATGGAGGAAAGGACTCTCTATTCAATAAATGGTACTATAATAGTTTGCCTGCCGTATGCAGAAGAATGAAACTGGATCTCTACCTGTCACCATATATGAAAACTAAGTTAAAGTAGATTAAATATTTAAATGTAAGACCTCAAACTATAAAAATATTGACAGATAGCTGGGCAGGTGCCCTGTAATCCCAGCTACTCAGGAGGCTGAGGCAGGAGAATCGCTTGAACCCAGGAGGCAGAGGTTGCAGTGAATCGAGATGGCACCACTGCACTCCAACCTGGGTGACAGAGCAAGACTCCATCCAAAAAAAAACAAAAAAATCCTAGAAGAAAACCTAGGAAGATGGATGTCGAGATGGCTGAATAGGAATAGCAGCTTCAGTCTGCAGTTCCCAGTGAGATCAACGCAGAAGGGGAGTGACTTCTGCATTTGCAATTGAGGTAACCTAATCATCTCGCTGGGACTGGTTAGGCAGTGGGTGCAGACCATGGAGGGCGAGCAGAAGCAGTGTTGGGCATTGCCTTACCCGGGAAGTGCAAGGAGTGGGGGCCTCCGTTCCCTAGCCAAGGGAAGCCCTGAGAGACTGGGCTATCCAGCCCATTTACTATGCTTTCCCCACAGGTTTGCAATCCAAAGAACAGGAGATTCCCTCTTGTGCCTACACCACCAGGGACCTGGGTTTGAAACACAAAACTGGGAGGCTGTTTGGGCAGTCACTGTGCTAGCTGCAAGAGTTGTTTTCTTGTTGTTTCCCAGTGGCGCCTGGAACTCCACCAAGACAGAACCGTTCACTCCCCTGGAAAGAGGGAAAGGGGGCTGAAGCCAGAGAGCCAAGTGGTCTCGCTCAGTGGTTCCCACTCCCATGGAGACAAGCAAGCTAAGAACCACTGGCTTGAAATTCTCACAGCCAGCACAGTACTCTGAAGTCAACCTGGGACGATCTAGCTTGGTGGGGGGAGGGGCATCCGCCATTACTGAGGCTTGACTAGGCAGTTTTCCCCTGAGAGTGCTAACAAGGCCTGAAAGTACAGGCTGAAGGGAAATCAACACAGCATGGCAAAAGCAGCTATGGCCAGACTGCCTCTCTAGATTCCTCCTCACTGGGCAGGGCATCTCTGAAAGAAAGGCAGCAGCCCCAGGCAGGGGCTTATAGATAAATCTTTCATCTCCCTGGGGCAGAGCACCTGGGGGGAAAGGGTGGCTGTGGGCACAGCTTCAGTGAACTTAAACATTTCTGCCTGATGGCTCTGAGGAGAGCAGCAGATCCTGACAAGGGGGTTTCTCCCAGCACAGTGGTCAAGCTCTGCTAAGGAAGAGACTGCCTCCTCAAGTGGGTCTCTAAACCTTGTGCCTCGTGACTGGGATAGACCTCTCAACAGGGTTTGACAGACACCTCATACAGGAGAGCTCTGGCTGGCATAAAGCCAGTGCCCCTCTGGGATTAAGCTTCCAGAGGAAGAAGCAGGCAGCAATCTTTGCTGTTCTGCAGCCTCTGCTGGTGATACCCAGACAAATAGGTTCTGGAGTGGACCTCCAACAAACTTCAGCAGACCTGCGGAAGAGGGGCCTGTCTGCTAAAAGACAAACTAACAAAAAGAAAGCAACAACATCAACATCAGCATAAAGAAACCCTTACAAAACCCCATCCAAAGGTCACCAGCCTCAAAGATCAAAGGTAGATAAATCCACTACAATGAAGAAAAAACAGCACAACAATGCTGAAACTTCCAAAAACAAGAATGCCTCTTCTCCCCCAAGTGATCACAAATCCTCTCCAGCAAGGGCACAAAAATGCATGCAGAATGAGTTTGACGAATTGACAGAAGTAGGCTTCAGAACGTGGGTGATAAAAAACTCATCTAAGCTAAAGAAGTGTGTTCTAAACCAATGCAAGGAAGGCGTGAAGACAAGATTAGAGAAAAAAGAATGAAAAGGAATGAAAAAAGCCTTCAAGAAATATGGGACTATATGAAAAGAATGAACCTACGATGGATTGGGGTCCCTGAAAGTGATGAGGAGAATGGAACCAAGTTGGACAACACACTTCAGGATATTACCCAGGAAAACTTCCCCAACCTAGCAAGACACACGAACATTCAAATTCAGGAAATACTGAGAATACCACTAAGGTACTCCTCAAGAAGAGCAACCCCAAGACAGGTAATCCTCAGATTCTCCAAAGTTGAAAGGCTGGAATAAATGTTAAGGGCAGCTAGAGAGAAAGGTCAGGTTACCTACAAAGGGAAACCCGCCAGACTAATAGCAGATGTCTCTGCAGAAACCCTACAAGCCAGAAGAGAGTGGGGGCCAGTATTCTCAAAGAAAAGAATTTTTAACTCAGAATTTCTTATCCAGCCAAACTAAGCTTCATAAGCAAATGAGAAATAAAATCCTTTCCAGACAAGCAAATGCTCAGGGATTTTGTCACTACCAGGCCTGCCTTACAAGAGATCCTGAAGAAATCACTAAATATGGAAAGGAAAAACTGGTACTAGCCACTGCAAAAATACACCAAAATATAAAGACCAATGACACTATGAAGAAACAGCATCAACTAACGTGCAAAATAACTAGCTAGCATCATGATGACAGAATCAATTTCACACACAACAATATTAACCTTAAATGTAAATGGGCTAAATGCCCCAATTAAAAGACACAAACTGGTAAATTGGATAAAGAGTCGAGACCCATCATTGTGCTGTATTCAGGGGACCCACCTCACGTGCAAAGACGCACATAGGCTCAAAATAAAGGGATGGGGGAATATTTACCAAATAAATGGAAAGCAAAGGAAAACAGGGGTTTCAATCCTAGTCTCTGATAAAACAGACTGCAAACCAACAATGACCAAAAAAGACAAGAAGGGCATTACATAATGGTAAAATGATCAATGTAAAAAGAAGAGCTAACTATCCTAAACATACATGCACCCAATACAGGAGCACCAGATTAATAAAAAAAAAAAAGTTCTCAGAGTTCTACAAAAAGACTTAGACTCCCACACAATAATAGTGGGAGACTTTAACACCCAACTGTCAATATTAGATGGATCAATGAGGCAGAAATGTAGCAAGGATATTCAGGACTTGAACTCAGCTCTGAACCAAGCAAACCTAATAGACATCTGCAGAACTCTCTACCCCAAATCAGCAGAATACATTCTTCCTAACACCACGTAGCACTTATTCTAAAATTGACCACATAGTTGGAAGTAAAACACTCCTCAGCAAATGCAAAAGATTGGAAATCATAACAAAGTCTCACAGAACACAGTGCAATCAAATTAGAACTCAGGATTAAGAAACTCACTCAAAACCACACAACTACATGGAAACTCAACAACCTGCTCCTGAATGACTACTGGGTAAATAACAAAATTAAGGCAGAAATAAATAAGTTCTTTGAAACCAATGAGAACCAAGACAGAACATACCAGAATCTCTGGGACACAGCTGAAGCAGTGTTAAGAGGGACATTTATAGCACTAAATGCCAAAATCAGAAAGGGAGAAAGATCTAAAATCAACACCCTAACATCACAATTATAAGAACTACAGAAGAAAGAGCAGACAAATTCAAAGGCAATCAGAAGACACAAAATAAGATCAGAGCAGAATTGAAGGAGATAAAGACTCAAAAAAACTTTAAAAAAAATCAATGAATACAGGAGCTGGTTTTTCAAAAAGATTAACAAAATACATAGACCACTTGCCAGACTAATAAAGAAGAAAAGAGAGAAGAATCAAATAGACACAATAAAAAATGATAAAGGGAATGTCACCACTGATCCCACAGAAATACAAACTACCATCAGAGAATACTATAAACACCTCTATGCAAATAAACTAGAAAATCTAGAAGAAGTGGATAAATTCCTGGACACATACACCCTCCCAAGGCTAAACCAGGAGGAAGTCACATCCCTGAATAGACCAATAACAAGTTCTGAAATTAAGGCAGTAATTAATAGCCTACAAAAAAAAAAAAAAAAAAAAAACCCAGGACCAGACGCATTCACATGAGGATTCTACCAGAGGTACAAAGAGCAGTTGGTACTATTCCTTCTGAAACGATTCCGAAGAATAGAAGAAGAGGGATTCCTCCCTAACTCATTTTATGAGGCCAGCATTGTCCTGATTCCATAACCCGGCAGAGACACAACAAAAACAGAAAATTTCAGGCCAGTATTCCTGATGAAAATGGATGCAAAATTTCTCAATAAAATACTGGCAAACCGAATCCACCTGCACATCAAAAAGCTTATCCATCACGATGAAGTCGGTTTCATAACTGGGATGCAAGGCTTGTTCAACATACGCAAATCAATAAACATAACCCATCACATAAAGAGAACCAGTGATAAAAAACACATGATTATCTCAATAGATGCAGAAAAAGCCTTCAATAAAATTAAACACCGCTTCATTCTAAAAACTCTAAATAAACTAGGTATTGATGGAACATATTTCAAAATAATAAGCACTATTTATGATAAACCCATAGCCAATATCATACCAAATAGGTAAAATCTGGAAGCATTCCCTCTAACAACCAACACAAGACAAGGATGCCGTCTCTCACCATTCCTATTCAACATAGTATTGGAAGTTCTGGCCAGGCCAATCTGGCAGGAGAAAGAAATAAAGTCTATTCAAATAGGAAGAGAGGAAGTCAAATTGTCTCTGTATGCAGATGACATGATTGTATATTTAGAAAACCCCATCATCTCAGCCCCAAAACTCTTTAAGGTGATAAGCAACTCCAGCAGTTTCATGATACAAAATCAGTGTGCAAAAATCACAAGCATTCCTATACACCAATAATAGACAAGCAGGGAGCCAAATCATGATTGAACTCCTATTCACAATTGCTACAAAGAAAATTTAAAAACCCAGGAATACAACTTACAAGGGACGTGAAGGATCTCCTCAAGAAGAACTACAAACCACTGCTCAAGGAAATAAGAGAGGACACAAACAAATGAAAAAACATTCCATACTGATGGATAGGAAGAATCAATATCATGAAAATGGCCATACCACCCAAAGTAATTTATAGATTCAATTCTATTCCCATCAAGGTATTAGTGACTCTCTTCACAGAACTAGAAAAAACTAATTTAAATTTTATATGAAACAAAAAAAGAGCCCATATAGCCAAGAAAACCCTAAGAAAAAAGACCAAAGCTGGAGGCATCATGCTACCTGACTTTAAACTATATTACAAGACTACAGTAACCAAAACACCATAGTATTGGCACCAAAACAGATATATAGACCAATAGAACAGAACAGAGGCCTTAGAAGTAAGAACACACTTCTATAACCATCTGATCATCGACAAACCTGACAAAAACAAGCAATGAGGAAATAATTACCTATTTAATAAATGGTGCTGGGAAAACTGGCTAAACAGACACTTCTCAAAAAAAGACATTTATCTGGCCAACAAACATGAAAAAAAGCTCATCATCACTGGTCATTAGAGAAATGCAAATCAAAACCACAATGAGATACCATCTCACCCCAGTTAGAATGGTGATCATTAAAAAGTCTGGAAACAACAGTTGCTGGTCAGGATGTGGAGAAATAGGAATGCTTTTACACTGATGGTGGAAGTGTAAATTATTTCAACCATTGTGGAAGGCAGTATGGCAATCCCTCAAGGATCTAGAACAAGAAATACCATTTGACCTAGCAATCACAGTACAGGGAATATACCCAAAGGATTACAAATCATTCTACTATAAAGACAGATCCACACATATGTTTATTGCAGCACTATTTACACTAGCAAAAACTTGGAATCAACCCAAATGCCCATCAATGATAGATTGGATAAAGAAAATGTTGCACATATACACCATAAAGTACTATGCAGCCATAAAAATGAATTAGTTCATGATGTCCTTTGCAGGGACTTGGATGAAGCTGGAAACCATAATCCTCAGCCAACTAACACAGGAACAGAAAACCAAACACTGCATGTTTTTACTCAAAAGCGGGAGTTGAACAATAAGAAGACACACACACAGGGATGGGAACATCACATACCGTGGCCTATTATGGCATTGGGGGAAAGGGGAGCAAGAGCATTAGGACAAATACCTAATGTATGCGGGGCTTAAAACCTAAATGATGGGTTGATAGGTGCAGCAAACCACCATAGCAAATGTATACCTATGTAACAAACCTGCACATTCATCACATGCATCCCAGAACTTAAAGAAAAATAAAAATAATTTTAAAAAGAAAGAAAACCTAGTAAATACTTTTCTTGACATGGGTTTTGGCAAATAATTTATGGCCAAGTTCCTAATAGCAATTGCAAAAAAAAAAAAAAAAAAAAATTGACAAATGAGTCCTAATTAAAGTAAAGGGCTTCTGTGCAATAAAATAAATTACCAATAGAATCAACAAACAGTAACAGAATGGGAGAAAATATTTGCAAACTATACATCCAACAAAGGCCTACTATCCAGAACCTACAAAAAACTTAACAAATCAACGTGCAAAAAAGAAACCACCTGAACAACCACATGTTGGGTACTATGTTTATGACCTGGAAGATAGGATCACTAGAACCTCAAGCCACAGCATCATACAATTTACTCAAGTAACAAATCTACATGATGTATACCATTTAATATATAATAAAAGTTGAAATTAACAAAAAAAACAATGACAACAAAAACAAAATCAGGCAATAGAATCATTCTTTTATCTTGGACTTAGAAGACAAATAATACAATGAGGATATTTAAGGATATTCAGACAACTAAAGAAAACCATGTTCTAAGAATCAAAAGATGGAATGACAGTATTTTATTAAATAGAGACTATCATTGAAGAGATGAAAGTTATTTGAAAGAAAAAGCAAATAGAAATTTTGAAGTTGAAAATTAATTAAAATTAAAATTCACTAGAGGAGCTCAACATTATGTTTTAAATGGAAGAATAAAGAGGAAAGAATCAGCAGGCTTAATGATAGATCAGTTGGCATAATTTAATCTAATGAACAGAGAGAAAAGCAAAAGAATAAAAATAAACAGTCTCAGGGACCATTGTGATACCCATCAAGCATACTAATATATGCATATGGAGAATTCCAGAACGGGAGATGAGTAAGAAAAGATGAATCAAAAAAAGTTTGAGGACATTATATCTGAAAATGTGATGAAGTTAACAAACTCTAAGTAGGACAAATGCAAAGATATCCACCCTAAATAAATGAAAAATTCAAAAGTAGCAAAGAAAAATAACCTACCCATCAACTAGAAGGAAACCACAATAACAGTGATGGATGAGTTATCAGAAACAAGGAAGCCAGAAAACAGTGAGATGATATTTTTAAAATAATAAAAGACAGCCAACCAATACTCTTATAATTCACAGAATCTTTCAAATGTTAAGACAAAATAAAAACCTTTGCAGATAAACTAAAACTGAAAGAGAATTGTGTTGCTAGGAGATCATCTTTACAAGAAATACTACAGGGAGTTTGTCTTGGTGAAAGAAAGTGACACCAGACAATAATTCAAAGTCATATGAAAAATCAAGGAGCTCTGGTGAAGGTAATTACAAAAGACATAATAATTACAAATTTATTATTATTTCTTCTCTTGCTTTTAAAAATAATACCCAAAACAATTATTAAATGGTATGTTTTGAATTATATATAAATGTAATATATATGACAGCAATAGCACAAAGGAATGGAGAAGGAATAAAGCTATATTGTAACAAGAAAATGACACTCAACCATAACTGAAATCCAAAAATGGAATGAAGACTACTGGAAATGGTAAGCAGGTTAATGCAAAAGACTCTACAAATGTACTTTCCTCTTTTTTCTTGTCTTCTTTCATACACACGCACACATAAAAACACATACATACATTATATAAAGTGAAAGCTATAGCACTGTATTGTTGGATTATCTCTCTCTCTCTCTCTCTCTCTCTCTCTATATATATATATATATATATATACCCACACACACATAGTATACATAACTATAATAACACAGAAAAGGATTAGAGAATGCAGCTATTTTGCTGCAAACTTTTTGTATTTTACTGTAAATTAGTTAATAGATTCTGAAGAGTTAAGATGGCTGTTTTAATCCATAAATCAGTCACTAAAAATACCTCAAAATATAGCCTAACAACTCAAAACTAATTAAAATAATATACTGGAAAAGTATATATATGTGTATATATATCTTAATTAAAATAATATACTGGAAAAGTATATATATATATATAACAAAAGTATGTAAAAGAGGAACAGAAAAAACGAGGCATATAGAAAACATGTAGCAAATCAGGTATATAAATACAACAATTTCAGTAATAACATTAAATTTGAATGGAACAAACACTCCAATCAAACGGCAAACATGCCAGGCTGGATGCAAAAAATCAAGGATCAACAGTATGCTATATACAAAGGACACAATTAAGATTCAAATAGATTGAAACTAAAAGGATGGGAAAAGATATTTCCTATCTATTATTTTCCCCACTTGAGATATTGGAAAGCACTCAGCAGTCTCCACAGAGTATATACACAAGGCTTCTATTGAAAGGCAAAAGGTATAGGGCAGTGACAGTCTAAGAATGCAGACAAGCATTAAGGGTGTGAAATAAATACATTGTAGGCAACCATTGTGGATGTAGGATTGATTTCATAATGCAAGATGCCTATGAGCCCTAATCACATACACAGACCATGCTGAATCTTGAGCTTTAATAATCAAGATTTGTACAAGGAATCTTGGCTTATAGAGGTCTCAAAAACAAGCTCTCCAGAGGTGGTTTTGCTGCTGTTGTTTTTGTTGCTGATGATGATGATTTTTGTTACCCTCACCACATAATTAAGATAGACTTTCCAAACAAGTTTCAATCTATTATTAAATAAGTTGATTTGGGTTCCAAGATGGCCAAATAGGAACAGCTCCAGTCCACAGCTCCCAGCATGAGCGACGCAGAAGATGGGTGACTTCTGCATTTCCAACTGAGGTACCAGATGCATCTCACTGGGGAGTGTTGGACAGTGGGTGCAGGACAGCGGGTGCAGTGCAATGAGAGTGAGCCAAAGCAGGGCAAGGCATCGCCTCTCCCAGGAAGTGCAAGGGGTCAGGGAATTCCCTTTCCTAGTCAAAGAAAGGGGTGACAGAAGGCACCTTGAAAATCGGGTCACTCCCACCATAATACTGCACTTTTCCAATGGTCTTAGCAAAGGGCACACCAGGAGATTATATCCTGCACCTGGCTCAGAGGGTCCTACACCCATGGAGCCACACTCATTGCTAGCATAGCAGTCTGAGATCAAACTGCAAGGTGACAGCGAGGCTGGAGGAGAGGTGCACAACATTGCTGAGGCTTGAGTAGGTAAACAAAGCAGCCAGGAATCTTGAACTGGGTGGAGCCCACCACAGCTCAAGGAGGCCTGCCTGACTCTGTAGACTCCACCTCTGGGGGCAGGGCATAGCCAAACAAAAGGCAGCAGAAACCTCTGCAGACTTAAATGTCCCTGTCTGACAGCTCTGAAGAGAGTAGTGGTTCTCCCAGCACAGTTTGAGATCTGAAAACGGACAGACTGCCTCCTCAAGTGGGTCCCTGACCTCCAAGTAGCCTAACTGAGAGACACCCCCCAGTAGGGGCAGACTGACACCTCACACAGCTGGGTACCCCTCTGAGATGAAGCTTCCAGAGGAATGATCAGGCAGCAACATTTGCTGTTCAGCAATATTCGTTGTTCCACAGCTTTCGTTGCTGATACCAAGGCAAACAGGGTCTGGAGTGGACCTCCAGCAAACTCAAACAATCCTGCAGCTGATGGTCTACGCTGTTAGAAGGAAAACTAACAAAAAGAAAGGACATCCACACCAAAAATCCATCTGTTGGTCACCATAATCAAGACAAAAACTAGATAAAACCACAAAGATGGTGAAAAAACAGGGCAGAAAATCTGAAAATTCTAAAAATCAGAGCACCTCTCCCCCTCCAAAGGAACGCAGCTCCTCAACAGCAATGGAACAAAGCTGGATGGAGAATGACTTTGACGAGTTGAGAGAAGAAGGCTTCAGATGATCAAACTTCTCTGAGCTAAAGGAGCAAGTTCGAACCCAATGCAAAGAAGTTAAAAACGTTGAAAAAAGATTAGATGAATGGCTAACTAGAATAACCAGTGTAGAGAAGTCCTTAAATGACCTGATGGAGCTGAAAACCATGGCATGAGAATGACGTGATGAATGCACAAGCTTCACTAGCTGATTTGATCAAACGGAAGAAAGGGTATCAGTGATTGAAGATCAAATGAATGAAATGAAGTGAGAACAGAAGTTTACAGAAAAAAATAGTAAAAAGAAATGAAGAAAGCATCCAAGAAATATGGGACTATGTGAAAAGACCAAATCTACGTCTGACTGGTGTACCTGAAACTGACGGGGAGAATGGAACCAAGTTGGAAAACACTCTACAGGATATTATCCAGGAGAACTTCCCCAATCTAGCAAGGTAGGCCAACATTCAGATCCAGGAAATACAGAGAATGCTGCAAAGATACTCCTCGAGATGAGCAACTCCAAGACACATAATTGTCAGATTCACCAATGTTGAAATGAAGGAAAAAATATTAAGGGCAGCCAGAGAGAAAGGTTGGGTTACCCACAAAAGAAAGCCCATCAGACTAACAGCGGATCTCTCAGCAGAAACTCTACAAACCAGAAGAGAGTGGGGGCCAATTTTCAACATTCTTAAAGAAAAGAATTTTCAACCCAGAATTTCATATCCAGCCAAACTAAGCTTCATAAGTGAAGGAGAAATTAAATCCTTTACAGACAAACAAATGCTGAGAGATTTTATCACTACTAGGCCTGACCTACAAGAGCTCCTGAAGGAAGCACTAAACATGGAAAGGAACAACTGGTAACAGCCACTGCAAAAACATGCCAAATTGTAAAGACCTTCAAAGCTAGGAAGAAACTGCATCAACTAACGAGCAAAATAACCAGCTAACATCATAATGAAAGGATCAAATTCACACATACCAATATTAACCTTAAATGTCAATGGGCTAAACGCTCCTATTAAAAGACACAGACTGACAAATTGGATAGAGAGTCAAGACCCATCAGTGTGCTGTATTCAGGAGACCCATCTCACATGCAGAGACACACATTGGCTCAAAATAAAGGGATGGAGGAAGATCTACCAAGCAAATGGAAAACAAAAAAAGGCAGGGGTTGCAATCCTGATCTCTGATGAAACACACTTTAAACCAACAAACATCAAAAGAGACAAAGAAGGCCATTACATAATAAAAAAGTGATCAATTCAATAAGAAGAGCTAACTATCCTAAATACATCTGCACCCAATACAGGAGCACCCAGATTCATAAAGCAAGTCCTGAGAGACCTACAAAGAGAATTACACTCCAACACAATAATAATGGGAGACTTTAACACCCCACTGTCAACATTAGACAGATCAGTGAGACAGAAAGTTAACAAGGATATCCAGTAATTGAACTCAGCTCTGCACCAAGCGGACCTAATAGACATCCACAGAAGTCTTCACCCCAAATCAACAGAATATACATTCTTCGCAGCACCACACCTCACCTATTCCAAAATTAACCACATAGTTGGAAGTAAAGCACTCCTCAGCAAATGTAAAAGAACAGAAATTATAACAAACTGTCTCTTAGATCACAGTGCAATCAAACTAGAACTCAGGATTAATAAACTCACTCAAAACCACTCAGCTACATGGAAACTGAAGAACCTCCTCCTGAATGACTACTGGGTACATAATGAAATGAAGGCAGAAATAAAGATGTTCTTCAAAACCAATGAGAACAAAGACACAAAACACCAGAATCTCTGGGACACATTTAAAGCAGTGTGTAGAGGGAAATTTATAGCACTAAATGCCCACAAGAGAAAGCAGGAAAGATCGAAATTTGACACCCTAATATCACAATTAAAAGAACTATAGGAGCAAGAGCGAACACATTCAAAAGCTAGCAGAAGGAGAGAAATAACTCAGATCAGAGAAAAACTGAAGGAGATAGAGACACAAAAAACCCTTCAAAATATCAACGAATCCAGGAGCTGGTTTTTTGAAAAGATCAACAAAATTGATAGACTACTAGCAAGACTAATAAAGAAGAAAAGAGAAGAATCAAATAGACACAATAAAAAATGATAAAGCGGATATCAACACCAATCCCACAGAAATACAAACTACCATCAGAGAATACTATAAGCACCTCTATGCAAATAAACTAGAAAATCTAGAAGAAATGGATAAATTTCTGGACACATACACCCCCTAAGACTAAACCAGGAAGAACATGAATCCCTGAATAGACCAAAAACAGGCTCTGAAATTGAGGCAATAATTAATAGCCTACCAACCAAAAGAAGTCCAGGAGCAGATGGACTCGCAGCCAAATTCTACCAGAGGTACAAGGAGGAGCTGGTACCATTACTTCTGAAACTATTCCAATCGATAGAAAAAGAGCGAATCCTCCCTAACTCATTTTATGAGGCCAGCATCATCCTAATACCAAAGCCTGGCAGAGACACAACCAAAAAAGAATTTTAGACCAATATCCCTGATGAACATTGATGCAAAAATCCTCAATAAAATACTGGCAAACCGAATCCAGCAGCACATAAAAAAGCTTATCCACCATGATCAAGTGGGCTTCATCCCTGGGATGCAAGGCTGCTTCAACACACGCAAATCAATAAACGTAATCCAGCATCTAAACAGAACCAAAGACAAAAAACACATGATTTTCTCAATAGATGCAGAAAAGGGCTTCAACAATATTCAACAGCCCTTCATGGTAAAAACTCTCAATAAATCAGATATTGATGGAATGTATCTCAAAATAATAAGAACTATTTATAACAAACTCACAGCCAATATCATACTGAATGAGAAAAAACTGGAAGCATTCCCTTTGGAAACTGGCACAAGACAGGGATGACCTCTCTCACCATTCCTATTCAACATAGTGTTGGAAGTTATGGCCAGGGCAATGAGGCAAGAGAAAGGAATAAAGGGTATTCAATTAGGAAAAGAGGAAGTCAAATTGTCCCTGTTTGCAGATGACAAGATTGTAAATCTAGAAATCCCCATTGTCTCAACCCAAAATCTCCTTAAGCTGATAAGCAACTTCAGCAAAGTCTCAGGATACAACATCAATGTGCAAAAATCACAATCATTCTTATACACCCATAACAGATAGAGAACCAAATCATGAGTGAGCTCCCATTCACAATTGCTTCAAAGAGAATAAAATACCTAGGAATCCAACTTACAAGGGATGTGAAGGACCTCTTCAAGGAGAACTACAAACCACTGCTCAACGAAATAAAAGAGGATGCACATAAATGGAAGAACATTCCATGCTTATGGATAGGAAGAATCAATATCGTGAAAATGGCCATACTGCCCAAGGTAATTTATAGATTCAATGCCATTCCCATCAACCTACAAATGACTTTCTTCACAGAATTGGAAAAAACTACTTTAAAGTTCATATGAAACCAAAAAAGAGCCCGCATTGCCAAGTCAACCCTAAGCCAAAAGAACAAAGCTGGAGGCATCACACTACCTGACTTCAAACTATACTACAAGGCTACAGTAACCAAAACAGCATGGTGCTGGTACCAAAACATAGA
Source organism: Homo sapiens (assembly GCF_000001405.40). Classification (NCBI taxonomy): domain Eukaryota; kingdom Metazoa; phylum Chordata; class Mammalia; order Primates; family Hominidae; genus Homo; species Homo sapiens. Next base: position 57,471,896 of record NC_000023.11, read on the forward strand.
TACAGACCAATGGAACAGAACAGAGCACTCAGAAATAATACCACACATCTACAACCATCTGATCTTTGACAAACCTGACAAAAACAAGAAATGAGGAAAGGATTCCCTATTTAACAGGTGGTGCTGGGAAAACTGGCTAGCCATATGTAGAAAGCTGAAACTGGATCCCTTCCTTACACCTTATACAAAAATTAATTCAAGTTGGATTAGAGACTTAAATGTTAGACCTAAAATGATAGAAAGCTTAGAAGAAAACCTAGGCAATACCATTCAAGACATAGGCATGGGCAAGGACTTCATGTCTAAAACACCAAAAGCAATGGCAACAAAAGCCACAATTGACAAATGGAATCTAATTATACTAAGGCGCTTCTGCACAGCCAAAGAAACTACCATCAGAGTGAACAGGCAACCTACAAAATGGGAGAAAATTTTTGCAATCTACTCATCTGACAAAGGGCTAATATGCAGAATCTACAAAGAGCTCAAACAAATTTACAAGAAAGAAACAACTCCATCAACAAGTGTCCTGTAGTTTTTTTGTTGTTCTTGTGTTCTTTCATGTTTTTAATATCGTGGAGATACTGGATTTGTACAATGATTTAGAGAGGTATTCCTACACTTTGATTTTTTGGAATAGCCTCAGTAGGATGACACCAGATCTTTTCTGTACATCTGGCAAAACCTGACTGTGAATCTGTCTGTTCCTGTTCTTTTGTTTGTTGGAAGATTTGTATTACTGATTAGATTAGTGATTAGATCTCTTTGTTGGAAGATTTGTATTACTGACTAGATTTTTTTTTTTACTTGTTTGTGGTCTGTTCAGGTTTTCTATTTCTTGCTAGTTCAATCTTGAGAAGTTGTATGTTTCCAGGAAACTATCAATTTTCTCTAGATTTTCTAGTTTGTGTGCATAGAATTGTCCATATTAGTCCCTGATTGTCTTTGGTATTTCTATGGCATAAGTTGTAATATCACCTTCATCATTTCTGATTGTGCTTATTTGAATCTTCTCTGCTTCTTTTTTGTTTTTTCATTAGTCCTGCTAGGGGTCTGTCAAGTTTTTTTCTAATGCTTTCAAAGAACTAAATTTTCTTTCATTAATCCTTTTTAGCTTTTTGTGGTCTCAATCCTATTTAGTTAATCCTGGCCATGTTATTTCTTTTCTTCTGCTAGCTTTGGATTTGGTTTGTTCATGTTTTTATATTTCCTTAAGGTGTGAATTAGTTTGTTAATTTTAGAGCTCTCTCTCCTTTTCATGTAGGCATTTAATGCTATAAACTTTCGTTTTAGCACTTTTTTGCTGTGTTTTAGATGTTTTGTTATATTGTGTCTGTTTTTATACACTTCAATTTTTTTTAAATTTCTGCCTTAATTTCATTGTTCACCCAAAAATTATTTAAGAATAAGTTGTTTAGTTTCCATGTATTAGCATAGTTTTGAGAGATTTTCTTGTTATTGCTTTCTAAATTTATTCCACTGTGGTCTGAGAAGAGACTTGATATTATTTTACCTTTTTGAATGCGTTGAGACTTGCTTTCTGGCCAAGCATATGTTCAATTTTGGAGAATGTTCCATGCACAAGTGAGCAGAATGTATATTCTGTGGTTGTTGTGTATGCTATAGTGTAAATGACTACTACGTCCATTTGATCTATAATCCAGTTAAATCTTGTTGATTTTCTGCCTTGATTATCTGTCTAGTGATATCAGTGGGGTGTTAAAGTCCCACTATTGATATGTTGCTATCAATCTATTTTCTTAGGTCTAGAAGTATATTTTTTATAAATCTGGATGTTCCAGTGTCTGTTGCATATATAATTTAAATAAATAAATCTTCTTTTATTGGAGCTTTTCTTAATATATAATGACCTTATTTATATTTTAGTACCATTGTTGATCTAAAGTCTGTTTTATCTGATATGAAAGTGGTTATTCCTGCTTGCTTTTGTTTTTCATTTGCATGGTGTATCTTTTTCCACCGTTTTACTTTGAGTCTCATTGTGCCTTTGGCCAGTAGGTGGGTCTCTTGTAGACTGCAGATGGTTGGGTCTTATTTTGTGACTCTGTATCCTTTAAGTGGAGTATTTATGCCATTTACATGCAAGATTAATATTGATATGTGAGGTTTTCTTCCTATTACAATAGTGTTAGTTATTTTGGAGTTTCCATTGTGTAATTGCTTTGTGTGATCTGTGAACTTTGTACTTATGTGTCTTTGTCTGACAGTGAGTATCTTCCATTTGTTTTCATGTTTACAATTCATTTAAGCATTTTTTGTATGTCCAATCTAGTGGTGATTTTTTTAAAATTTTACATTAACTTCTGGGATACACGTGTAGAATATGCATCTTTGTTACATAGGTATACATGTGCCATGGTGGTTTCCTGCACCTATCCGCCCATCATTTAGGCTTTAAGCCCTGCATTTATTAGGTATTTGTCCAAATGCTCTCCCTCCCCTTGTCCCCCGCCCCCAACAGGCCTCAGTGTGTGATTTTCCCCTCCCTGTGTCCATGTGTTCTCATTGTTCAACTCCCACTTATGAGTGAGAACATGTGGTATTTGGTTTTATGTTCCTGTGTTAGTTTGCTGAGAATTATGGCTGCCAGCTTCATCCATGTTCCTGAAAAAGACAAGAGCTTGTTCTTTTTTATGGCTGCATAGTATTCCATGATATATATGTGCCATGTTTTCTTTACCTAGTCTATCACTGATTGACATTTGGGTTAGTTCCAAGTCTTTGCTATTGTAAATAATGCTGCAATAAACATATGTGTGCATGTGTCTTTATAGTAGAATGATTTATAATCCTTCAGGTATATATGCAGTAATGGGATTTCTGGGTCAAATGGTATTTCTGGTTCTAGATCATTGAGGAATTGCCACATTGTCTTCCACAATCATTGAACTAATTTAAAAGTGTAAAAGCATTTCTATTCCTCCACAGGCACACCAGCATCTGTTGTTTCCTGGTTTGTTAATAATCGCCATTCTAACTGGCGTGAGATGGTATCTCATTGTGGTTTTGATTTGTGTTTTTCTAATGACCAGTGATAAGGAGCATTTTTTCATATATCTGCTGGCCGTATAAATGTCTTCTTTTGAGAAGTGTCTGTTCATATCCTTCACCCAATTTTTGATGGGATTTTTTGTATCTTTCTTGAAAATTTAAATTCCCTGTAGATTGTGGATATTAGACCTTTGTCAGATCGGTAGCATGCAAATCTTTTTTTCCATTTTGTAGGTTATCTGTTCACTCTGATGCTAATTTCTTTTGCTGAGAAGAAGCTATTTAATTTGATTAGATTGCATTTGTCAACTTCAGCTTTTGTTGCAATTGCTCTTGGTGTTTTATTCATGAAGTATTTGCCCATGCCTATGTCCAGAATGGTATTGCCTAGGGTTTCTTCTGGGTTTTTATGGTTTTGGGTTTTACATTTAAGCCTTTAATTCATACTAAGTTAATTTTTGTATAAAATGTAAGGAAGGGATTCAGTTTCTGTTTTCTGCATATGGCTAGCCAGTTTTTTCAGCATCATTTATTAAATAGTGCGTCTTTCCCCATTGCTTGTTTTTGTCAGGTTTATTGAAGATCAGATGGTTGTAGCTGTGTGGTGTTATTTCTGAGGTCTCTGTTCTGTTCCATTGATCTATATATCTGTTTTGATACCAGTGCCATGCTGTTTTGGTTACTGTACCCTTGTAGTATAGTTTTAAGTCAGGTAGCATGATTCCTCCAGCTTTGTTCTTTTTGCTTAGGATTGCCGTAGCTAAATGGGCTCTTTTCTGGTTCCATATGAAATTTAAAGTAGTTATTTTTAATTCTGTGAAGAAAGTCAATGATAGCTTGATGGGAATAGCATTGAATCTATGAATTACTTTGGGCAATATGGCCATTTTCAGGATATTGATTCTTCCTATCCATGAGCTTGAATTGTTTTTCCATTTGTTTATGTCCTTTCTTATTTCCTTGAGCAGTGTTTTGTAGTTCTCCTTGAAGAGGTCTTTCACGTCTAATGGAAGTTGTATTCCTAGGTATTTTATTCTCTTTGTAGCAATTGTGAATGGGAGTTCAATCATGATTTGGCTGTCTGCTTGTCTATTGTTTGTGTATAGGAATGCTTGGGATTTTTGTACATCGATTTTGTATCCTGAGACTTTGCTGAAGTTGCTTATCAGCAACTTAAGGAGTTTTTGAGCTGAGACAATTAAGTTTTCTAAATATACAATAACGTCATCTGCAAACAGAGACAATTTGACTTCCTCTTTTTCTACTTGAATACCCTTTATTTATTTTTCTTGCCTGATTTCCCTGGCCAGAACTTCCAATACTGTGTTGAATAGGAGTGGTGAGAGAGGGCATCCTTGTCTTCTGCTGGGTTTCAAAGGGAATGCTTCCAGCTTTTACCCATTCAGTATGATATCGGCTATAAGTTTGTCATAAATAGCTCTTATTATTTTGAGATGTGTTCCATCAATACCTAGTTTATTGAGAGCTTTTAGCATGAAAGGGTGTTGAATTTTATCAAAGGCCCTTTCTGCATCTATCATGTGGATTTTGTCACTGGTTCTGTTTATCTGATGGATTACGTTTTGATTTTCATATATTGAACCAGCCTTGCATCCCAGGGATGAAGCCGACTTGATCATGGTTTATAAGCTTTTTGATGTGCTGCTGAGTCCGTTTTGCCAGTATTTTATTGAGGATTTTCACATTGATGTACATCAGAGATGGTGGCCTGAAATTTTCCTTTTTTGTTGTGTCTCTTCCAGGTTTTGTTATCAGGAAGATGCTGGCCTCATAAGATGCATTAAGGAGGAGGCCTTCTTATTCTATTGTTTGGAATAGTTTCAGAAGGAATGGTACCAGCTCCTCTTTGTATATATGGTAGAATTTGACTGTGAATCTGTCTGGTCCTGGGCTTTTTAAATTGATGTTCTTGGACTTTTTTTTTTTTAATTACTGCCTCAATTTCAGAATTTGTTATTGGTCTATTCAGGGTTTCTAATTCTTCCTGGTTTAGTCTTCAGAGGGTGTATGTGTCCAGGAATTTATCCATTTCCTCTGTGTTTTCTAGTTTATTTGCATAGAGGTGTTTACAGTATTCTCTGATGGTAATTTGTATTTCTGTGGAATCAGTGGTGATATCGCCTTTATCATTTTTTATTATGTCTATTTGTTTGTTCTCTATTTTTTTCATTATTAGTCTATATAGTGATCTATTTATTTTGTTAATCTTTTCAAAAAACCTGTTCCTGGAGTCATTGATTTTTTTGAAGGGTTTTTCATGTCTCAATCTCTTTCAGTTCTGCTCTGATCTTAGTTATTTGTTTTTTAATTTTTAATAATATGTTATTTATGTTATAGTATTGGCTTAAAAGACACAATAATATAATTACACTGCTACATATTCATGAAAAATTATTTCATCAACAAAGCAGGATATTAAGCTGTAATGGGTACAGCTTTTAATAATCATATATTTACTTAGTAGAAAAAAATCTGGACTACTATAAACTAAAACATTTACTGTGGCTGTTTTTGTTTTGATTTATACTTTCTTTTGTTTATTGCTATGTTCTAAATTTTCTTTTTATATATATTATTATACTTTAAGTTCTAGGGTGCATGTGCACAATGTGCAGGTTTGTTACACATGTATACATTTGCCATGTTGGTGTGCTGCACCCATTAACTCGTCATTTGCATTAGGTATATCTCCTAATGCTATCCCTCCCCGCTCCCCCAACCCCACAACAGGCCCCGGTGTAAGATGTTTCCCTTCCTGTGCCCAAGTGTTCTCATTGTTCCATTCCCACCTATGAGTGAGAACATGCAGGGTTTGGTTTTCTGTCCTTCCAATAGTTTGTTGAGAATGATGGTTTCCAGCTTCATCCGTGTCCCTACAAAGGACATGAACTCATCCTTTTGATGGCTGCATAGTATTCCATGGTGTATGTGTGCCACATTTTCTTAATGCAGTCTATCATTGTTGGACATTTGGGTTGGTTCCAAGTCTTTGCTACTGTGAATAGTGCCACAATAAACATACATGTGCGTGTGTCTTTACAGCAGCATGATTTATAATCCTTTGGGTATATACCCAGTAATGGGATGGCTGAGTCAAATGCTATTTCTAGTTCTAGATCCATGAGGAATCACCACACTGTCTTCCACAATAGTAGAACTAGTTTATAGTCCCACCAACAGTGTGAAAGTGTTCCTATTTCCCCACATCCTCTCCAGCACCTGTTGTTTCCTGACTTTTTAATGATTGCCATTCGAACTGGTATGAGATGGTATCTCATTGTGGTTTTGATATGCATTTCTCTGATGGCCAGTAATGGTGAGCATTTTTTCATGTGTTTTTTGGCTTCATAAATGTCTTCTTTTGAGAAGTGTCTGTTCATGTCCTTTGCCCACTTTTTGATGGGGTTGTTTGTTTTTTTCTTGTAAATTTGTTTGAGTTCATTGTAGATTCTGGATATTAGCCCTTTGTCAGATGAGTAGGTTGTGAAAATTTTCTCCCATTTTGTAGGTTGCCTGTTCACTCTGATTGCAGTTTCTTTTGCTAAAGAAGCTCTTTAGTTTAATTAGATCCCATTTGTCAATTTTGGCTTTTGTTGTAATTGCTTTTGGTGTTTTAGACATGATGTCCTTGCACATGCCTATGTCCTGAATGGTAATGCCTAGGTTTTCTTCTAGGGTTTTTATGGTTTTAGGTGTAACGTTTAAGTCTTTAATCCATCTTGAATTAATTTTTGTATAAGGTGTAAGGAAGGGATCCAGTTTCAGTTTTCTACATATGGCTAGCCAGTTTTCCCAGCACCATTTATTAAATAGGGAATCCTTTCCATATTTCTTGCTTTTCTCAGGTTTGTCAAAGATCAGATAGTGGTAGATATGTGGCATTATTTCTGAGGACTCTGTTCTGTTCCATTGATGTATATCTCTGTTTTGGTACCAATACCATGCTGTTTTGGTTACTGTAGCCTTGTAGTATAGTTTGAAGTCAGGTAGCATGATGCCTCCAGCTTTGTTCTTTTGGCTTAGGATTGACTTGGCAATGTGGGCTCTTTTTTGGTTCCATATGAACTTTAAAGTAGTTTTTCCCAATTCTGTGAAGAAAGACATTGGTAGCTTGATGGGGATGGCAATGAATGTATAAATGACCTTGGGCAGTTTGGCCATTTTCACGATATTGATTCTTCCTACCAATGAGTATGGATTGTTCTTCCATTTTTTTGTATCCTCTTTTATTTCATTGAGCAGTGGTTTGTAGTTCTCCTTGAAGAGGTCCTTCACGTCCCTTGTAAGTTGGATTCTTAGGTATTTTATTCTCTTTGAAGCAATTGTGAATGGGAGTTCACTCATGATTTGGCTCTCTGTTTGTCTGTTATTGGTATATAAGAATGCTTGTGATTTTTGTACGTTGATTTTTGTATCTTGAGACTTTGCTGAAGTTGCTTATCAGCTTAAGGAGATTTTGGGCTGAGACAATGGGGTTTTCTAGATATACAATCATGTCATCTGCAAACAGGGACAATTTGACTTCCTCGTTTCCTAATTGAATGCCCTTTTTTTCCTTCCCCTGCCTAATTTCCCTGGCCAGAACTTCCAACACTATGTTGAGTAGGAGTGGTGAGAGAGGGCATCCCTGTCTTGTGCCAGTTTTCAAAGGGAATGCTTCCAGTTTTTGCCTATTTAGTATATTGGCTGTGGGTTTGTCATAGATAGCTCTTATTATTTTGAGATACGTCCCATCAATACCTAATTTATTGAGAGTTTTTAGCATGAAGAGGTGTTGAATTTTGTCAAAGGCCTTTTCTGCATCTATTGAGATAATCATGTGGTTTTTGTCTTGGTTCTGTTTATTTATTGATTTTCGTATACTGAACCAGCCTTGCATCCCAGGGATGAAACCCACTTGATCATGGTGGATAAGTTTTAATTGATAGACCACTAGCAAGACTAATAAAGAAGAAAAGAGAGAAGAATCAAATAGACGCAATAAAAAATGATAAAGGAGATATCACCACCAATCCCACAGGAATACAAACTACCATCAGAGAATACTACAAACACCGCTATGCAAATAAACTAGAAAATCTAGAAGAAATGGATAAATTCCTCGACACATACACCCTCCCAAGACTAAACCAGGAAGAAGTTGACTCTCTGAATAGACCAATAACAGGCTCTGAAATTGTGGCAATAATCAATAGCTTACCAACCAAAAAGAGTCCTGGACCAGATGGTTTCACAGCCGAATTCTACCAGAGGTACAGGGAGGAACTGGTACCATTCCTTCTGAAACTATTCCTATCAATAGAAAAAGAGAGAATCCTTCCTAACTCATTTTATGGGGCCAGCATCATCTTGATACCAAAGCCGGGCAAAGACACAACCAAAAAATAGAATTTTAGACCAATATCCTCGATGAACATTGATGCAAAAATCCTTAATAAAACACTGGCAAACCGAATCCAGCAGCACGTCGAAAACCTTCAGGTGCTCTTTTAAGGCTGGTTTGGTGGTGACAAAGTTTCTCAGTATTTGTTTGTCTTTGAAAGATTTTATTTCTCCTTCCCTTATGAAGCTTAGTTTGTTTGGATGTGAAATTTTGGTTTGGAAACGATTTTCTTTAAGAAAGTTGAATGTTTGCCCCCACTGTCTTTAGGCTTGTAGGGTTTCTGCAGATTAATCCATTATTGGTCTGTTCGGCTTCCCTTTGTAGGTAACCTGACCTTTCTTTTTGGCTGCTGTTAACATTTTTTCCTTCATTTCAATATTGGAGAATCTGGCGATTAGGTGTCTTGGGGTTGCTCTTCTTGAGGAGTATCTTAATGGTGTTTTCTGTATTTCCTGAATTTGAATGTTGGCCTGTCTTGCTAGGTTGGGGAATTTTCCTGGATAATATCCTGAAGTGTGCTGTCTAACTTGATTCCATTCTCCCCATCACCCTCAGGGACCCCAGTCGATCGTAGGTTTGTTATTTTCACATAGTCCCATATTTCTTGGAGGCTTTGTTTTTTTTTCCTTTTCACTCTTTTTTTTTTCTAATCTTGTAATCTTGCCTTATTTCAGTAAGGTGATTTTCAATCTCTGATATCCTTTCTTCCACTTGATCTATTTGGCTATTGTTACTTTTGTATGCTTCACGAAGTTCTCATGCTTTTTTTCAGCTCCATCATGTCATTTATATTCCTCTCTAAGTTGGTTATTTAAGTTAGCATTTCCTGTAACCTTTTATCAAGGTTTTTAGGTTCCTTGCCTTGGGTTAGAACATGCTCATTTAGCTCAGAGGAGTTTGTTATTACCTACATACTGAAGCCTACTTCTGTCAATTTGTCAATCTCATTCTCTATCCAGTTTTGTGCCCTTGCTGGAGAGGAGTTGCAATCTTTTGGAGAAGAGGCTTTCTGGTTTTTGGAATTTTCAGTGCTTTTGTGCTGTTTTTTTTCCTCATCTTCATGTATTTATTTACCTTTGATCTTTAAAGCTGATAACCTTGGATGGGGTTTTTGTGTGGGGTTCTTTATGTTGATGTCGATGTTGTTGCTTTCTGTTTATTAGTTTTTCTTCTAACAGTCAGGCCTCTCTTCTGCAGGTCTGCTGCGGTTGCTGGACGTCCAATCCAGACCCTGTTCTCCTGGGTATCACCAGTGGAGGCTGTAGAACAGCAAATATTGCTGCCTGCTCCTTCCTCTGGAAGCTTTGTCCCAGAGGGGCACCAACCTGATGCCAGCTGGAGCTGTCTTGTATGAAGTGTCCTTCGACCCCTGTTGGGAGGTCTCTCCCAGTCGGATGCACAAGGTCAGGGACCCAGCTGAGGTGGCATTCGGTCCCTTGGCAGAGCTGGTGCACTGTGCTGGGAGAATCCCTCTTGTCAGGATTAGTTGTTCTCTTCAGAGCCAGCAGGCCAGAATGATGAAATCCGCTGAAGCTGCTCCCACAGCTACCCCTTCCCCCAGATGCTCTGTCCCAGGGAGATGGTAGTTTTGTCTGTAAGCACCCGACTGGGGCTGTTACCTTTCCTTCAGGGATGCCCTACCCACTGAGGAAGAATCTAGGGATTCAGTCTGGCCACAGCCACTTTGCTGTGCCCAGCCCAGACCTCCCAGCCTCCTCAGTGCTTTCAGGGGAAAACTGCCTACCAAATCCTCAGTAATGGTGAATGCCCCTCCCCCCACCAAGCTCAATTGTCCCAGGTTAACCTCAGACTGTTGTGCTGGCTGCATGAATTTCAAGCCAGTGGTTCTTAGCTTGCTGGACTCCCTGGCAGTGGGACCTGCTGAGCAACAACACTAGGCTCCCTGGCTTCAGACCCCTTTCCAGGAGAGTGAACAGTTGTGTCTCACTCAGGTTCCAGGTGTCACTGGGGTTCCAGGTGCCACTGGGATATGACAAAAATATGCCTGCAGCTATCTCAGTGTCAAAACAGCCACCCAGTTTTGTGCTTGAAACTCAGGGCCCCGGTGGTGTAGGTACACAAGGGAATCTTCTGATCTGCAGATTGTGAAAACCATGGGAAAAGCATAGTAACCTAGCTGGGTAGCGCAGTCCTTCATAGCTTCCTTTGGCTGGGAGAGGGAGGTCCCCCAACTTCCTGTACTTCCTGGGTGAGGCAATGCCCCACCCTGCTTCTGCTCACCCTCCTGTGGGTTGGACCCACTGCCTAACCAGTCCCTACGAGATGAACTGGGTACCTCAGTTGAAAATTCAGAAATCATCCACCTTCTGCGTTGGTCTCAATGGGAGCTGCAGACCAGATCTGCTTGTATTCGGCCATCTTGGCTTCATTCCCTCAATTTTTTTTTTTTTTTTTTTTTGCTTGTCTGGGAAATATTTTATTTCTCCTTCATTTATGAAAGAGTTTGGCAGGATATAAAATTTTTGGCTGCAGGTTTTTATTTTTTAAAGGAGTTAAAATAGCCCCCAGTCTCTTCTGAGTTTTGGGATTTTTGCAGAGAAGTCCACTCTTAGCCTGATTGGTTTTGTTTTATAGGTGCTTTGATCCTTTTCTCTACCTATCTTTAATGTTTTCTTCTTTATTATTTACTTTAGATAGTCTGATCACTATATACCTTCATAATGTTTATTTTAAATAATATCTCACAGGTGTTCTCTGAGTTTCTTGTATGTGGATATCTTTCTAGCAAGATTAGCAAAATGTTCCTGAATTATTTCCTCACGTATGTTTTCAAGGTTGTTTATGTTTTTCTTCCTCTCTCTTAGAAATGCCAATATGTTATAGGTTTTGTTGCTTTACATAATCCCATATTTCACAAAGACTTTGTTCCATTTTTTAAAATTATTTTTTTCTTTATTTTTGTCTGACCAGTTTAGTTTGAGAGACTGATCTTCAATCTCTGAAATTCTTTCTTCTACTTGGTCTAGTCTATTATTAAAGTGTTCAACTTTATTTTGAAATTCCTTAAGTGAATTTTTCATTTCCAGAAGTCCTGTTTGATTTTTTAAAAAAATATATTTATCTCTTCCTTCATATCCTGAATTGCCCTCATATTTTCTTTTTGGTTGGTTTTCAGTCTTGTCTTGGATCTTGTGGAGCATCCTGACAATCCACAGTTTGAATTCTTTATCTGTCATTTCTGAGTTTCCATTTTGGTTAAGGTCCATTGCTAGAAAGCTAGTTTGACTCTTGTTGATATCACAACATTCAGCTTTTTCATGGTGCCAGATTTCTTATGCCGAGTTCTTCTCATCTGGAGGTATTGTCACTTACTTTTGAAATTTATTTTTGTTCAGATGGTATTTTTCTTTCCCTATTTTTTCTTCCTCCCTCCTGAGAATGTTACTGTGTAGTATTCTGGGTAGAGTCCTTGGCTCTGCTCCTATTTCCTGTGCACTGGGGGCAACTTTTTTTTTTTTTTTTTTTTTTTTTTTTTTTTGAGACGGAGTTTCGCTCTTATTTCCCAGGCCAGAATGCAATGGCGCACAATAAATCTCAGCTCACCACAAGCTCCACCTCCCGAGTTCAAGCGATTCTCCTGCCTCAGCCTCCCAAGTAGCTGGGATTACAGGCATGGGCATGTGCCACCACACCCAGCTAATTTTGTATTTTTAGTAGAGACGGGATTTCTCCATGTTGGTCAGGCTGGTCTCGAACTCCTGACCTCAAGTGATCCACCCGCCTCGGCCTCCCAAAGTGCTGGGATTACAGACATGAGCCACTGCGCCCAGCCACTGGCAACTTTTTTATTGCGCTTTTCACTTTGACCTGCTGGCCAGGGGGTAGCACTTAAGGGTAAGACACAGATGTGGCACAAGAAGATGGGTATTTCATCTCTGTTGTTTCAGGTAATGAGCTAGATCGTGGTGTTCCCTATGCCCTGAGCTTGCTTCTTAACTGTGGCTGGGGAGACACACCTGATCTGATTTGGACCCTTTGGCTTGCCCACAAATACTCCAATGATGACTACAGGCACTAGTCTTGATAGGGGTGGCTGGGGGAACTCCTGGTACAAACACTTAGGCCTCTGCTGGAAGTGAGGGGGATGCACTGCCTTCATGTCGTAAATAGGCAGGAACACAATCTGTTCCCTTTTCACGCCCTTGTTGTAGGGCTCATCATGTACACTTCAGATGCACGTTGTTGTCTCTCCAGGCCACAGTGTGTCTGAGAGCCAGGGAGAATGCCTCTCTTGCAACTCTCCATGGAGGTGTTTTTGAAGCAGAATATATTTACTCACTCAACCCAAATACAGACAGCTTTATGGCTCACATCTTCTTTGACATATTAGTGTTGCTGCTTCGTGGAAGTGAGAGGTCTGCCTTTCAGCCCATGTGGTGAGTGTCATTTGTGGTGGTGTAAGCTAGTTAGGTTAGTCTGACCTCAGGTGCCAGGAGGACTGGATAGGTACTAGCTGTGTTAGACTGGGCTAGGTAGCTCACCAGTCTCCAGGCCCCTAGATGGCCAATTGGATGACATTTACGAGTCCTGAAGGGGCTGGACCTGGGTTGAGCCAGCCCAGAGTTCAGTGCTGTCTGTGTAATGGGGAGAGTTGGGTTGGTCCCTGGGTCACTGGCTGAACTCTCAGGCAGGTCAGGCAGACCAGTCAGGTGGTGGGAACCTGAGGGTGGATAACTGGCCTGTGGTTATTGGGCTCTCCAAGAGGCTCTGGGCTGCAGCTGAAATATTCAGTTGGGGGCAAGCCAGCCATGATGTGGACCTTTCATTGGGTAGGGCAAGTCCCCAAAGTTGGAAAAATGGAAAGTGGGAGCTGTGAGGCACGTGTTACACCCACACTTTCCTCCTACAGATGCAGTGTTGGATTTTGTTGTGGGAGGCATGCACAGGTAGGTGCCAGGCCTCCCTACTCTCTCCCTGGCCCAGAGGTGTCAGGGGCAAAGTTAGTGGCAGTGGTGGCTGCAAAATGGTTGGCAGCAATCTGTGGGATTTGGGCTATCAAAGAAATGCCAAGCCATGGCCACAGTCTTCAAGCAGGGGCAGGGGAAGGTGCACTGGTGACCTGGAGCCTGCAAACCCCATTTGGTGTGAAGCAGTATAAGTGGGGAGTTGTGTGGCATGCAGCAAACCTGTTGCTTCTTTGTACTTCAGCTGTGGTATCTGTGCTGAAGGCTGCAGAAGTGCCTAGCTTTCCCATTTCCTCCCTAGCCCAGGGGAAGGAGGGATGGCATAACTTCTGTTACTTAAACATTGGTTATTTTGATAGCGTCCCATAATTCTCAGACCTTCTTCATTATTTTTTCTTATACTTTCTTTAACTACCTTACCTTTCCTTAAATAATTCTACTTATAACATTCCTTAACTACTTCTGAATTCATTATCAGTCATTTCATAGATCTCTATTTATTCAGGGTCCATAATTAGAGGTTTATTAGTTTATTTTGTGATTTTAAAAAATTATTTGTAATTTTTGTGTTCTTGTTTTGGTGCCTATGTGTTTGGGTACATGGCCACCTCTTTCAGCCTTTGTAGGTGTTCTTTGGCAATGATAATCTTTCAGTATTTATTCTAACCTGGGATTTTTGGTGGACCAACTGATAGCAACCCTGGACAGCTGACCTTGCTCTTGGGTTCTCTAGCTGGGGTGAGCTGCTGCCTATAGTTTGAGGTTGAGTGGAATGGTGAGCTGTGCTTTGTAGTCTGATGAGACAACTAGCTGGGTTTTAATTTGGCAGTGCTGATGGCTATCCTTTGCAATCACCTCTGATCAGATTGCATTGCATGCTGCCTTCCCCAGTAAAACAGTACTGCTGTTTGGAATCTGTAGTCAGTCAGGGCCATGTGCTGGTGCTCTTAGGCTCGAGGAGGTCTCTGGGGTTACTGTTCAGCCACCTGGGACAAGACACATTAGGTACTTCCTTTCACAGATATTCATGGATCAGCACTTGCCTTCTGGCCTGAGGAAGCCTTAAAGAGAATATTAAGTGTTAGTGGGATTGTCATACAGTCAGTGGGGTTGGGTGGGGCCAGATGCTCTACAGTTGCCTCCCAGCCTGGAAAAGGCTCAAGGAGAGAAATGACATTACATAAGGAAGCTGGCTAGGGACTTCAGCTAAGCAAACTCATGCACTATGGTTCCTGCAGGGCAGTCCTGTTGGCTGTTTTCTATCATTTGGCACCTTCATTGACAAAAGTGAAGAGCCACTGCCAAAATCCATGTGCTCATCATTGTGAACCCCACCCTTTTTCTTTGTTTCTAACAAATCTCAGGTGCCCTAGCTCTGCTGGTACTCCCAATGTTTGTCATGGAATGAGACAAGAGTGAGCTTCCTGTAAAGCACCCCACAATGATGAGGAAGCTGGATATATGTTTACAGCTCTCTTTTCCCCTACAGAAACAAGAGCCCAGGGGAATCTTCTTTGGCACTGTTACAGCTTGAGAGAGGGTGATGCGAAATGAAACCATTCCTCTTACCCTTTGAATGCAGCTGTTATCTGTTCTGTGGCTGGAGGGGCTATCTCCCAAATTCAGGGATATTCATGAAAGTATTCTTATCTGCGGATAGTTAGTAGTTGGATTTATGTGACGGGGACTGGAACTGCAGAACTCCTCCTATTCCGTTATCTTGCTGACATCACTCTCTTTACTTTCCTCTCAATTTACTTTTAATAAAGGAGGTTTCAAGACAGTTCAATGAAGAATTAATAGTCTTTTCATCAAATGGTTCTAGGACAACTGGATATCTACGTGCAAAAGAATAAAGTTGGAGCCTTTCCACACACCCACCGTATACAAAAACTAATGTAAAATAAATAGGAGACCTAAATGTAAAAGCTAAAACTCTAATATTTTTATAAGGAAACATGAGTACATCTTCATGACCTTGAGATAAAAGGTTTCCTAGATACAGCTTCAAAAGCCCAGGCAATAAAAGAAAGCATGATAAATTAGAATTTGCCAAAATTAAAAAAAAAAACTATATTTCAAAATATAACAATAAAGTAAAAAGGAAAGACACTGACCAGGGGAGAATATTTGCAAATTATATAACGCCTGGGGATTTATATTCCAAACATATGAAAAACTCTTACAACTCAATAATAAGACGATAACCCAACTTAAAATGCACAATGGATTTCAATAGATATTTCCCTAAAGAAAACATACTAATTGCCCATAAGTGCGTGAGAGAATGGTCAATATAATTACTCATTAGGGAAATGCATATTAAAATCACAAGGAGTTATCAATGCACATTCACTAAAATAGTTATAAACCAAAAGGATAAGGGTTAATGAGCATGTGGAGTAACTGGGACCCTCATACATTTCTGGTAAGACTGTTGTCACATTGGTGCAGACTCTTTGGAAAACAATTTGGCATTTTCTTAAAATGTTAAATGTAAATTTGTCATAAGACTCAACTATTTCATTCATCTTTATATGTATATATATGCTCAAGAAATGAAAATAAATATTCATACAAAGACATAAACAAATGTGTAATTATATTGCTGATTTTTGCAGCATAATTAGTAATAGCCAAAAGTATTAGTCCAACTGTCCAGTAACTGGTGAATAGATAATCAAAATTTGGTATATTTATTCAATGGAATAGTCTTTGTCCATAAAAGAACCATTTATATAAACCTTGAAAACATTGTGCAGAGTGGAAGAAATCAGACAAAAAATGTTACATATTATATAATTCAATTTCTAGAAAGTGTTCAGAATAGGAAATCTATATGGATAAAAATTTAATTACTGGATACTGGGGATTGGGGGAATAGAGAAATGGAGATTTCTAGATTGTGGTGATGCTTGCACAATTCTGTAAATTTATTAGCAATCATTAAACTGTACATTTGAAACGGGGAATCTTATTTTATATAAATTATGCTGCAATAAAGTTTTATAACAGCATGAATGAGGTAAATAATGACAAATCACAACTCTAGATTAGTGTGAAATGATATTACAAAATGTTTATAGCTTAAAAGAAAATCCATATATTTAAGAATATATTATTCTACTTTATAATTTACTCTGATTTTTCTGAAAGTGCTATGGAAAACAAATTAGAAATAACGTCATGTGAAAGAACTTTAGGCTATTATTCACACTTTCTGCATTCAGATTTCAATTACAGCTTTTGCTAGCCAAGTGATCTTGGATATGTTATCTAACTTCTCTATTCTTCAGTCATTTCATCAGAAAAATAGTGATAATTAATAGCTTCTATATTATGAGCTTGTTGTGATGTCAAATATTTAATACAGATAAAGTTCCTAAATATTATTAAGTCCTAAGTAGATAGTAAATTATAATTATATATTTTCACCTATTTATTATTGGTAAAATAATTGAAAAAATACGTTTTCAGGAACAGGTCTTGATTTCTCACTTATTTTGTTTGTTTTCTTCAGGTGTCTTCAGTGCCCTGGGTTTGCCTGTGACCCAATGCCCACTGGGACTGAATGCCAAAGGACTCCCTTTAGGCATCCAGGTTGTGGCTGGACCCTTTAATGATCATCTGACCCTGGCTGTGGCCCAGTACTTGGAGAAAACTTTTGGGGGCTGGGTCTGTCCAGGAAAGTTTTAGGAGGACCTTCTGCAAGGTTAATGTGTGTGTGTGTTTGTGTTCGTGTGGTGGTGTTTCTATTAATTGGGTGAAATCAAGCACCAGCAGACAAGCAGAGAAACAACTGGGGAATTTATTGACTCATTTAGTTATTCTTTCTACTTTTATTTCCTTCTCTAACTGTTGGTCTTACTAAAATGGTAATATTTGCTTCTTGCTTTTATGTTACTGGAAAATTAGGACATGTAAATGGATAAGTGCAATAAAGTTTCCTAAATGCTGGAATCGTGTCTGTTTTGGGTACAGCAGGGAAATTAAAGAAGGGAATGTCCAGTGCTAATGAGGGGATCTTAAGAAACTTTAGAGAAGAGATGTTGCTGAAACTGACAAATGGAGAGTTACGTGTTTTCGAGGCAGGCCATTAAGTAAGGGAATTCCAGTTAGAAGAAGCTACAGTGAAGAAGGCAAGGACATGCTGCTGTAAGTTAGTATGGCTGGCGGGAAACTGGAGGGGGGTATGTAAGTAATGAGACCATGGTAAGGAAAGCTCTTCCAATATCCCCCAAAAATGTTTTATAATTTTGTTCACTAAGAGATCCTAGAAGCAACAGGTCCTAGAACAACATTACACGTATGATTATATATATTATATAATCATATATATGTTATATATCATATATCATATATATAATCATATATATAATGGATTTAGAAAGTCATTGTTTTGAAACCATCAAATAATACTTAATTCATACATAGCTCATCAATGGATCCTAAAACCACTGGATAAAAGTTTGACAAACAGAATATTTTTAGTCTCAAAATATCTTTTCACTTACCACTTATTAATTTCAAGAGTGGGGAATATTACCTGTAGAGTGCAGATATATGGTAGACACCATCATAATCAAATAGCCAACATTAATCTGAGCAACAAATCTATGATGTCCCTGACAAGAATGCATCACCTGAATCTAATTGTAAGAAATAATCAGAAGAAACCAAATTTATAAACATCTTACAAAATTAAGGGCCTACATTATTCAAATATGTCAAAGAATTAATGCCAGTGACAGGCTAAGGAACTGCTCCAGAATAAAGATGAATAAAGACCCATGATAACTAAATTCAATGTGTGATCTCAAATTGGAAAAGTAAGATTTTTAAAAAAGATAGTGTTAAGACAATTGGACAAATATAAATGTAGGATGTTTTGTAGATAATGTACTGTGGCAATTTCTGAATTTCATTTTGTTTTTATTTATTTATTTTTTTGTTATACTTTAAGTTCTGGGATACATGTGCAGAATGTACAGGTTTGTCACATAGGTATACATGTGCCATGGTGGTTTGCTGCACCCACCAACCCGTCATCTATATTAGGTATTTCTCCTAATGCTATCCCTCCCCCCACTCCCTGACAGGTCCCAGTGTGTGACATTCCTCTCCCTGTGTTCATGTGTTCTCATTGTTCAACTCCCACTTATGAGTGAGAACATGCAGTATTGGGTTTTCTGTTCTTGTGTTAGTTTGCTGAGAATGATGGTTTCCAGCTTCATCCATGTCCCTGCAAAGGGGACGAGCTCATCCTTTTTTTATGGCTGCATAGTATTCCATAGTGTATATGTGTGTCACATTTTCTTTTTCCTGTCTATCATTGATGGGCATTTGGGTTGGTTCCAAGTCTTTGCTATTGTGAACAGTGCTGCAATAAACATACACGTGCATGTGTCTTTATAGTAGCATGATTTATAATCCTTTGGGTAAATGGCATTTCTGGTTCTAGATCCTTGAGGAATCACCAGACTGTCTTCCACAATGGTTGAGCTAATTTACACTCCCACAAACAGTGTAAAAGCATTCCTAGTTCTCCACATCTTCTCCAGCACCTGTTGTTTCCTGACTTTTTAAAGATCGCCAAACTGGCATGAGATGGTATCTCATTGTGGTTTTGACTTGCATTTCTCTAATGACCAGTGATGATGAGATTTTTTTCATATGTTATTTGGCCGTATAAATGTCTTCTTTTAAGAAGTGTCTGTTCATATCCTTAGCCCACTTTTTGATGGGAAAGCTTTTTTCTTGTAAATTTGTTTAAGTTTTTTGTAAATTATGGATATTAGCCCTTTGTCATATGGATAGATTGCAAAAATTTTCTCACATTCTGTAGATTGCTGGTTCACTCTGTTAGTTTCTTTTGCTGTGCAGAAAGAGAGCACCTGGGGGAAGGGGTAGCTGTGGGTGCAGCTTCAGCAGACTTAAACCTTCCTGCCTGCTGGCTCTGAAGAAAGCTGCAGATCTCCCAGCACAGCGCTCGAGCTCTGCTAAGGGACAGACTGCCTCCTCAAGTGGGTCTCTGAACCCCATTCCTCCTGACTGGGAGACACCTCCCAGCAGGGGTCAACAGATACCTCATACAGGAGAGCTTCAGCTGGCATCTGGCAGGTGCCCCTTGGGGACAAACTTTGCAGAGGAAGGAACAGGCAGCAATCTTTGCTGTTCTGCAACCTCCATTGGTGATACAAAGGCAACCAGGGTCTGGAGTGGACCTCCAGCAAACTCCAGCATGCCTGTAGCAGAGGAGCCTGACTGTTTTTGCATCTATATTTATTAGAAATATTGACCTGTAGTTTCCTTTTTTTAGCTTCTTTGTCTGGTTTCAGTATTGTAGTAACCTTGGCATCATAGGATGAGTTAGGAAGAATCCATCCTCCTCAATTTTTTGGAAAAGTGCAGTGTTAGTTCTTTAAAAGTTTGGAAGAACTTGGTAGTGACGCCAACTATTCCTAGAGTTTTCTATTTTGGGAGGCATCTTATTACTGATGTAATCTCATTATTCATTATTAGTCTATTCAGATTTTATGAACATATATGTGCCAAACACTGGAACACCCAGATGTATAAAGCACATATTATATGTAAGTCAAAGAAAAGATTTCAATACTCTACTAGTTGAGGACTTTAACATACTACTCTAAGAATTAAACACATAATCTAGGCAGAAATTTAAAAAAGAATAATTGGATTTAAACCGCACTTTAGACCAAAGGAACCTCATAGACATTTATGGAACTTTATATCTAAGAACTACTGAGCATAAATTTTTTATCAGCACGTAGAACATTCTCCAGAATTTTACACTGTAGGTTAAGCCACGAAAAGATCTCAACATATTGAAAAAATTAAAATCATATAAAGTATACTATAAGACCAAATGGAATAAAACTAGAGATAAATAGCATGAGAAACATTGGAAGCCATATAAATACACGTAAATTAATCAACAGGTTCTGAATAACCATGGGATCAACAGAGTAATTAAGATAGAAGTCAAAAAATTTGTTGAAACAAATCAAAATGGAAACACAACATACCAAAACTTGTGAGACACAGCAAGAGCAGTGCTCAGACTAAACTTTATAGCAATAAATGCCTATATTAAAAAAAAGTATAAAAGATTACAAATTAGCAATCTAACAATGCACTGCAATGAACTAAGAAAACAAGAACACACCAAGCCCAACATTATGAGAAGAAAAGAAATAACATAGACCAGAGCAGGACTAAATTATGTAGACAGTAAAAAAAACAGAGGATTCATAAAACAAAAAAGATGGTTGTTCAAAAAGATAAACAAGATTGATAAAGTGCTAACTAGAGTAACCAACAAAAGAAAAGAGAATGTCCAAATAAAGAAAATGATAAATAAGTGGGAGTGCTATGCAATTCTTGCACTTCTACGAAGAAATATATGAGATGGTAATTTTTAAAGAAAAGAGGTTTAATTGGCTCATTATTCTGTAGGATTTACATGAAGCATGGTGCCAGACTCTGCTCAGGTTCCAGCAATTCTACTATTGGGTATCTACCCAAAGGAAAAAAATAATATATCAGTGGGATACCTGCATTCTCATGTTTAATGAAGCAGTATTCAAAAACACAATGATATGGAATCAACCTAAGTGTGCAACAACAGGTGAATGAATAAAAAAGTGTACAATATATACACAATGAAATACTTTTTGGCCATTAAAAACAAACAATGAGATCATGTTATTTTCAGCAACAAGGTTGGGACTGAAGAACGTATGAAATATGCCAGGCACAAAAACATAAATATTGCATGTTCTCACTTACATATGGGAGCTGGAAAATTTTATCACATGGAGATATAGAGTGGAAAGATAGATAACAGAGACTGAGAAGGATGATTGGGGCTGAGGGTGGAGGATAAAAAATAGTGGATTAAGATGTACAAATCATAGAAGGAATAAATTTAATGCTTGACAGCAGAGAAGTGTAACTGTAGTTTAAAAAAAATTGTACTTGAGTGACACCCTAAATACCCTGACTCGATCACTACACATTATATACATGTAACAAAATTTCACATGTAACTTATAAATTTTTACAAATAAAAAAATTTTAAAAATAAATCTTATCAAGTATCTCCTCAGCCCACAATTGAATAAAACTAGGAATCAATAACAAGAGGAAATTTAGAAACTGTACAGAAATATGGAAATTAAGCAAAATGCTCACTGGGCGTGGTGGCTCATGCCTGTAATCCCAGCACTTTGGGAGGCCGAGGTTGGTGCATCACTTGAGGTCAGGAGTTCAAGACCAGACTGATCAACATGGTGAAACCCCCTCTCTACTAAAAATACAAAAAAGCTAGCCGGGCATGGTGGTGGGTGACTGTAATCCCAGCTACTCAGGAGGCTGAGGCAGGAGACTCATTTGAACCCGGGAGGCAGAAGTTGCAGTGAGCCGAGATCATGGCCACTGCACTTCAGCCTGGGTGAGGAAACAAGACTCTGTCTCAAAATAAATAAACAAACAAACAAAATGTTCATGAATGACCATTGGGTCAAGGAAGAAATAAAGGAGAAAATGCATTTCTGGAAACAAATGAAAATCAAAATACAATGTACCAAAACCTATGGGATACAGCAAAACAGTGCTAAGAAGGAAGTTTATAGCAATAAACACCTACATCAAAAAAGTAGAAAAAGACTGGGCACAGTGGCTCACCTGGTAATCCCAGCACTTTGGGAAGCTGAAGTAGGAGGATTTCTTGAGCCCAAGAGTTTGAGACTAGCTTGGGAAAAAAAAGCAAGACCCTGTCTTTACAAAAATAAAAATAAGAAAATTATCTGGGAGTAGTGGTACACAACTAAAGTCCCAGCTGCTTGGCCGGAAGATGTGGGAGGATCACTTGAGCCTGGGAGGTCAAAGCTGCAGTAAGCCATGATTGCACGACTGCACTCCAGCCTGGGCAACAGAGAAAGATCTTATCTGAATAAAATAAAATAAAATAAAATAAACAATCTAACAATACACCTCAAAGAAATGGAAAAGCAAGAACCAAACCCCAAATGAGTACAAGAAACAAAATAACAAATATCAAAGCAGAACTAAATGAAATAGAGACCAAAAAATCAATACAGAGTGTCAGTAAAACAAAAAGTTGATTCTCTTTGTTTATCTTTTTGATTGATAAACAAAATTGATAAACCACTAGCTAGAATACCCAAGAAAATACCCAAAGGAACAAAATCAGAAATGAAAAAGGAGACATCATAACAGATGCCACAGAAGCACAAAGGATTATCAGAGACTATTATAAACTAACAAACTGGAATGCCTAGAATAAATGGACAAATCTCTGGACACATACACCTTCTGAGGTCTTATTCAGAGTATTATATCACTTCACATGAATCCTATCCTACTATAGGTTACCTGGATTTTCCAGGTGATAGGAGGATGTCTGTGACATCAAGAATGGCAGTCTCATCTAAAATTATGTAACACAAGCAATGTATAGTCAGAATGGAATGCTCATCTACCTTATATAACATAAATAATATATAGTCAGAGTGAATAAAAGGGAAATGGTTTTGGAGTCAGGTTTGGAGCCAGACCTAGGTATGATTCTTGCCTTGCTGCTTATTAGCTTAGTTGCCTAACCAATCTCAGCCTGTTTTGTCATTTATAGAAGGGAGGATTTGACACTCATGCCTCATTATTATTTATAGAAGGAAGGAAGGGAGAAAATGACACCCAAAAAAAGCCTCATTCATTATTGATCATCACAAAAGGTTATGATTGAAATTGTCAATTTTTCTCCCCTACTAGACTGTAATCTTTTAAGTACTCTGAAACATCTTTATTTTCACCAAACTCACAATACAGTATTTCACATGGTAAGTGTCAGTTTACCTCAACAGTTCTTGTTGACTAGTACTAAATTAGGCCTCATTCTAGTATATTTTCCTCAAATATAATGAGGTTAAATTATCTTTAATTTTCCATATCCCCATGAAACTACCCATGTGCCAATGTAGTTATTAATGTTTTTATGCATAATATTATAATTTGCTGCATGTCAGTTTTGTTATAATCATTTTTGAGTATTTGAGATAAATATGGTTTTGGCTGGGCCAGATATATTTTCCTACTGTCTACCAGATTGGTTGATGTACATATAACAGTAAGTTTACATATATAAGATTTAATATCACAATGATGCCATTGCCTTAATAGTGATTTGAATAATTTCTGAAGGTCCAAATTTTGTAAAAAATAATGCCTATATTTTGTTAAAATTTTATATTGTCTTTGCTGAGTTATGAGGCTTTTAAAAAAAAAAAAAAAACAGAAGCTCAATAAATTTACCAGGTATCTCGTGTAGCACAGAACTGAGCTGTTATATATAATTTATATTTCATCTGCACAGTATGATATGCTACAACGACTTATTACAGTCAAGAATATTAATTGCTTGCTTTCCTGTCTTGTCCATCCTCAGCATATCTCTTAGACTGAAAATATTAATAATATGAAACAGGATCTACTTCTAATTGCCTGTTTTGAATTCTATGTAAAAACTTTATTCATTTATATTATTGAAAATCAGTCTTCATCATGTTTTATCAGCAAAATGTCAAGTATTTCTTGCACTTTCTCATTGATATTTAATCTATGGTTGGTGAACACGAAATTAATAACATATTTCTTTTGTTACAGGAAATGCAGAGTGTTCTAGCATATCTTAGTAGAAAAACCTGACCCCATTGCAGAGGGGAGGTAGGGCAATAATCTTAAAAAAACTAATGTGTATATTGAGACCTTAAGAATGAATAGGAGTTAAGAATGTAAAGAGTTGAGAAAAATGCCCCATACAGAGAAAATAGATGTTTCCATGCATTCAGTCATTCAACAGAGGCTGTGCAAAACCAGTGTATATCAATATGATGAGTCAAAAGGTAGAAAGTCAAATATACTTATCGAAATTTAATAAAATTCTGCTTCACATATTTCTTTAAATGGTTTTGAGAAGATTAGTAGCTATTCACTTATTATTTATATATTCAATACTTTTAAAGTTGTACTTGAGGATGGGCTTAGATGTTTGGGCTGAAAGAGGAATCTCCCTGTGGATTAGACAAAGATGGAGCTAAAGCAAGCATGGACTTTTATTCATGGAACAGCTATAGCAAAGCCTGGCCATAAGAGCCAATTCCCTGGGACTCCGCATCCCTCTCTGAGACACTCTAGCCTTAGCTAACCACTAGACCAGGACTAGCAAAGACCCTGAACAGAACCTTAGCCCTCTGAAGCTTTCAGAAATGAAGCTAACTATTCAATTTACACCACAGTTAAAGGAACACCAACTCTCACAGAATCAACACAACTCTGGTTATTCAAAAAACCAGAGTGTCCCCTTACCTTTAAATTAGCTCAGCAATAGCAATTATCCAGTCTGAATTGTCTGAAATGACATATATGGAATTCAGAATCTGGATAGCAAGGAAGCTCATTGAGAGTGAGGAGGAATTGAAATTCAACCTAAGGAAGCCAAGCGATCCAGTAAAACAATTTAAGAGCTGAAAGATGGAATAACCATTTTTAAGAAAGACAGAACTTCTTGAGCTGAAAAATTCACTACAATAATTTTATAATACAATCAGAAATATTAACATCAGTATACACAAAGCCGAGGAAAGAATATCAGACATCAAAGATCAGTTATTTGAATAAACCTAGTTAGACAAAAATAAAAAAAAAAATGGGTTAACAAAATTGAACAAACCTCCAAGAAATATGGGATGATGCAAAGAGACCAAACCTATAACTCGTTTGCATTCCTGGGAGAGAAAGAGAGAGAATAAGCAACTTAGAAAATATATTTGAAGATGTAGCTCATGAAAATTTCCCTAATATTGCTAGAGAGGTTGAAATGAAAATGCAATAAATACAGAGAACCTCAGCTACATACTATTCAAGAGGGCCATCTCCAAGGCACATAGTGATCAGATTCACTAAGATCATTGTAAAAGAAAAAAACATATTAAAAGTATTTAGAAAAAAGGGGCAGGTCATTTACAGAGGGAACATCATTAGGCTAGCAGCAGACCTCTCAATAGAAACCTTACAAGCCAGGAGAGATTGGAGGCTTTTCTTCAGCATCCTTAATGGAGAGAAATTCCAACCAAGCATTCCATAGCCCATCAAAGAAACTTCATAAGTGAAGAAGTAATAAAATCCTTCCTAGACAAGTAAATGCAAAGAGAATAAGTTTCAATTAGACTAGCCTTATAAGAGGTCCTTAAGGGAGTGCTAAGTGTGGAATCATAATAATGACATGTGCTACCTCAACAACATAATTAAGCACATAGCCCACAGGCACTATAAAGCAACTATGCAAGTCTACATAGCAACCAGCTAACAGCAGGATGACAGGATCAAGATCACACATATTAATACTAACCTTGAATGTAAATAGGCTAAAGACCCCCACTTAAAAGACACAGCATGGCAGCCTGGACAAAAAGATAAGACCAACCACATGTTGTCTTCAAGAAATTCATCTAACATGTAATGACATACACAGGCTCAAAGTAAAATGATGGATAAATGTCTAACATGCAACAATAAAGCACAGGAGTAGCTACTTTTGTATCAGATAAAACAGACTTTAAGCCAGTAAAAATTAAGAAGAATAATGAAGAACGTTACATAATAAAGGTACAACCTAACAAGAAGCCTTAAATATCCTAAATATATATGCTCCCAACATCAGCGCTCCTGGATACATAAAACCAGTTATTCTTGGCCTATCAAAAGATTTAGACAACCACGCAATAATAGTGGGAGATTTCAACTCCCCACTAAGAATTTTAGACAAATAATCAAGGCAGAAAACTAACAATGAAACGGTGGACTTCAACTCAACACTTGACCCCTTGGACAAAATAGGGATCTACAGAACACTCCATCCAACAACCACAGAATATACATTCCTCTCATGTGCACACAGAATATATTCTAAGATAGATCACATGCTCAGTCATAAAGCAAGTCTCAAAAATTTTTTAAATTTTATTTTTATTTATTTATTTTTAACTTTTTATTTCCATATGTTTTGGGGGAACAGGTGGTATTTGATTACATAAGTTCTTTGTGGTGATCTGTGAGATTTTGGAGCACCCATCTCCTGAGCAATATACACTGAAGCCAATTTGTGGTCTTTTATCCCTCACCCCCTTTCCGTCCTTCCCCCCCACGAGTTCCCAGTCCATTTTGTCACTGTTGTGCCTTTGAATCCTCAGAGCTTAGCTCCCACTTTTGAGTGAGAACATATGATCTTTGGTTTTCAGTTCCTGAGATAATTCACTTAGAATAATAGTCTCCAGTCACATCCAGGTTGCTGCAAATGCCATTAATTCATTCCTTTTTATGGCTGAGTAGTATTCCATCATATATATATATATATATACACATATACCATAGTTTCTTCATCTACTTGTTGATTGATGGGCATTTGGGTTGGTTCCACATTTTTGCAATTGCAAATTGTGTTGCTATAAACATACGTGTGCAAATATCTTTTTCATATAATGACTTCTTCCCCTCTGTGTAGATACCCAGTAGTGGGATTGCTGCATCAAATGGTAGTTCTACTTTAAGTTCTTTAAAAGATCACCACACTTTTTCCGTCGTGGTTATACTAGTTTACATTCCATCCAGCAGCGTAGAAGTGTTCCCTTTTCACTGCATTTTTTAAAATAAAATATCTAGCACAATCTCAAACCACAGTGAAATAAAAATAGAAGCCAATATTAAGATGATTTCTTATAAAGACACAAATACATGGAAATAAAGAACTTTCTCCAGAATAACTCCTGAGTGAACATTGAAATTAAGGCCAAAATTTAAAAATATTTTAAATTAATGAAAAGATGGACACAACTTACCAAAATCTCTGGGATACAGCCAAAGCAGTCTTAAGAGGAAGGTTTATAGCCCTAAAAGGCCTCCACCAAGAAGATAGAAAAATGTCCGATTAGCAACCTAACTTTTCACCTAAAGGAAATAGAAAAAAGAGAACAAACCAACCCCAAAGCTAGCAGAAGAAAAGAAATAAATTAGAGAAGAGTTTAATGAATTTCAGATGCAAACATTCATTCAGTAGGTCAATGAAACCAATATTTAGTTCTTCAAAAAATATTTAAGATGGATAGATTCCTAGCTAGGTTAACAAAGAAAAAGAGAGGGTCCAAATAACCACAATAAAAAATAACAAATGCTATATTACAACTGATCTCACAGAAATACAAAAGACCCTTAGAGACTACTATGAACAACTCCATACACACAAATTAGACAATTTAGAAGAAATGGATAAATTCCTGAAAGCACACAATCTCCAAGGTTAAAGCAGGAAGAGATTAAAACCCTCAATGGGCCAATATCAACTTCTTTAAGTGAATGAGTAATAAAAAAAACCACTACCAACAACAAAAAACGGTGCACCAGATGGATTCACAGCCAAATTCTATCAGACATACAAAAAACTGATACCAGTCCTTCTGAAACTATTCCAAAAAATTAAGGAGAGTCTCCTCTCTAATTCTAGGAAGCTTCTTTTCATTTCTTCGAATGTCAACTAATTTTCTTCTGTTCATTCCAGGAGTCTGATTTATCTTGTTTTAAAAGTATATATAAAGGTTTAGGTTGTAGGAAGAATTTTTGAATCCGATATCTATGGTATCCTTCCAATCTTCCAAATCCTCTCAGTTGTTTGTTAGTTTTTGGAGTAAAGAAGTCCGTTGTTCCCTTTAGTCTATCCAGACTGATGAAGAGGACTTCCTCTGATATTAGGTTACCTAAATATCTTGTTTTTGACAGAAATGAAGATTTCTTTTGAGACTTTGTGTCCCTTTGAAGCTAATTGTTGTAATATGCAAATTCGATTCTCTATGGAGCCTTGCTTATCCACTGAGCTGAGAAGTAAGTAATGCATGTACTTTACATCAAGTTGGATTTCCTAGGAAATTCTACATCTGAAATGTCTTCTTTTAATATTCGTGAAAAATAATTTGGGCTCTCAGTATATCCCTTTGATATGAATGTCCATGTGTACTGTCTGTCTTTCAAAGTAGAGGAAAGGAGAAATCACTATCTTTATCTACAGGAATGCTAAAGAATATACTACATAGATCTCTTACAGTAAAGAACTAACATTCACTTGAAATTGCAGTAAACAACATATGGGAGTTTCATAGTACTGTGTATCAAGGGAAAACTATGTTATTAATCACTCTCAAATCCTGTATAAATCTCTATCTTCCACTGTTTTGTTTTCTTACAGGGAGAAGTGGAATGTTATGTAGGCTTGGATAAGGAGTAATCAAGCTTCTTTTTATATAGTCTAAAATTGTATATCTTATCTTATTTAAGGCTTCTCATATTTGAATGTTTTGTTTATGGTTCAGAAGAGGTTTTGATGCATCTATCTGAATTTTAACTTTGGCAGCCAAGAAAAAGTTCCCAATATCAGTAAAGGGTTTTGTCCACAATTTTTCAGGTACCATTTTTAACCACCCTTGTTTATTAAACAATTTTTGTTTTCTCCATGAAATTGTAAATTGCAATTTTTGAATTAAAATGATCAGACTTTTATTTTCCTTTATTTTTTATCATTGTAGATACCTAGTGGGTGCATATACTTATGGAGTACATGAGATGCTTTGATACAAGCGTGCAATGTGTAATAATCACATCAAGCAGAATGAGGTGTACATCTCCTCAAGCATTTATCCTTTATATTGCAAACAATCCAATTAAATTATTTTAGTTATTTTAAAATGTACAATTAAATTACTATTGACTATGGTCACCCTGTTGTGCTATCACCTGCTGGGTCTTATTCATTATTTATAAGTGTTTTTTGTACCCATTAACCATACCCACTCCCTCTGCCCCCATATACCATTCCCAGCTTCTGGTAACCATTGTTCTACTCTCTATCTTAATGTCTTTTCATTGATTTTACTAAAGTGTCTCCCTCATTTCAGAATACCTCTGACTTTGGAGACATAGGGCTTCTTACACTTTTTCTCTTTCTTTAAAAAGAATATTGCTTTTCTAGATCAATATCAGGAAGTAGCAAACAAAAAATCAACATGCATAAAAACAACAAGGTATCCCACAGTTTTAGTTTTCTTTGTCATGGTTGCCAGTGCTTTTTTTTTTTTTCCAGGAAAACAGATTTGCCAGTGGCCACCTATGTGATGCCTTTGAGGGTGAAATAAAATTGGGGGGCTATCCTTTTCCTAATTTCTGGAGACTCTAGTGCAGAGTGAGAACTCCTGTCTCTGGGAATACAGCATTTGGGGCACCTCTATATTCATTCCCATCATTCAATTCTATTTTATCTTCTAATTCTAAATACATTTCCCAATTTTGATAAAAAGAGATGTGGGTATGGTGTAATTCTAAAATGTCTCTTGTTTTCAGATGGCTGGGGGCTGAAAGAAACACTAGAGGGGTCAGTTCCAAGGTGGCCAAATAGGAACAGCTCCAGTCTACAGCTCCCAGCATGAGCAATGCAGAAGACGGGTTGTTTCTGCATTTCCAACTGAGGTACCAGGTTCATCTCACTGGTACCTTGTCGGACAGTGGGAGCAGGACAGTGGGTGCAGGCCACCAAGCATGAGCAGAAGCAGGGCAAGGCATCATCTCACCTGGGAAGTGCAAAGGGTCAGGGAATTCCCTTTTCTAGCCAAGGGAAGTGGTGACGGATGGCACCTGGAAAATCAGGTCACTGCCACCCTAATACTGTACTTTTCCAACAGTCTTAACAAACAGGACACCAGGTGATTATATCCTGCACATGGCTCAGAGGGCCCCATGCCAACAGAGCCTCACTCATTGCTAGCACAATATTCAGAGATCAATCTGAAAGGCAGCAGTGAGGCTCTGGGAGGGGCACCCGCCATTGCTGAGGCTAGAGTAGGTAAACAAAGTAGCTGGGAAGCTCGAACTGGATGGAGCCCACCGCAGCTCAAGGAGGCCTGCCTGCCTCTGTAGACTCCACTTCTGGGGGCAAAGCATAGCCAAGCAAAAGGCAGCAGAAACCTCTGCAGACTTAAATATCCCTGTCTGACAGCTTTGAAGTGAGTAGTGCTTCTCCCAGCATGGAGTTTGAGATCTGAGAACAGACAGACTGCCCCCTCAAGTGGGTTCCTGATCCCCGAGTAGCCTAACTGGGAGGAGCCCTCCAGTAGGGGCAGACTGACACCTCACATGGCCGGCTACCCCACTGAAATGAAGCCTCCAGAGGAACAATCAGGCAGCAAAATTTGCTGTTCAGCAATATTTGCTGTTCTGCAGCCTCCGCTGCTGATACCCAGGCAAACAGCATCTGGAGTTGACCTCCAGCAAAATCCAACAGACTTGCAGCTGAGGGTCCAGTCTGTTAGAAGGAAAACTAACAAACAGAAAGGACATCCACACCAAAACCCCATCTGTACGTCACCATCATCAAAGACCAAAGCCAGATAAAACCACAAAGATGGGGAAAAAACAGAGCAGAAAAGCTGAAAATTCTACAAATCAGAGTGCTTTTCCCCCTACAAAGGAACACAGCTCCTCACCAGCAGCAGAACAAAGCTGGATGGAGAATGACTTTGACAAATTGAGAGAAGAAGGCTTCAGATGATCAAACTTCTCTGAGCTAAAGAAGGAAGTTCGAACCCATGGCAAAGAAGTTAAGAACCTTGAGAAAAGATTAGACGAATGGCTAAATAGAATAACCAATGTAGAGAAGGCCTCAAATGATATCTTGGAGCTGAAAACCATGGCATGAGAACTATGCAATGAATGCACAAACTTCAGTAGCTGATTCGATAAACTGGAAGAAAGGGTATCAGTGATTGAAGGCAAATGAATGAACTGAAGCAAGAAGTTTAGAGAAAAAAGAGTAAAAAGAAATGAACAAAGCCTCCAAGAAATATGGGACTATGTGAAAAGACCAAATCTACCTCTGATTGGTGTACCTGAAAGTGACAGGGAAAATGGAACCAAGTTGGAAAACACTCTGCATGATATTACCCAGGAGAACTTTCCCAATCTAGCAAGGCAGGCCAATACTCAAATTCAGGAAATACAGAGAACCCCACAAAGATAATCTTTGAGAACAGCAACTCCAAGACACATAATTGTCAGATTCACCAATGACGAAATGAAGGAAAAAAGGTTAAGGGCAGCCAGAGAGAAAGGTCAGGTTACCCACAAAGGGAAGCCCACCAGAATAACAGCGGATCTATTGGCAGAAACTCTACAAGACAGAAGGGAGTGGGGGCCAATATTCAACACTCTTAAAATAAAGAATTTTCAACCCAGAATTTCATATCCAGCCAAACTAAGCTTCATAAGTGAAGGAGAAATAAAATCCTTTACAGAAAAAAAATGCTGAGAGATTTTGTCACCACTGGGCCTGCTGTACAAGAGCTCCTGAAGGAAGCACTAAACATGGAAAGGAAAAACTGGTACCAGCCACTGCAAAAACATGCCAAATTGTAAAGACCATCGAGGCTAGGAAGAAACTGCATCAACTAATGAACAAAATAACCAGCTAACATCATAATGACAGGATCAAATTCACACATAACAATATTAACCTTAAATGTCAATGGGCAAAATGCTCCAATTAAAAGACACAGACTGGCAAATTGGGTAAAGAGTCAAGACCCCTCAGTGTGCTGTATTCAGGAGACCCACCTCACGTGCAGAGACACACATAGGCTCAAAATAAAGGGATGAAGGAAGATCTGCCAAGCAAATGGAAAACAAAAAAAAAAAGGCAGGGGTTGCAATCCTAGTCTCTGATGAAACAGACTTTAAACCAACAAAGATCAAAAGAGACAAAGAAGGCCATTATATAATGGTAAAGGGATCAATTCAACAAGAAGAGCTAACAATCCTAAACACATATGCACCCAATACAAGACACCCAGATTCATAAAGAAAGTCCTTAGAGACCTACAAAGAGACTTAGACTCCCACACAAGAAAAATGGGAGACTTTAACACCCCACTCTCAACATTAGACAGATCAACGAGAGAGAAAGTTAACAAGGATATCCAGGAATTGAACTCAGCTCTGCACCAAGCAGACCTAATAAACATCTGCAGAATTCTCCACCCCAAATCAACAGAATATACATTCTTCTCAGCACCACATTTCACTTATTCCAAAATTGACCACATAGTTGGAAGTAAAGGACTCCTCAGCAAATGTAGAAGAACAGAAATTATAACTGTCTGTCAGACCACAGGGTAATCAAAATAGAACTCAGGATTAAGAAACTCACTCAAAACCTCTCAACTACATGGAAACTGAACAAACTGCTCCTTAATGACTACTGGGTACATAACGAAATGAAGGCAGAAATAAATATGTTCTTTGAAACCCATGAGAAAAAAAGACACAACACATCAGAATCTCTGGAACAAATTTAAAGGAGTGTATAGAGGGAAATTTATAGCACTAAATGCCCACAAGAGAAAGCAAGAAAGATCTAAAATTGACACCCTAACATCGCAATTGAAATAACTGGACAAGAAGGAGCAAACACATTCAAAAGCTAGCAGAAGGCAAGAAATAACTAAGATCAGAGAAGAACTGAAGGGGATAGAGACACAAAAAACCCTTCAAAAAATCAATGAATCGAGGAGCTGGTTTTTTGAAAAGATCAACAAAATTGATAGACCACTAGCAAGCCTAATGAAGAAGAAAAGAGAGAAAAACCAAATAGATGGAATAAAAAATGATAAAGGAGATATTACCACCGATCCCACAGAAATACAAGCTACCATCAGAGAATACTATAAACACCTCCATGCAAATAAACTAGAAAATCTAGAAGAAATTGATAAATTCCTGGACACATACACCCTCCTAAGACTAAACCAGGAAGAACTTGAATCCCTGAATAGACCAATAACAGGCTCTGAAATTGAGGCAATAATTAATAGCTTACCAACCAAAAAAGTCCAGGACCAGATGGATTCACAGCCGAATTCTACCAGAGGTACAAAGAAGAGCTGGTACCATTCCTTCTGAAACTATTCCAATCAATAGAAAAAGAGGAAATCCTCCCTAACTCATTTTATGAGGCCAGCATCATTCTGATACCAAAGCCTGACAGCGACACAACAAAAAAAGAGAATTTTAAACCAATATCTCTGATGAACACTGATGCGAAAATCCTCAATAAAATACTGGCAAACCAAATCCAGCAGCACATCAAAAAGCTTATCCACTGTGATCAAGTTGGCTTCATCCCAGGGATGCAAGGCTGGTTCAACATATGCAAATCAATAAACATAATTCAGCATCTAAACAGAACCAAGGACAAAAACCACATGATTATCTCAATAGATACAGAAAAAGCCTTTGACAAAATTCAATAGCCCTTCATGCTAAACACTCTCAATAAATTAGGTTTTGATGGGACATATCTCAAAATAATAAGAGCTATTTATGACAAACCCACAGCCAATATCATACTGAATGGGCAAAAACTGGAAGCATTCCCTTTGAAAAGGGGCACAAGACAGGGATGCCCTCTCTCACCACTCCTATTCAACATAGTGTTGGAAGTTCTGGCCAGGGCAATCAGGCAGGAGAAAGAAATAACGTGTATTCAATTAGGAAAAGAGGAAGTCAAATTGTCCCTGTTGGCAGATGACATGATTGTATATTTAGAAAACCCCATTGACTCAGCCCAAAATCTCCTTAAGCTGATAAGCAACTTCAGCAAAGTCTCAGAATACAAAATCAATGTGCAAAAATCACGAGCATTCTTATACACCAATAACAGACTAACAGAGAGCCAAATAGTGAGTGAATTCCCATTCACAATTGTTTCAAGGGAATAAAATACCTAGGAATCCAGCTTACAGGGGATGTGAAGGACCTCTTCAAGGAGAACTACAAACCACTGCTCAATGAAACAAAAGAGGACACAGACAAAGAGAAGAACATTCCATGCTCATGGATAGGAAGAATCAATATTTTGAAAATGGTCATACTGCCCAAGGTAATTTATAGATTCAATGCCATCCCCATCAAGCTACCAATGACTTTCTTCATAGAACTGGAAAAAACTACTTTAAAGTTCATATGGAACCAAAAAAGAGCCCACATTGCCAAGACAATCTTAAGCCAAAAGAACAAAGCTGGAGTTATCACGCTACCTGGCTTCAAACTATACTACAAGGCTATAGTAACCAAAACAGCATGGTACTGGTACCAAAACAGAGATAAAGACCAATGGAACAGAACAGAGCCCTCAGAAATAATACTACACATCTACAACCATCTGATCTTTGACAAACCTGACAAAAACAAGAAATGGGGAAAGGATTCCCTATTTAAAAAATGGTGCTGGGAAAACTGGCTAGCCATATGTAGAAAGCTGAAACTGGATCCCTTCCTTACACCTTATATCAAAATTAATTCAAGATGGATGAAAGACTTAAATATTAGGCCTAAAGCCATAAAAACCCTAGAAGAAAACCTAGGCAATATCATTCAGGACATAGGCATGGGCAAGGACTTCATGTCTAAAACACCAAAAGCAATGGCAACAAAAGCCAAAATTGACAAATGGGATCTAATTCAACTAAAGAGCTTCTGCACAGCAAAAGAAACTACCATCAGAGTGAACAAGCAACCTACAGAATGGGAGAAAGTTTTTTCAATCTACTCATCTGACAAATGGCTAATATCCAGAATCTACAAAGACCTCAGACAAATTTACAAGAAAAAAACAAACAACCCCATCAAAAAGTGGGCGAAGGATATGAACAGACACTTCTCAAAAGAAGACATTTATGCAGCCAACAGACACATGAGAAAATGCTCATTATCACCGACTTTCAGAGAAATGCAAATCAAAACCACAATGAGATACCATCTCACACTAGTTAGAATGGCAATCATTAAAAAGTCAGGAAACAACAGTTGCTGGAAAGGATGTGGAGAAATGGGAATGCTTTTACACTGTTGGTGGGACTGTAAACTAGTTCAACCATTGTGGAAGACAGTGTGGTGATTCCTCAAGAATCTAGAACTAGAAATACCATTTGACCCAGCCATCCCATTACTGGGTATATACCCAAAGGATTATAAATCATGCTGCTATAAAGTCCCATGCAGATGTATGTTTATTGTGACACTATTCACAATAACAAAGACTTGGAACCAAGCCAAATGTCCATCAATGATAGACTGGATTAAGAAAATGTGGCACATATACACCATGGAATACTATGCAGCCATAAAAAAGGATGATTTCGTGTCCTTTGTAGGGACATGGATTAAGCTGGAAACAATCATTCTCAGCAAACTATCAGAAGAACAAAAACCAAACACTGCATGTTCTCACTCATTGGTGGGAATTGAACAATGAGAACACTTGGGCACAGGAAGGGGAACATCACACACTGGGGCCTGTCATGGCGTGGGAGGAGCATGGAGGGGTAGCATTAGGAGATATACCTAACGTAAATGACGAGTTAATGGGTGCAGCATACCAACATGGCACATGTATACATATGTAACAAACCTGCATTTTGTGCACATGTACCCTGGAACTTAAAGTATAATTTAAAAAAAAAAAAACAAGAAAATCGTGTGTTTCCTATAAAGGACCTAACTAAAAGACTATAGGATGAAATTTATATACTGATATCAGAGTATTTGCTACACCCATCATTAGTGTTTGTCTCCCCTGCAAGATTTTACAAGCGCACAACTGCCTGCTGTAGATCTCCCTTGCACAGAATGGTAGAGACTGCCCCATACTCTGGTCTAGTAGTTAGGATTTGGTACCCTTATTTGGAAGTGTAGGTTCAATTCCCAGTTGAGAAAATGAATTCTTTCAGGTTTATGATTTCTGTGACTTGAAACTCTGATAAGAGATTTGACAGAATATCTTTTTAAGACCTGTAGAGTTAAAAATAGACTTAATTGAAATTGATGTGTGTGTGTGTGTGTGTGTGTGTGTGTGTGTGTGTGTGTGTAGTTTTAAAACCTCTGTCCTTGCTCGGGAACAACAAAAACTTCTTAGTCAACAAAATTCTGTCTGTTTCTCCATTTGATTCTCTCTGTCCCTCCCTCTTGCTATTCTCAATGTGAACATGAGAGAACCTAAAATAATTTCTGACAGACTGGGATCTATTGGGAAAAACAGAAAAGGCTCCATCCTGAAGTCAGTAATCTAAGAAACAAATTAAGTTAAGAAGCCAAAATACAACTTTCTGGAAGTTAGCTGGCAAATGAAAAATCTTATAACTCTATAAGATCTGCTTTAGTCTGTGTACTTGTATGTGTCATTGTGTGTTATATTTCATTACCAAAATATATGAAAGAGCTCTAATTAATTGGTTGACTAGAATAATTAATTGGCTTAATAGAAAGAAGCACTTAAATATTTTATCAGAAAAATATAAACTTTAAATACCTTTAAATTCACATGACCTTAGCAATCTTTGGTAAATACAGTTTTGAAATTATTGGCAAAATAAAATATAAATATCTTCAGAATTTAGACATTTAGTCTGACTTAGGCAGGTCGGATAATGTTTTTGCTAGACATTTTAAGGTTATAAACTACTTCTATGACATTTTTGATCATTGTTTTACAGCCGTTATATTCTAGGTAAGGCCTGGGGATGTGTGGAATTAGCTGTGTTCCCTGGCTATGCTGGGAAGAGTCAGACATTGTTTGCAGCTCTGTCCTTGTCCTGAGGAGTGCAATCTAAAATATGGCTAAAAATGCTTACTTACCAGGTTTTTCACTAAAAATAAAAGTTGCTAAGAGCTAACATTGTAACTAATGTAATTGAGACTGTTGGGAAGCAGGAACCCAGTAGAGCCAGAGTAATGTCACTTAAAGTTCAGCTCCATCTTGAAACTAACAAGGCACATTCCTTGCCAGTCACGACCCACTGTTATGTTTACAGGTAAGGAAACAACTTAGTAATGCCTACAAAGATAAGCTCCTATGACAACAAAATGTCCGGATGCTGCAATATTTGAAACAATATATGCTTTCAAGATAATTATAATTATGTTTTGATGTGCTTACACACTAGAATGTCAATGATAGTTTTCTTTAAATCAACAGAATAATAAATTCTGGCATGCTCTCTGTCTACTCCCATGTAGTCACACTTAACTTAGTCTTTACATAGGCAAGACCCCTATATAAGGAAAACTTAAAACGAAGATGGTGGATTCCTCTACTTGTTTTCTGAGGACACCCTACTCTGTAATAGACTAGCTTTCAATAAACTGTCTATGCTTACTGAACTTGTGATTAACCTTAAATTTCTTCCTGCGCAAGATGCAAGAGGCCTCTCTTGCAGTCTGGATCTGGACCTCTTTTTCTGGAAAAAGACTACTAAAGAAGACTACTAAAAGATTACTATAAGAAGAGTTGAAGGTGGTTTTGGTAAAAGGTTATAAGAAGGCATGGAAATATGTTTTTTTTGTTGTTAAAGGGAAAGAAATGACTAATTTAGAGGTTTTAAAGAATGTTTTAAGTTTTTAAAATGATAGGATTAAATTGAAGGTTTAAGCAAGTCGTGAAAATCTTGTAGAGGATTGATCTTGTAGAGAAACTTCTGTATGTGAGCAAGTTGGCTAAAATTTGAAGATTACTTAGTTTTTCCATAAATAGAACATTAATATAAAAAGCACACTGATACAGACTCAGAATTTGAGCTACTGTGTTTGAAGAACAGAGTTTTCTTGGAGCATTGATGTTTTCTTTAAATATATAGATATGGTTAGGCAAAGTGTATGGAAACCTTACCTTTTGTTCAAACTTATTTAATGGATTGGATTGGCTTTAATAAGGCTTTATTAAAATTAGCTTTGACATTAATAATGCACTAACACAAAAGTAAAATTGGTTGAATAAGATCTTCATGTAATATTAAGAGAAAATGATTATTGCTTGCCTTTTGAGTAAACAGCAGGAAAAGAAAAAGGAAAGAGGGAAGAGAGATGAAATAGATTCAAATGGCCTCATGCTATCTTATTGGGATTTGCTGTTTGGAAAGCTGAGTTTTCTCTCTGTCAAAGAGTAAAGGGTTTTACCTTTTCAAAATTTTTGAGATATTACTTCAGGTAAAAAAAAAATGATCTGTGAACCTATTTTGTGGTATCAAGTGTTTTAAACATTTGATATTTGGCAAAATTTCCAAAATCCAGTTCTTAATCTAGTCCTTTTGACCTCATTGACATTTTAGGTACTAGTCCCCACGAAGTCCAAAAGAGACATATTTGCTTATTTAGTATGATAAAATCATACAGGAAGCACAATCAAGCCTGAAATGGTGTTTGGCTTTCTTTGGGTTTTATTTGTATGAATGTGTTATTGATGTGCATTTCAGAATTGTACTAGACTCCTATAATTTTTATCAAACTTAATGTATGTTATCAGTAATAATTATAAATGTTATC
This sequence comes from Homo sapiens, assembly GCF_000001405.40. Lineage (NCBI taxonomy): Eukaryota > Metazoa > Chordata > Mammalia > Primates > Hominidae > Homo > Homo sapiens. The sequence goes on from NC_000023.11 coordinate 57,510,743, forward strand.
TTAAATTGCATACCACAAAAATACCAAATTTATTTGTCAACTGTGTCTTTAACCATGTCTGTTTTAAGACTTTAGTCATCCACAATTGTTTCACTTTACTCCTTTTCAAAATGACATTTTATAATCAGCTGAAGAATTTTGGCAGGTGCTCTTGAATACATGTTTCTACTATTTTATTAATCTTTGTTTTAGATTCTGGGGTACATGTGCAGGTTTGTTATATAGGTAAATTGAATGTCATGGAGGTTTGGTGTACAAATTATTTAATCACAGGGGTGATAAGCATAATACCCAATAGGTAGTTTTTTATTCTCTCTCTCTTCCCATCCTCCACCCTCAAGTAGACCTTAGTGTTTTTTATTCCCTTCTTTCTGTGCATGTGTACTCAATATTTAGCTTCTAATTATAAGTGAGAACATGCAGTATTTGGTTTTCTGTTCCTGTGATAGTTTACTTAGGAAAATGGCCTCCAGCTCCATCCATACTCCTGCAAAGAACATTCTCTCATTCTTTTTTAGGGCTGTGTAGTATTACATTGTATATAAGCATCACATTTTCTTTATCCAGTCTACCATTGACAGGTATGTAGGTTGATTCCATGTCTTTGCTACTCTAAATAGTGCTTCAGTTAACATACATGTCCATGTGTCTTTATTATAGAATAGTTTATATTCCTTTGGGTATATACCCAACCACTGAATTATTGTGTCAAATTATAATTCTGTATTAAATTATTTAAGAAATTACCACATGCCTTTTGAGAATGGCTGAACTAATTTGCATTCCCACGAGTAGTGTATAAGCATTGCCTGTTCTCCGCAACCTCACCAGCATTGTTTTTTTTTAACTTTTTAATAATAAACATTCTAACTGATGTAAGATGGTATTGCATTGTGATTTTTATTTGCATTTCTCTAATGATTAGTGATATTCAGCATATTTTTCAAATACTTCTTGACCACATGGATGTCTTCCGTTGAAAAGTGTCTATTTGTGTCCTTTGCCCACTTTTTAATGCGGTTGTTTGCTTTTTGCTTGTTAATTTAAGTCCCTTATGTATTCCGGGTATAAGAACTTTGTTGGATTCATATTTTGCAAATACTCTTCCTATTCTTTAGGTTGTCTGTTGATTCTTTGATAGTTTCTTTTGCTTTGCAGAAGCTCTTTAGTTTAATTAGGTCTCATTTGTCAATTTTTGCTTTTGTTGCGATTGTTTTTGGCATTCCCTTCATGAAATCCTTGCCAGAACCCATGTGCAGAATGATATTTCTTAGGTTAACTTTCAGGGAGTTTATATCAGTTTTACATTTAAGTCTTTAATTTATTTTGAATTAATTTTTGTATATAGTATAAGCAATGGGTCCAGTTTCAATATTCTGAATAGGGCTAGCCAGTTATCTAAGCATCATTTAGTGAACTCGAGTTTCTTTTCCCATTGCTTCTTTCATTGACTTTGATGAAGATCAGATGGTTGTAGGTGTGAGGTATTATTTCTGGGTTCTATATTCTTTTCCATTGATCTGTGTGACTGTTTTTGTTCTGGAACCATGCTTTTTTGGTTACTATAGTCTTGTAGTATAGGTGAGTTAGGTAGCATAATGCCTCAAGCTTTTTGTTTGTTTGTTTGTTTAGAACTGCTTTGGATATTCAGAGTTTTTTATGGTTCCATATGAATTTTAGGGTTTTTTTCTTAATTTGTGAATATCATTAGTAACTTTGTAGAAATAACCTTGAATCTGTAAATTGCATTGGGCAGTATGACCATGTTAACAATATTGATTCTTACTATCCATGAACATAGATTGCATAATTTAATTGCAATGAACATGAGCATAATTTCATTGTTTGTGTCATCTCTGATATCTTTCAATAGTGTTCTGTAATTCCCATTGTAGAGACATTTCACCACCCTGGTTAGCTGTATGTCAAGGTATTTATTCTTTTTGTTGAAATTTTGAACAGTTTTGGGTTTTTTATTTGGCTCTGAGCTTGGAAGTTTTTGGTGTACAAAAAATGCCACTGATTTTTCTGCATTGATTCTGTATCCTGAAATTTGTTGAAATTTTTATCAAATCTGGGAGCTTTTGGGCAGAGACTATGGGGATCTTTAGAGACAGAATCATATCTTCAACAGAGATAATTTTACTTTCCCTCTTCCTCTTTGGATGCCTTTTATTTTGTTGTTGTTGTTGTTGTTGTTGTTGTCGTTGCCTCATTGCTCTGGCTAGGATTTTCAGTTCTATGTTTAATAAGAGTGGTGAGAGTAGGCATCCTTGTCTTGTTCCAATTCTCAAAGGAAATTCTTCCACCTTTTACTCATTCAGTATGTTGACTGTGGGTTTGTAATAAATGTGTGTTGATGGTATGTTTTATTTTGAGTTATGTTTATTCAATGACTAGTTTGTTGAATGTTCTTAGCATGTAGGGATGGTACATTTTCTCAACACCCTATTCTGCATATATTGAAATGATCATGTGGTTGTTATTAGTTCTGTATATGTGATGAATCACATGTATTGATTTGTGTATGTTGAGCCACCCTTGCATCCCAGCAATAAAGCCTAATTTATCATGGTGGATTAGATATTTGATGTGCTGCTGTATTTGTTTGGCTAGCATTTTGTTGAGGATTTTTGCTTTTTTGTTCATCAAAGATATTGGCCTGAAGTTTTCCATGTTGTTGTTGTTGTTGTTGTGTCTCTTCCAGGTTTTGATCTCACAATATTGCTGGCCTCATATAATAAGTTAGGGAAGAGTGTCTCCTTAACTTTTTGGAATAGTTTCAGTAGGAATAGTACCAGCTCTTCTTTATACATGTGTTAGAATACTGCATTGTATTCATCTGCTGCTGGGGTTTTTCTGGTTAGTAGGCTTTTTATTACTAATTCAATTTCTATTCTCATTATTATTCTGTTCAGGTATTCCCTGTGTTCTTGGTTCAGTCTTGGGAGGGTCTATGTTTCCAATAATTTATCTTCTGTATAGAGGAGGTCTGAGGGTTTTATTTTTTATTTCTGTAGGGTCTCCTTTAACATTTTTGATTAAATTTATTTGACTATTCTCTCTTTTTATCTTTATTGGTCTAGCTAGTATTCTATCAATGTTATTTATTCTTTCAAACAAACAAACTCCTGGATCCACTGATCTTTTGTATGAATTTTCACATCTTAATTTTCTTCGGTTCAGCTGTGATTTTGGTTACTTCTTGTCTTCCACTAGCTTTGGGATTGGTTTTTCCTTGTTCATCTGGTTTCTCCAGATGCGATGTTAGATTGTAAATTTGAGATGTTCCTTACATTTTGATGTAGGCTTTCAGTGCTATAAACTTCCCTTCTGACACTGCATTAGCTGTGTCCCAGAGATTCTTATATGATGTAATTTTGTTTTCATTAGTTTTGTTTACCCACAAGTCATTCAAAAGAAGGTTATTTAATTTCCATGGAATTTTATGTTTTTGAGCCATTTTCTTTTTATTGTTCTCTATTTTTGTTGTGCTGTGGTCTGTGAGTGTGTTTGGTATGACTTCTTTTTTTGTATTTACTGAGGATTTTTTAATGTCCAATTGTGTGGTTGATTTTAGAGTATGTGCCATTTGCAGATGAGAATGATATATATTCTGATGTGCCTTGGTGTAGGGTTCTGTAGATGACTTTTAGGCTCATTTGTCAAGTGTTGAGGTCAGATCTAAATATACTTGTCAGTTTTCTGCCTTAATGATGTGCCTAATATCGTTTCTGGGGAGTTGAAGTCTCCAACTATTATTGTGTGGTTATCTCAGTCTCTTAAAACGTCTCTAAGAACTTGGTTTATAAATCTGGGTGTTCCTGTGTTGGCTGTATATTTCACATTTAGGATACTTAGATTTCCTTGTTGTAATGAACCTTTTACCATTATTTAATGTCCTTCTTTGTCTTTTTGATCATTGTTTGTTTAATGTCTGTTTTGTCTGAAATTAGAATAGAAACTCCTGCTTTTTTCTGTCGTCAGTTTGTTTGGTAGATTTTTCTCTATCTCTTTACATTTAGCCTATTGGTGTCATTGCAGTGACATGGGTCTCTTTTGGACAGCATACAGGTGAATCTTGTTTCTTTATCCAAATTGCCACTCTGTGCCTTTGGATTGGGGCATTTAGCCCAGTTACATTCACGGATAATATTGATATGTGCAGATTTGATCTTGTCAATGTGTCATTAGCTGGTTATTATGAAGATTTTCTTGTGTGGTTACTTCATACTGTCAATTGTCTATGTACTTAAGTGCGTTTTTGTGGTGGCTGGTAACAGTCTTTTTTATATTTAGCATGCCGTTCAGAACCTCTTGTAACACAGGTCTGGTGGTAACAATGAGCATATGCTTGTCTGAGATGGATCTTATTTCCTCTTGGTTTATAAAGCTTAGTTTGGCTGGATACGAAATTCTTGGTTGGAATTTATTTTCTTTAAGATGTTTAATATGGGTCCCCTATCTCTTCTGCTTTGTGGGGTTTCTGCTTTAAGTTCCTCTGTTATCCTGACAGAGTTCCCTTTGTAGGTAACTCGCCTTATTCTAGGTGTCTTTAATTTTTTTTTTTTTTTTTTACACCTTTGCCCTGGAGAATCTGATGACTATGTGTCTTGGGGATGCTCATTTTTTATAGTATCTCACAGGGATTCCCTGCATTTTCTGAATTTGTATGTGATGCTCTCTAGTGAAGTTGAGAAAATTTGGGAGATGATATGTTTTCCACACTACCAGCTTTCTCTCTATCTTTAAGGGATGCCAATGAATCACAGATTTTGAATCTTTACCTAATCCCATATTATTGGAGGTCTTGTTCATTCTTCTATATCAGTTTTGTTTATTTTTGTCTGACTGAGTTATTTCTGAGAACCAGTCTTCAAGCTCTGAGATTCTTTCCTCAACTTTGTCAATTCTGCTGTTAATACTAGTGATTGCATTATGCAATTCTTGGGGTGAGTTTTCCAGCTCTTTCAGATGCATTTGGCCATTTCACCTTTTATCTCCTGCATTGTTTTATTATATTCCTTAGATTTCTTGGATTGGATTTTGAGTTTCTCCTGGATGTTGATAATCTTTATTCCTATCTATATTCTGAGATCTATTTCTGTTATTTTAGCTATTTCAGCCAGGTTAAGAACCATTTCTGGGAAACTAGTGTGACAATTCAGAGGTAAGAAGACATTCTGGCTTTTTAAATTCCTGGAGTTCTTGCACCACTTTTCTTTTCATCTGAGTGGTCTCATGTTTCTTCAATCTTTGAAGCTGCTTTCTTTTGGATTTTTTTTTTTTTTTGCTTTTATTTTCTTTGGTGCCCTTGGGGGTTTGATTGTGGTATAACTTGTGTCCAGTATACTGAGCTTGTTCTACAAGATTTTATATGGCCCAGGCTCAGCTCAGCACTCCTGGACTGTGTGCTCTAATACTTGGGGTGGGGGGCTGATACCAGGCCCCTGGTTTTGTTCTCTAACCACTTGAGGTTACAAACATGCACCACTGGAGGAGCCAAGGTGTTCCTGGCCTGATAGCCACAACACTCCAATGGGTTGTGCCGGCTGAAGTGCTTTGTTGGGGCAGTAGCAGCAAAATATGTGCTTGCTCATGCATGCCAATAGCTTTGGCTGTGTGGCTGGTTACATGCACATCAACTGGTGTGTAGTACCAGTGGAAGCGTGGCTGTGGTACTTGTGTCAGCAGTGCTAGTTGTGGGGCACAGCAGGGAGAGTATTGCTAGTGTCTGTGCACACCCTTGTGCCAGCGGTGGCAGTGGTGGGGGCAGGGCACTCTCAGGCATAGGACTGTCATCCTCCGTGCAGGGTTTGGTGGGGTTACCAGCATCTGTGTACACATTTGTCCTGGCAGCAGTGTTGATATGGGGGCAGCTGGTTCGACAGTGTTCATGTGTGGACATAGCGCATTCACAGCATTGGTGGTTGTGATGCAGGGGTGTGGCATGTCTAGCATCTGTGCATGTGTTCATGCTGGTTGCAGCGGTGGTGGAGGGGAAGTCAGCAGGTTGTGCTTATGTCTGCAGCAGTGGTACAGCAAGGTGCATGTACACATGTGCACCAGTTGGAGAGGGAAGGTGAGATCTACCTGCATGTGCACCCTGGCAAAGCAATAGGAGGATGGCTGTGGGTGAGTGCATGCCAGGAATGTGCTGTAGGGGAGCCTATAGTGGAAGGAGGGTGTGGATGGACTGAGGCATGTTGGCAGGGGCTTCTCTGTTGGAGGTCTCCAGCAGTTGGTGTGGTCCGCTGGTGAAGGAGCTATGATGAGGGCTCCTGGGAAGCACCTTGGAGTGGCATCCATGACTGTGCTGCCTATGTGTGTGGCCAGGCTTGGGCCCTGGGAGAAGCCAGCAGACAGGAGGGTGCTCAGATTGGACTGGTCTCATCTCACAGGCAAGACCATCCCATTGTGTCCAGGTCCAACAGTCACCCTTTGGCAGAGTGTCCTAGAGGAGTATGTCAAGCATTGGGGGATGGGTGTCCCTGGCCACACTCCACTGTAGATGTTCCCACACCAAACATGGTGGTCTTCATCCAGGCTACACTCCTGCTCCTATTATCTGTCAGCAGCAGCTCTCACTGCCAGCTCAAGTGTCCATGAGGATCCTGGGGTTTCCTGCTGCCCAGATTCTGGAGGTATATAATGAGAGCATGCCACTCTTCACCTGTTCAACTCACGCCTTCCACAGGAGTAACTGGAGGCAAGGAACAAGTTCTGGTGCTTGGTCCCCCCATTCAGAGTTCCCAGTTTTCTCCCCTATCAGCTTAGCATCTGTGTCCTCCCTTCATTGACTCTCAATGTCTTCCCTCCAAAGATCTGCTGGGAGTGTGCCAGTCTTCCTGATGTCCCAGTATCTCAGTGGCAGATGTTCCTCTTGGCTACATCTAGTCAGCCATCTTGAATGAATATTTCTGATAACTTTGGAGATTGTCTCATTGGAATAAAGAAAACATTTCCAGGACTGTCATTGAAAGCTGACATGTTCATAAGGATTGCTGGCCCAATATTGAGTATAATCAAAGTTAATTGCATGGACTGAATTAATAAAGACTGAAACAGTCTTTGTATAACTTTTTGTTTGAAACATTGCTGATTTTTGGTTTTTTTTTCAGTGTCAAGAAAACTTTTTTCTTTTTTGCTATACACAGCTTTTAACAGTTAAGTATACTGCTGTGAACAAAATTTAAGACATACTTCTTTCTCTTTATCTGATTCACGAGAACTCAGAATGTATTTGTGAGTATTCTTAATTTATGACAATATAGCTATCTGCTCAAGTTCAATAATAATCTGTTTTCTTTTTTGACAGGACACAATTGGAGACACTAGTTATTTTACTAAGGTTTTGCCTTGAATGGCATATTTTCAGATATGAATAGGCTGATTTGAGGAATTAAAATTGACTTTATATAACCAATAACAGCCATCTTGGGGAAACTGACCTCCACTTTGTCTATACAGTTTCCTTACAGGGTCACTGACCTGTGACAAGTAAAGAATGTTACTTTGTGACAGCTCTAGAAACCCCAATTTATTTTGGGACATCAAAAAGAGGAATTAACCTAATTACCAATGGTATCTTTTGAAAGTTCTAATCTGAGATTTTCTATGAAAAAAAGTCTAATCTGAGATTTCCTCTGAAAATAGTTCCAGCAAAGCCATTCTTTTGTTAAAAAGAGGCTATATGTCAAATAACTATTCTTGCTGCACTTTGCACAAATAATCAGGCAAATATAATAAGGCTAAAACATATTTTGCAAATAAATTGGCCTTGCTATGAATTGTCTGGTAAAAATGGGGACTGGAGAGAGACAAAATATTTTTCAAAAGAAAACTATAATATAGCTGTTATCAGAGTCTAGCCTTGTTTGTTGTTTTTCAGTTTTTGTTATTTTCTACAATTTAAACTGAAACCTGAGTTCTTTCCTGGCTACAAGACTCCAAATTTACATTTTCAAATTTGTCTTTCTTGTTTCTTACTCGGACTCAATGGAATTGCTATTACCTCTTTCTTGAGGCCCTGCAAGCTAAAGCTCATTTATTATAATGCAGGCAAGAAAAAAAAGTCAGACTGTTACTGCCTTTTTCTTCTTTAACTAAAGATACTTTTAGTCTAATGTCTGAACACTTCAAATGTCAGCCCTCCATACTTTAAGGAAACTGGTTTAAGCATTGTTCTCTAACATAACTTTTGTTTTTCTTCTGTTTTCATAGAAATGCCTCTTATTAGATATCTGTTTGCCTTCATTAAAGATAGAGGCCTAACCCATCTTCAATGCCATCTTCCGGAATCAGACACTGCTGTTTAACTAAACTGATCGATTTTGGGGACTAAGAAACTGACCAAAGAAGATACAGAATGATATATTTAAGTTTTTTTTCTGTTTATACCAATCTGTCTCTCTAACAACCTTTAATCCAAATATTTTTACCATGCCAAGAAGATCTACAGATGGGATAGCACATAAATAAATTCTGGGGGAGCCTGTAAAAAAAGATTCATGGCTCAATCCCATTAATAACTATGCTCCCCATGAGCGAGTCTATCAATAAACAGACCCTGGGGAAGATTATTACAGTGTTGTCTTCTGGCTATACTTTTGTTTGTAGCATAGGGTCAGATCCTCCTTTAAAATAGTGGGTCCATCACTGTCTTAACAACATTTTAGGGATCCTGGTTTCTAGTTATGGAGTATATGCCCTCAAAGATATGGTCAGAAACGTATCTGGTATCTTAAGGATAATTGCCAAAAAAAAAAAAAAAAAAAAAAAAGCAAATAGTCTTATGGCTCAGAAAAGGTCCTTTAAGTTGTTAGGTAGTCCTAGGCAATTAGGAACCACTAGATTTTCTGTTGGCTAAACAAGGGGAAGTATACACAGTATTAAACAACACTTGCTTCACCTATATGAACACATTCAGAGATGTTGAAACTTGAATAGGAAAAAAAAATTCTCCCAACAAGTGACATAGCTACAACAGGTTTTCCCTAAGAACCTTGTCTCTGATTGGTCCTTTGGGTTATTCACCTAGATCCCTTAAGGTTTAAAATCAATTCTACAGGGACTTTTGAACTTAGACTTTCACTCCATATGTTAGGACTTATTATTTACATTATAGTTTGCTGTTAACTTAGCTGTTTATGTAGGTGTTCAAAGCTACATGAACGGCGAACTATAAGGTAAATAAGAAGCTTTCCCAAGACAAACTAAAACACTAGTGACTAATCTTAGAATCACAGCAATATGTAAACTTTAAGAGGGAATTCAAAAGAGCTGTCTTGGGAAAGCTCAAGAAACTTCAAGATAACACAGAGAAGGAATTTAGAATTCCATCAATGAAATTTAACAGATATTGAAGTAATTTTTAAAAAATCAAACACATATTCTGGGGCAGAAAAATGTAACTGATGAACTAAAAAAAAAATCAGAGTGTCTCAACAGCAGAATTAATCAAGTAGAAGAATTAGATTGAAGACAATCTATATGGAAATATACAGTCAGATTAGACAAAAAAGAATAAGAAACAGAAAGTTTCTTATATACAGTATCCTCAAAAAGGAAATTTAAATGTTATTGGCCTTAAAGAGAATGTAGAGAAAATGATAAGGATAGAAAGTTTATTGAAACAAAAAATAACAGAGAATGTCACAAATTTAGACAAAGAGGTGAATATTCAGGCACAAGAAGGTTAAAAAACAACAAGAAAATTCAACTAAAATAGGAGTACTTCAAGGTATGTAATAATCGCCCTTTCAAAGGTCAAGAAGGAAGAAAGGGTCAAAAAAGTAGTTTAATAAAAGATGCAAATAACAAATAAAGGAAAGCTCTAATATATCTGCTAGCAGACTTTTTATTGGAAACCACAGAGGTCAGGAGGGAGTGGGATGGCATATTCAACGTGCTGAAGGAAAAAAAAATTCAACTTAGAGATTTATACTCAGTAAAGGTACCATTAAAACATGAAGCAGAAATGCACACTTTCACAAACAAATGCTGAGGGAAGTCATCAATACCTATCTTACAAAAACAGCTAAATAAAGTTCTTTAATCTGAAATAAAAGAATGCTAATGCACAACAAGAAATCATTTGAAGGTGTAAAACTCAGTGGGAAATGTAAGTACACAGACAAATACAGCATAGTCTAACAGCAGAATCGCAGTATGTAAATCACACATATATTTAAGAATAAGAAAAAGAAATTTATCTAAAGTTTTTTAACATATAGAAAATATAAAAATATAACAAAAAGTAAAAAGTGAAAAGGATGGAGCTAATGTGTAAAATTTTTTAGTTTTCTCCTTGTAATTTACTTGTTTTTTCCTTTCATTGTAATTAGAGTTAAGTATTTTTTATTATTATACTTTCAGTTCTAGGGTACATGTGAACAACGTGCAGGTTTGTTACATATGTATACATATGTCATGGTGGCGTGCTGCACCCATTAACTTCTCATTTACATTGGGTATATCTCCTAATGCTATCCCTCCCCCCTACCCTCACCACACAACAGGTCCCGGTGTGTGATGTTCCCCTTCCTGTGTCCAAGTGTTCTCATTGTTTAATTCCCACATATGAGTGAGAACATGCGGTGTTTGGTTTTCTGTCCTTGCAATAGTTTGCTGAGAATGATGGTTTCCAGCTTCATCCATGTCCCTACAAAGGACATGAAATCATCCTTTTTTATGGCTGCATAGTATTCCACGGTGTATATGTGCCACATTTCCTTAATCCATTCTATCATTGATGGACATTTGGCTTGGTTCCAAGTCTTTACTATTGTGAATAGTGCCACAATAAACATACGTGTGCATGTGTCTTTATAGCAGCATGATTTATAATCCTTTGGGTATATACGCAGTAATGGAATGGCTGGGTCAAATGGTATTTCTAGTTTTAGATCCTTGAGGAATCACCACACTGTCTTTCACAATGGTTGAACTAGTATACAGTCCCATCACCAGTGTAAAAGTGTTCCTATTTCTCCACATCCTCTCCAGCAACTGCTATTTCCTGACTTTTTAATGATTGCCATTGTAAATGGTGTGAGATGGTATCTCATGGTGGTTTTGATTTGCAATTTTCTGATGGCCAGTGATGATGAGCATTTTTTCATGTGTCTGTTGGCTGCATAAATGTCTTCTTTTCAGAAGTGTCTGTTCATATCCTTCACCCACTTGTTGATGTGGTTGTTTGTTTTTCTCTTGTAAATTTGTTTGAGTTCTTTGTAAATTCTGGATATTAGCCCTTTGTCAGATGAGTAGATTGCAAAAATTTTGTCCCATTCTGTAGACTGCCTGTTCACTCTGATGGTAGTTTCTTTTGCTATGCAGAAGCTCTTTAGTTTAATTAGATCCCATTTGTCAATTTTGGCTTTTGTTGCCATTGCTTTTGGTGTTTTAGACATGAAGTCCTTGCCCATGCCTATATCCTGAATGGAATTCCCTAGGTTTTGTTCTAGAGTTTTTATGGTTTTAGGTTTAACATTTAAGTCTTTAAACAATTTTGAGTTAATTTTTGTAGAAGGTGCAGGGAAGGGATCCAGTTTCAGCTTTCTACATATGGCTAGCCAGTTTTTGAAGCACCATTTATCAAATAGGGAATCCTTTCCCCAATTCTTGTTTTTGTCAAGTTTGTCAATGATCAGATGGTTGTAGATGTGCGGTATTATTTCTGAGGGCTCTGTTCTGTTCCATTGATCTACATCTCTGTTTGAGTAGCAGTACCATGCTGTTTTGGTTACTGTAGCCTTGTAGTATAGTTTGAAGTCAGGTCGCATGATGCCTCCAGCTTCGTTCTTTTGGCTTAGGATTGACTTGGCAATGAGGGCTCTTTTTTGTTTCCATATGAACTTTAAAGTAGTTTTTTCCAATTCTGTGAAGAAAGTCATTGGTAGCTTGATGGGGATGGCATTGAATCTATAAATTACCTCAGGCAGTATGGCCATTTTCAGGATATTGATTCCTCCTACCCAGTAGCATGGAATGTTCTTCCATTTGTTTGTATCCTCTTTTATTTCATTGAGCAGTGGTTTGTAATTCTCCTTGAAGAGGTCCTTCACATCCCTTGTAAGTTGGATTCCTAGGTATTTTATTCTCTATGAAGCAATTGTTCATGGGAGTTCACTCATGATTTGGTTCTCTTTTTGTCTACTATTGGTGTACAGGAATGCTTGTGATTTTTGTACATTGATTTTGTATCCTGAGACTTTGCTGAAGTTGCTTATCAGCTTAAGGAGATTTTGGGATGAGATGATGGGGTTTTCTAGATACACAATCATGTCATCTGAAAACAGGGACAATTTGACTTCCTCTTTTCCTAATTGAATACACTTTATTTCTTTCTCCTGCCTGATTGCCCTGGCCATAACTTCCAACAATATGTTGAATAGCAGTGGTGAGAAAGAGTATCCCTGTCTTGTGCCCGTTTTCAAAGGGATTGCTTCCAGTTTGTGCCCATTCAGTATGATATTGGCTGTGGGTTTGTCATAAATAGCTCTTATTATTTTGAGATACATCCCATCAATATCTAATTTATTGAGAGTGTTTAGCATGAAGGGCTGTTGAATTTTGTCAAAGGCCTTTTCTGCATCTATTGAGATAATCATGTGGTTTTCGTCTTTGGTTCTGTTTATATGCTGGATTACGTTTATTGATTTGCGTGTGTTGAACAACCTTGCATCCCAGGGATGAAGCCCACTAGATCATGTTGGATAAGCTTTTTGATGTGCTGCTGGATTTGGTTTGCCAGTATTGATTTGAGGATTTTTGCATTGATGTTCATCAGGGATGTTGGTCTAAAATTCATTTTTTTGATTGTGTCTCTGCCAGGCTTTTGTATCAGAATGATGCTGGCCTCATAAAATGAGTTAGGGAGGATTCCCTCTTTTTCTATTGATTGGAGTAGTTTCAGAAGGAATGGTTCCAGCTCCTCCTTGTACCTCTGGTAGAATTCAGCTGTGGATTCGTCTGGTCCTGGACTTTTTTTGCTTGGTAATCTATTAGTTATTGCCTCAGTTTCAGAGCCTGTTATTGGTCTGTTCAGAATTTCAATTTCTTCCTGGTTTAGTCTTGGGAGGCTGTATGTGTTGAGCAATTTATCCATTCCTTCTAGATTTTCTCATTTATTTGCATAGAGGTTTTATAGTATTCTCTGATGGTAGTTTGTATTTCTGTGGGATTGGTGGTGATATCCCCTTTATCATTTTTTATTTCGTCTATTTGATTCTTCTCTCTTTTCTTCGTTATTAGTCTTGCTATCTGTCTATCAGTTTTGTTGAGCTTTTTAAAAAACCAGCTCCTGGATTCATTGATTTTTTGAAGGGTTTTTTGTGTCTCTATCTCCTTCAGTTCTGCTCTTATCTGAGTTATTTCTTGCCTTCTGCTAGCTTTTGAATGTGTTTGCTCTTGCTTCTCTAGTTCTTTTAATTGTGATGTTAGCATGTCAATTTTAGATCTTTCCTGCTTTCTTTTGTGAGCATTTAGTACTATAAATTTCCCTCTACACACTGCTTTGAATGTGTCCCAGAGATTCTGATATGTTTTGTCTTTGTTCTCCTTGGTTTCAAAGAACATCTTTATTTCTGCCTTCATTTCGTTATGTACCCAGTAGTCGTTCAGGAGCAGGTTGTTCAGTTTCCATGTAGTTGAGCGGTTTTGAGTGAGTTTCTTAATCCTGAGTTCTAGTTTGTTTGCACTGTGGTCTGAGAGACAGTTTGTTATAATTTCTGTTCTTTTACATTTGCTGAGGAGTGCTTTACTTCCATCTATGTGGTCAATTTTGGAATAGGTGTTATGTGGTGCTGAGAAGAATATATATTCTGTTGATTTGGGGTGGAGAGTTCTGTAGATGTCTGCTAGGTCCACTTGGTGTAGAGCTGAGTTCAATTCCTGGATATCCTTGTTGACTTTCTGCCTCGTTGATCTGTCTAATGTTGAGAGTGGGGTGTTAAAGTCTCCCATTATTATTGTTTGGGAGTCTAAGTCTCTTTGTAGGTCTCTAAGGGTGTGCTTTGTGTATCTGGGTGCTCCTGTATTGGGTGCATATATATTTAGGATAGTTAGCTCTTCTTGTTGAATTGATCCCTTTACCACTATGTAATGGCCTTCTTTGTCTCTTTTGATATTTGTTGGTTCAAAGTCTATTTTATCAGAGACTGGGATTGCAACCCCAGCCTTTTTTTGTTTTCCATTTGCTTGGTAGATCTTCCTCCATCCCTTTATTTTGAGCCTATGCGTGTCTCCACACATGAGATGGGTTTCCTGAATACAGCACACTGATGGGTCTTGCCTCTTTATCCAATTTGCCAGTCTGTGTCTTTTAATTGGAGCATTTAGCCCATTTACATTTAAGGTTAATATTGTTACATGTGAATTTGATACTGTCATTATGATGTTAGCTGGTTATTAATTTTTGGTTTTATTGCAATTGCTTTTGGGGACTTGGTCAAGCACTCTTTGTCAAGGCCTAAGTTGTGAAGGATATTTCCTGTTTCCTCCTAGGATCTTTATCTTTTAAGGTCTTACATTTAAATATCTAATCCATCTTGAGTTTATTTTTGTATACGATGTAAAGTAGGAATCCAATTTCATTTTTCCACATATAGCTAGCCAGTTATTACAGCACCATTGATTGAATAAAAAGTTCTTTCCCCATTGCTTGTTTTCTTCAGCATTGCAGGGTTTGTTTTCCAAGCCTTGGCCCTTATCTTTTTAATTCCCTAAGTTACAAAGGTTATATCAATAAATTCACATATATTGATTTGCATATATTGAACTATCTTTGCCTTCCTGATAGAAAACCCACTTGGTCATAGTGTTTTGTCTTTCTGGATGTGCTCCTACATTTGGTTTGCTAGTACCTTGTTGATTATAGTGTGTACGTTTCTCAGGGATATTGATCAGTGGTTTTCCTTTTTGGTTGTGTCCTTGCCTGTTTTTGGTATCAGGGTGATGCCGGCCTCATAGAGTGAAGTAGGGAGAATTTCTTGAATATTTTGCAATAGCTTCAGAAAAATCAGTATTAGCTTGTTCATTTCGTAGAATTCAATTCTGAATCCATCTGGTCCTGTTATTTTCTCTGTTGCGAGATTTGTAATTACTGATTCAATCTTGCTACTCATTATTGGTATGTTCAGGTTGTCTATTTTTCTGATTAAATCTTGAGAGCTTATTTGTTTCTACAAATCTGTCCGTTTCCTCTAGGTTTTCTAGTTTGTGAGTTTATAGCTGTTCATAATTGTCTCTGATGATCTTTTGTATTTCTGAGTTATCTGTTGTAATGTCTTTTAAAAAATATTTCTGATTTTCTTTACTTGGATCTTCTCTTTTCTTTTTCGGTCATTCTTCCTGTTGGTTTCCTAGCTTTGCTTATCTTTTCAGAGATCAACTTTCAGTTTCATTGTTCCTTAAAATATTTATTAGGCGTCTGCTTCTTTTATTTCTGTTCTGATTTTTATTTCTGTTTTCTACTAATTTTGGGTATGGTTTCTTGCTTTTGTATCTTCTGAGTTGTAACATAAGGTTGCTAATTTGTTAATTTTAAATATTTTTGACATAGCCATTTAATGATATAATATTTCCCCTTAGCATTGCCTTTGCTGTATCCCACAAGCTTGGGTATGCTGTGTTTCCATTTTCATTTGTTCCAAGGTTTTTAGAATTTTCATCTTAATTTCTCCATGAACCCAATTGTTATTATAAACATGTTGTTTAATTTCCATATATTTACATTTTCCAAGTTCCTTCTGATATTGATTTTTAATTTTATTCACCTGTGGTCTGAGAAGATACTTGATACAATTTTGATTTTTTAAAATTTGCTAAGACTTATTCTGTGGCATAATATAGGGTCTATCTTGAAGAATTTTCCATGTGCTCATGAAAAGAATGTCCATTCTGCAGTTATTGGGTAGAATATTTTGTAAATGCTTTTTATGTCTGTTTTGTCTAAAGTCCAATTTAAGTCGATATTTTTTTTTAATTTTCTGTCTTGATGTTCTGTCTAATGCTTTGAGTGGTGTATTGAAGTCCTCAATTATTATTGTATTTCTGTCTATCTCTTTTCTGGGTGCAAGCTGTTGAGTGCATATACTTAGAATCATTATGCGCTCTTTCTGAGTTGATCCTTTTATCATTCTATAACAACCTTCTTTGTCTTTTGTTACTTTTTTTAATTTAATGTCTATTTTATCTCATGTAAGTATAGCTGTTTCTGATCAAAGTTTGTTTCTGTTTGTATAGAATATCTTTTTCCACCACTTTTAGTCTATATGTGTCTGCACAGTTAAGGCAAACTTTTTATAAGTGGGATACACTTGAATTATGTTTATTTATTCCACTTATATATATATTTTATGTGACGCATTTAATCCATTTGGAAGTAAAGTTAATTGATACGTGTCATTTTGTTCCTGTCATATTGTAAATTCTTTTATGGTTTCTTAATTATGTATTTGTTTCTGTTTTTGTGGTTTGGTAGAATTGTGTAGTGTTGTCATTTGATTCTTTTCTCTTCCTCTTCTGTGATTGCCTTACCAATGAGTTTTATACTTTCATGTGTTTTCATTATGGTGAATATTGTCCTTATATTTCCATGTTTAGAAATCCTTTAAGCATGTCTTATAGGGCTGGTCTACTGCTGTTGAATTCCCTCCATGTTTGATTGTCCGTGAAAGACTTTTTTTTCCTTCATTTATAATGTTTAATCTTGCCAGATACAAAATATTGACTGTCTGATTTCTTTCTCATAGTTTGAATATACTATTCTATTCTTTTCTGTCCTGTATGGTTTCTGCTGAGGAGTGTACTGTTAGTCTGATAGGGTTTCTTTTATAAGGGAATAGACCCTTTCCTTTTGCTGATTTTAGAATTCTTTCTTTCACTTTGCCTTTGGACAGTCTGATTACAATATGCCATGGTGAGGAACTTTTTGCAATGTATTTGCCTGAGTATTATTGGGCCTCCTCTATCTGTGTGTCTAAATGTCTTGCTAGATATGAGATGGTTTCATCAATTATTTTGTTTAATATGTTTACTAAAAATAGTTATCTGTCTTCTCCTTTGGGAATACTGATAATTTGTAAGTTTGGTCACGTTATGTCGTTCCAAACATCTCAAAAGTTTTGTGGATTATTTTGTGTGCATTTATTTTTATTTTTGTCTGACTGGACTATTTCAAAAAATCTGTCTTCAAATTCTGAGATTATTTCTTCTGCTTGGTTTAGTCTATTGTTGAAGCTTTGAAATGTATTTTTAATTTCTTTAGTAAATAAATTATTCAGTTACAGAAGTTCTATTTCCTTTTTTTAAAGATATCTATCTCCTTGGTAAATTTCTCATTGATATTCTGAATTGATTTTCTGATTTCTTTTAATTGGTTTTTAGATATATCTTCCATCTCATTGAGCTGCTTTAAAATCAATGCTTTGAATTCTTTATCTGGCATTTTGAGATTTTATTTTTGGTTAAGATTCCTTTGAGCGTGTCATATTACTATGCATTTTCATGATTGCTATATCTTTACATTGATTTCTGTACATCTGGAGCAACAGTCACTTTTCATTTTGGATTTATTTTCTTTGGGGAAATGATACTTTTTTCTTGAAGATATGACTATGATGGTTGTGTAGGGCTATTTGGCTTTGCTTCTGGGTGCAAGCAGTGGTGAAGATTATGTTTGATTTCCTTGTCTACATCTGTGGAGTCCTCAGTGTGTTAGGGTGTGGTATTGGTGGAGGCTGTGGTGAGGTTGTACTGGGGACTTGAATGCCTGATGGGCCTTTCTTCATGTTTTGGTGGTAGTAGTCATTGGGTAATCATGTCTATTCTTATGACCTGAAGCAGTGTATGCTGGCACCTGTGTTCGCAGTTCCAGATAGGTCAAACCTCGGGCCTCTGGGTGGCTTTCTCATATGCTTGTTGTAGTAGCAGGGTACTGAATTGGTGAGTGTGCTTACAATCTTCTGAGCAGACAAAGTGGCATGAGCAATGGCAGTTACAGTGGTAGTGATTTACTCTTCTAGTTCCTGAGTGCTATGCTCTTTATTACCAGTTGTTGCCATGGGCTGTCCAGGCTGGTCTCTAGGCCAGTAGATGGCAGTAGCAGACAGGAACCAGTTGCAATGGTAGTGGTAGAATTTCTGCCTTACTTCTGCCCCATGTAAGATATGCTCAGGTATTCCAGGAGGTAAACTGGGTTGTGGAAAGCCAGGAGCTTGGACCCCACATACTGTTTCAGTGAGGGGATGATGCCAGCTGGAACCAGATTGGCAAGCTTGCACTCAGGCCCCCCAGTGGTAAGTGCAGGCACCAGCTGTGACTTGGGGTTGAAGTGATGTTCAGGTCCCTGGGAAAATGCTTGGGTCAGGGATGACTGCTGCTGTTCTGAGGTCTTGTCATGGGTTGCAAATATGGCCAGTCTGTGAACATTGCTTTGGTTAGTCGGTGGGCAGTTTTTGTCCATTTCACACCTTAGTCCTGGCAGGTCTTCCTCCCATGTCCCAGGTGAGGCTGCTGAGTAGGCTGGTCAGTCAGTTTTGGCACATCCAGCCCACCCATAATTCAGCCCCAGGCCATAGGAGACACTGTCTTGCTCAAGGCCAAGCCTCAGCAGCAACTCTCATCTTTCTCAGGTCGTGGGGAAGAGCTCGGCTTCAGCACCAGTGGCTGGAGTGTATATCATGCTAACTTCTCAGTTCTGGTTCCAAGAGTCCCTCCTTCACTCAAGTCCCACTTCCACAAGCTACAGCTTGAGTCTAATGCCAAAGACTGGTGCCTCTCATTTCCAGGGCCACACACAGTTTGTTAAGGGCTAGGATTGAGAATGGTATCTTAATGTAAATGCATAGGTCTGTCAGAGTGTGTGAGACACTCCCTCAAGCAGTTTCATCTCACGTTCTCCTGGCCACTCCCTCAGTTAGAATTCAGGACTTGAGAGAATAGAGGTGCTCTCCTGTGGCCTGGATTTATTGATTCCTCAATGAGAAACTGAACCACAGAAAGACAGAGAAAGACCCTCTCCCATGGTGGAGACTCTCCCAGTTTTCACCTGGTCCAGGCCTTGCAAGTTGTCTGTTTTTCTTCTCCTTCCTGGAATTTAGAGTTTCCTTTCACTTTTATGTTGAACTCTTCTGTTTCTTCTTGGATAATATATTCAAAGTGTGATAGTCTACATACTATTTTTTTTTTCACCTAACTGGATGAGGCATACTAGAAATACTTATTGTCAGCCATTTTGGAGAAAGCTACACAAAACAAATTTAGAAGTATGCCTTCTACTTACATTTATATTTTTTGGTAGAGTTTAAGAAGAATTTGTATGAATTTTTTTGAATGGTGTAATTCAGACATGAAGACATCTGGTACTGGGCTTTTCTTTGTATAAACATTTTCATTTACTACTTTAATCTTATTTGTTATTGGTCTGTTAACAGGCTTTCTATTTCTTTGTAATTCAATCTTGGTAGATTGTATGTGTCTAGAAACCTCAATTTATTCTAGGTTATCCAATTTGTTGTTATACAGTTGTTCATAATAGCACCTTTGATCCTTTTTTATTTCTGAAGCATCCATTGTAATGTCTCCAGCTTCATTTCTAATTTTATCTGAGTTTTTGATCTTTTTGCAGTCTAGCTAAAAGTATGTCAATTTTGTTTATATTTTTATGAAACTCTTACTTTTGTTGATTTTTTCTATAGTTTTGTTATTCTTTCTTTTATTTATTTCTGCTCTGATCTTTATTGTTTTCTTTCTTCTGCTAAATTTGAATACAGTTTGTCTTTCTTTTCCTAGTTTCTTGAGGTGTAATGTTAGGTTATTTATTTGAGATCTTTTCTACTTTCTTAATGTAGGCATTTGTCATTATAAACATCTCTCTTAAAACTTCTTTTGGTGCATCCTATGGGTTTTGATATATTTTGTTTCCATTTTCTTTTGTCTCAAGGTATTTTTAGATTTCCCTTTTTGATTTCTTATTTGACCTACTGGTGGTTCAGGAGTGTGCTTTCTAATTTCTGGATATATGTAAATTTTTCAGTTTTCCTCCTAGTCTGAAGTGGTTTGTAATATTATTTAAATCCTGTTACATTTGCTAAGTTTTTTGTGGCTATCTGTCTTGGAGAATTTTCTATGTACGCTTAAGAAAAATATGTATTTTGCTGTTGTTGAATGGAATATTCTGTATATTTCTGTTAGGTGCATTTGGCCTAAAGTATACTTTAGGTCAAGTGTTTCCTTATTGAATTTCTGTCTGGATGATCTATCTGTTGTTTAAACTGGAATATTAAAATATTCTACTTTTTATTATATTGTATATTTCTCCCTTCAGATTAGACATATGTAGATGTTCTGATTTTATGTGCATATATTTGCAATTGTTATGTGTACTTCTTTTCTTTCTTTTTTTCCCCCTGAGGCGGTATCTCACTCTGTTGTCCAGGCTGGAGTGCAGTGGCATGATCAAGGCTCATGGCAGCCTCAACCTTTCCAGGTTCACGTGATCCTCCCACCTCAGTCTCCCAAGTAGCTGGGACTACAGGCATGTACCTGCACATGTGGAGAATTTTTGTATACTTTTTTAGAGATGGGTTTTACCATGCTGCCCAGGCTGGTCTCAAACACCTGTGCTCAAGTGATCCACCCATCTCGGCCTCCCAAAGTGCTGAGATTACAGGCATGAGCCACTGAACCTGGCTTGTTATGTATTCTTGATGATCTGACCATTTTCTCATTATAAGTTGGCTATTTTTTCCTCATGTGACAATTTTTGACTTAAAGGTTTTTTCTTCTGTTGTTAGCATAGGTATTCTTCCTCTTTATTTTTATCTCAATTTTTATGAAATGCTTTCTATTTCTTCATTTTTAATCTATTTGTGTCCTTTAAGGTGAAGTGAGTCTGCTGTGGTCTGAATATAATTTGTCAGGGAAAGAAGTTGTTATATCAAAAAGACACCTTTGCACATATGTTTATCACAACTAAATTCACAATTGCAATATTATGAAACCAACCTAAATGTCCATCAACCAATGAGTGAATAAAGAAAATGTGTTACATATACATCGTGGAATGTAACATAAAACAGAACAAAATAATGTATTTTGCAGCAACTTGAATGGAACTGGAAGCCATTATTCTAAGTGAAGTAACTCAGGAATGGAAAAGCAAACACTGTGACTTCTCACTCATAAGTGAGAGTTAAGCTATGGGTACACAAAGGCATACGGAATGGTACAATGAACATTGGAGACTCAAAAGAAAGGAGGGTTGGAGGGGGTTAGGGATAAAAAACAACATATTGGGCATAATGTGCACTATTCACATAATGGGTGCACTAAAATCTCAGACTTCACCACTATACAATTTGTCCATGTAAACAAGAACAATTTATATTCCAAAAGTATATATATATGAATATATATACATATATATGAATATACTTTGTCTATCTTTTTTGATCCATTCACTCTCTCTATATCTTTTGGTTAGATAAAGCTCTCAATTTAAATTTCAAGTAATTATTCATAGGTAAGATTTTACTACAGCCATTTTGTTAATTGTTTTCTGCTTGTCTTGTGGATCTGTTTTTCCTTTCTTACTCTGTAGCTGTCTTCTTTTGACTTAAGAGTTTTCTGCAGTGGTATGTTTTGACTCTTTTCTCTTTATCTTGGGTGTATCTACTATAGGATTTTGATTTATGGTTACCATGAGGCTTACCTGAAACATCTTATAGATTTACCAGTGTATTTCAAGCTGATAACTTCAATCACATGCAAAAATTTCTCCATGGTAAACTCCATATGTACTTATGCTTTTGATGTTTACACCTTTTTATGTTGTGTATTCATTAGCAAGTCAATTTGGCTACAGTTATTTTTAATAGCTTTGTCTTTTTACCTTTACGCTAGAATTAAGTGACTTACACACCACCACTATAGAAGTAGAGTATTCTGAATTTTACTAGATATGTACCTGTACCAGTGAATTTTCTACTTTCATGTGGTTTCATTTTACTAGTTAGTAGCCTTTTATTTCAGCTTGAAGTAATCCCTTTAGCATTTCTTGAAAGGTGTGTCTAGTGGTGGTAAACATCCCCAGCTTTTGTTTGTCTGGGACATTATTTATTTCCTTATTTGTCTGAAGGGTATCTTTATTGGGTATTCTTTCTTGGCCTGCTTTTTTCTTTCTTCTCTTTCTTTTTTTCTTCTTTCTTTCTTTCTTTTTTCTTTCTTTTCTTTCTTTCTTTCCTTTTCCTTCCTTCCTTCCTTACTCTTTCTTTCTCTTTCTTCTTTCTTTTTCTTTCTCGCTCTTCTTTATTTCTTTCTTTCTTTCTTTCCTCTCTCTTTTCCTCCTTTTTTCTTTTTTTCTTTCTTCACTTTGAGTATACCATTCTGCTCTCTTATGGCCTGTAAGAATTTTGCCGAGAAATCTGGTCATAACCTTCTGAAGATTTCCTTGTATGATTCTTTCTCCTGCTGATTTCAAAATTCTCTTAGTCTTTTATTTTTGACAATTTAATTATGGTGTATTTTAATCTAATGATTTTTGTTGAATATGATTTGCTATCTTTGAGCTTCATGTACCTGGATGTTCACATCTTTCATCAAATTTGAGAAGACTTCAGTTACTATTTCTTTAAATAAGCTTTTTGTTGTTGTTTATTTTTCTCTCTTCTTTTTCTGTTACCTCTATTATACAAAATTATATTTTTTGATATGGTCCAATAGACCCTATGGGCTTTTAAAATTCCTTTTTATACTTCTTTCCTCTTCAGACTTGATGTTTTTAAATGATCTGCCTCTGAGTCCATCTATTTTTTTCCTTCTGCTTGATGCAGCCAACTGTTGAAGCTCCTACTGCATTTTTACATTTTAGTCATTTAATTTTTTAAATTTCTGTTTGGTGCTTATTTATGTTTTCTATATTTGTTGAATACCTACTTTGGTTCTTAAAATGTTTTCCTCATTTCACCAAATTTTCTATCTATGTTCTCTTATAGTTTGCTGAGCTTATTCAGAAAA
Source organism: Homo sapiens (assembly GCF_000001405.40). Lineage (NCBI taxonomy): Eukaryota > Metazoa > Chordata > Mammalia > Primates > Hominidae > Homo > Homo sapiens. The sequence goes on from NC_000023.11 coordinate 57,533,765, forward strand.
ATTATTTTGAAGTATCAGTCAGGCCATTCTTGGATCCGTCACTCTTTATTTTAAATTTTATCTTTATTTTACAAATAATAATTATATAAATGTATGGAGTAAAATGTGATGTTGTGCTTTATGGTTAATATTAGATGTCAACTTGACTGCCTTTAGAAATGTCTAGATGGCAGGTGAAGTATTGTTTCTGGGTGTGTCTGTGAGGGTGTTTCCAGAGGAGACTGACATTTGAGTCAGTGAACTGAGAGAGGAAGACCCACCCTCAATGTGGGTGGGCACCATCCAATCAGCTGTCAGTGTCGCTAGAACAAAGCAGGTGGAAGAACAGGGAAAAGCAGCTTGCTGAGTCCTTTTGCTCTCTCTCTCTCTCTCAATCTCCATCTCTCTCTCTCAGTCTCCATCTCTCTCTCTCTCTCTCTCAATCTCCATCTCTCTCTCTCTCAATCTCCATCTCTCTCTCTCTCTCTCTCTCTCTCGCTCCCTGTGCTGAATGCTTGCTTCTTCTCCTCCTGCCCTTGGACATCAGACTCCACATTTTTTAGATTTTGGACCCTGGGACTTGCACCAGTAGCCTCCCAGAGGCTCTCGGGCCTACAGCCTCAGAGCCTCAGACTGAGGGCTGCACTGTCAGCTTCCCTGGTTTTGAAGCTTTCAGACTTGGACTTAACCATGCTACCAGCTTCTCTTTTGCCAGCTTGGAGATGGCATACCATGAGACATCGCTTTGTAATTGATTGAACCAATTCTCCCAAATAAACTCTTTTTACTATATACATATATCCTATTGGTTCTGTCTTTCTGGAAGACCCTAATACATTTTGATATGCATTTACAACATGAAATGATTCCATAAGTCTCATGAAACAATCACTTCACACATTTATCATTTTTTGTGGTGAAAACATTTAAATTCTATTCTTCTAGCAATTTTGAAATATGTCATTTCTTATTATTTATTATAATCACTATTCTGTGCAATAGATCACTAAAGTTTATCTCTATTGTATAACTGAAACCTTTACCCTTTGATTAACATTTCTCCTTTTCCCATCTGTCCACCTCTCCCAGCCTCTGGTAACCATCATTCTGCTCTCTCCTTCTATGAGTTCTATGTTTAGTGATTCCACATATAAGTGAGATCATGCCATATTTGTCTTTCTGTACCTATCTTATTTTACTTAACATAATATCCTTCAGGTTCATTCATGTTGTGGCAAATGACATAATTTCTCCCTTTTAAATAGTTGAATACTATTCCACTGCATTTATATACCACATTTTTTATCCATTCTCATGACAAACATCTAGGTAGTATCTATATCTTAGCTATTGCAAATAATGCTACAAAGAACATAGGAAGTGCAGATATCTTTTTAGCACACTGGTTTCAATTACATTGGATATATACTCACAAATGGACATGCACAACTTTTGATATATATTCAGAAGCAGACATATTCAATTCTTCTGGATATATACCCAGTGGTTGAAATGTATGGTAACTATTTTTTTCCTGAGTAACCTCCATACTGTTTTCCTTGTTGGCTGTATTAATTTAGATTTTCACCAAAAGGCACAAGAGTGTTTTCATCTCCACACCCTCGCCAACAGTTGTTATCTTTCATCTTTTTTTATTAGTCATTTTAATAGGCATTAGGTAACATGTTGTTGTGTTTCTGATTTCTATTTCTTCTATGATCAGTTTTAATGAGTATTTTTTATCTGCGTTGGCTTTTTCTATGTCTTTGATTTACTTTTCTTTTTTACTTTTAATTTTTGTGAGTACCTAGTAGGTGTATTTTGAGTTTCATGACATATTTTGACTATTGAGTTGTTTGAGTTTCTTATATATTTTGGATATTTGCCCCTCATGAGATGAATGTCTTGCAAATATTTTCTTTCAATCTTTGGGCTGTCTCTTCATTCTATTAGTTGTTTTCTTTGCTGTGCAGTAGATTTTTCAGTGTTATCTAAGTCAATATGTTTATTTCTGCTTTTGTTTTCTGTGCTTCGGGGGTCATGTCCAAGAAATCTATGCCTAGACCACTGACATGGAGCATTTGGAGCATTTTTTTCTTTCTTTTTTTTTTTTTTTTTTTTTTTAGCTTTACAATTTTCAGGCTTTACATTTAAGTCTTTAGCCAACTTTAACTTGATTTTTGAATATAGTGGAGATAAGAGTCCAATCTCATTCTTCTTCTTGTGACTATTCAGTTTTCCCAACACCATTTATTATTGAGAGTGCTCATTCTTTATTTTACGTTCTTAGCACCTTCATCAAAAATCAATTGACCATGATTTCATAAGATTATTTTTGTGCTATTTTGTTCCACTGGTCAATGTTCCCATTTTTATGCCAGTACAATGCTGCTTTGTTTACAATAGCTTTGTAATTGGTTTTAAGTTAAGGTAGTGTGATGCCTCCAACTTTGATCTTTTTGCTCAAGATTTGGCTAATTGGGTTTTTTTGGTGTAGTTGCATGTACGTATTAAGATTTTTTATATTTTTATGATAAATGACATTGGCATCAAATCTATAATTCTTCGGAGTTGGTTACTGGAAATTTACTGTGTTTCTTTCATGGTGTCACTTTCCCCCTTATTCTTTGTGATCCACCTTGCATTGCAACAGTCTGTGCATCGGAAGCAGCAGATACCTCTTCTGAAATTTATGAACCGACCTCAGTAAGTAATGACCTTCACCTGGGGCAGGGGTACACTGGGGCACACTGTGGTGCAGACTGTAGTGGCACACAGCACCAAATATGGGCTCATACAATGGCTCCAGATGGGGAGGAGTGTCGCACTTTTTACATGGTCATTGATGACAAGAACTATTGAATTTCCATGACAGTATTGACTTCTGTAAGTGTCTCCAGCAGTGCCTCTATGTCCTCAGCAGTGCTTCTATGCCATGGCTATGACATGGAGCCGAGTCAGGCAGTGGTACTGCGCAGAGCTGTCAGTGGGCACATAATAAGCTGCAGGAGCCAGCTACAGGTGTGTGCATGGGGGTTGGGGCCAGCTGCAGGCTGGTAATAATGTTCCTGCTGGTTGCATGTGTCTATGCAACTGTGGAAAAAACTGGAGACTTGCAAGTAGGTGTAGCAGCAGGGTCCAGCTGCAGATGCAATCAAAGGGCTGGGGGCAGGTTCCAGGGGCCTGAGGCTAGGTTCCTGTGCATGTGCAGTTGTGATGGCTAGGGCTAGTGTTATGCAAGACCCCAGTATGCTCAGTCACTTGTATGTATGCAGTGTTGGGAGCTTGAGTCTACAGCAGGTGGCCTGGGGATGTTTGAAGGAATGCCTGTGGTGGCTGCAGACACTGCAGTTATAGCAGGTGTAGTGACTTAAGAGAGAATAGAGAGAGAGGGATGGTGGTTCAGGCACATGGAAACTAAAGCCTTCACTTTTAAGTCCATGGGTTGGGGCACCTGTTGCAGCAGCAGCTGGGGAGGCTCCAAGGAGGGGAGAGAAAGACAAGTGGCAACTTAAACAAATGTGAGCTTTGTAGACAGAAAACTGCAGGGATCCCAGTGGTGAAAGGTGCACAGGATCTACTGCACCTATGCTAGCCATAGTTTCCCTCAGCAGTAAAAGCTGCTGGGGTTCTGTGCTGAGCAAGCCACTAAGACCCACAACAACAAATAACATGAATGTCATTGGTAGTAAAATTTTCAGAGGATGTACGGTGGCCATTAGTGCTGTCGAGGTCTTCAGCAAAACAAGCTGCTGGAGTCCTGTACAGAACAGGCAACTGGGGACTATCGTGACTCCTGCTGTGTGCCTTAAGCTATCAGACCCCATGTCTCTTCTTTGTTTTCTGCCATCTCTGGATATCTCAGCTTTACCATTCTCCCCAACAACCTGGGTGGGTTGAAACAGAAGCTGGTCATTCAGGAAGTGGCCTGAAAGGCTAGGGAAGTTTGTAGTTCACACTGTTCTTTTCTCTGCACGGGGAACCAGGGAGTCTGAGAGTTCTTTCTCAGTGCCATGCAGTACTGGTCTGAAGGATGAGGTAATTCAGTCAAAAAGAAACTGCTCTTTCTACCCTTTTTGTGTAGTTACTATTGAGTTTTCTTTCCCACTCTATTGTTACAGCTTCTTAAGTGGACCACTGAGTTCTTTTTATTGAGAAAAAAAATCCTATATCTGAGTAATTTAAGATTTTTTTAAAATTTCAGTCTTAGAAAAAACATTAAAAAGAGAAACCAACACATTCTAGTTCCCCCTTGAACTATGTATTCATCTCTTGGAACTGCTTTATATTGCCACAAGTTGCTATAAACTAATCTAATAATGCCGCACCAGACACTATAACCTAAACCATAGAGCTTGACAATTTATAGCCAATCACTAATCAACGTTATTTCTGTAAGTCAATGAGACTCCCTTACAAACAACTTTTTATTCATCCACTTCCTGTCTCCCTTTTTTGCCTTAAATATCCATGTGTAACTGCTACTAATCAGAGTGTATCTTTAGGCCAACTTGAATCTATGCTCCCAGGTTGCAATCCTCAAGTTTGGCCCAAATAAACTCTCTATTTATATTAATTTTTGCCTCATCTCCTTCGTTTTATGTCAACAGTGAATAGCTGCCAAATTGTTGTTTTTTTGTGGGGGAAAGAAAGGCCGGGATCCTCTACTCTACCATCTTGCTGACATGAGAAAAGATTGTATTTTCCTTCTAATACCAAATATGTGGTTTATTTTTTAATACTACTTTTCCAACTTACTGACACCAAGTCTGGATATCCCAAAATTCAATTCAATTCTGACATCTGGAGTTAGCATCAGAACTTATAAGTTAAAAGGTTTATGTCCAAAACATTACCCCCACTTCAGACTCCAATTACAAATCTTAGGCCACCCATACTTCTGACTGATTTAGAGTAAATGTAGAGGTTCCCACATCTTTTATCCATGTCCTCCAAGTTTCAATAATTTTCTAGAACAACTTGAAGAACCCAGAAATATTTTCCTTACTATTATGGGTTTATTATAAAGGATACAACTCAGGAAAAGTCAAATCGAAGAGACCCATAGGGCAAAGTGTAGGCAAAAGGGTCTGGAGCTTCCACGCCTTCTCTGGATATACCACACTCCTAGCACTTCAATGTACACAACAACCGAGGTGCTCTCTGAACCCCATCATTTAGGGTTTCTATGGAAATTTAATTACAGAAGCATGATGCATTAAATCAGAGGCCATTGGTGATTGAACTCAACCTGTAGCCCCTCTCCCTTCCCCAAAGGTCGGGGGTAGAGCTGAAGGTACCAAATTTATAATCACACGGTTTTGTCTTTCTGGTGACCAGCTCCCGTTTTGAAGTTGTCTAGGAATTCTCAACCATCTCATCAGTTTATTAGCATATGTAAGACACTCTTATGATTCCAAAGATTCCAAGGGTTCTAGGAGCTGTATGCCAGGAACTAAAGACAAAGACCTAAAATATATTTTTAAATTATACTACAACATTCATAAAATGCTTTATGCAAAAACAGCAGAAAACATATTTTCAAGTTTACACGGCATATTAGTTATCATAAACTACATTCTGGACCATGAAGCACATTACAACAAGTTTAAGTGATTAGAAACCATACAATGTATGCTCTCAGACAGGAACAGCATTAAACCAGAAATCAATAACAAAGTGCTGGAAAATCTCAAAATATGTAGAGATTAAACAAAACACTCCAAAATTACAAATGAGTAAAACAGAAATGTCAAGAGAAATACTAAAATATTTGAATGAAATAAAAATGCGTTATTAAAATTTTTGGAATTCAGCAAAAACAGTGCTTAGAGGAAAACATACAGCACTGAATACATGTAATAGAAGAGTAGAAAGGTCTAAAAATCAACAATCTAAACTTACAACCTAGAAAACTAGAAAATTAGGAGCAAATTAAATCCAAAGCAGTGCCTCATGCATTTGGAAATAGCAAAATTGTTTATGAAGATCAATACTGTGAGCTTTCATTCAATAAAAAACATGGGAATTTACCTGAAAAGGGAAGGACACTTCAGATTTCAGGAAAGAGAAGGTTGGCAAGCAGCCTATGGGACAGTGTTTGGCTGCTAAAATTGAGTGAGGGGGAAGGTAGAGCAAGATGGCTAAATAGAAGGCTCCAGTGATCATCCCTCCTGCAGTATCTACAGAAAAAAGCACCTTCATAAGGACCAAAAATTAGATGAGTAATCACAGTACCTGATTTTAACATCATATTAAATAAACAGGCACTGAAGTGGGTAGGAAAGGCTGTCTTGAATCCATTATGCCACCCTTTCCTCATATCCCAGGAGCAGTCGTGTGGTATGGAGAGAGAATCCATGCACTTGGGGGAGGGAAAGTGAGTGCAGTGATTGTGGAATGTTACACTGAAACTCAGTGCAGAAAACAAGATGAAGCAGAATTCAGTCAGTGCCCACCAAGAGAGCATTTGGACCAGCCTTAGCCAGAGGTAAAATGCCCATCTCAGCAGTTGAAAACTGAGTTTTGGCAAGCCCTGCCACCGTGGGCTAAAATGCTCTGAGGTCCTAAGTAAACTTGAAATACAGTCTAGACCACAAGGACTGAAATTTATGGGCAAGTCCAGGTGCTGTGCTGTGCTGGGGCCTGTGGACTTGGGGGGCACATCATTTAGTGAGATACCAGCTGGTGTGGGCAAGGTAGTGTTTGTCTCACTTCTCCAACCCTATACAATGCAGCTCACAGCTCCAAGAGAAACTCCTTTCTTCTGCTTGGTGGAGAGTCAAGAGGACTTTGCCTTGCAACTTGGATACCAGCTCAGCCAGAGTAGAATAGGGCAACAGGCAGAGTCGTGAGGCCCTTGCTCCAGGATGACATATTTAAACACACCCTGGGCCAGGAGGGAACTCTCTGCCTCAAAGGTAACAACCCATACATAGCAGAATTCATCACCTGCTGACTAAAGAGCATTTTGTGCCTGAATAATCATCAGTAATACCCAGGCAGTACTTATCTCGGGCCTTGGGTAAGACTCAGAACGATGCTAGCTTCAGGTGTGACCCAGCACATTACCAGCTGTGGTGGCTATGGGGGAAGACTCCTTCCTGAGGAAAAGGGAGGAAAAAGTAAAGAGGCCTCTCCTGCAGCTTGGGTACTAGCTCAGCCACAGTGGGACAGAGCAAAAAGCAGCCTCCTGGGGTTCCCACCAATTCTAGGTCTTGGCTACTGACAGCACTTCTTGACCTACCATGGGCCAGAGGGGAGTCCACTGCCCTGAAGAAGACTCATGACTGGCAGCATTTGCTACAAGCTGACTAAGGAGCTCCTGGGACTTGAGTAAATGTTGATGGTGGTCACAGGCAATAACCACCACAGGTCTGGGGCACTGGTGCCCATGGAGAAAGGCACTTCTGCTTGACATAAAAAGAGGGAAAAGTGAGAAAGACTTGTGGCTTGAATGTCAGCTCAGTTGCAGTAGAACAAAGCACCAGGTAGATTTCTAAGGTTTCCAAATCTAGGACCTGGACCCTGACAGCATCTATGGCCCCATCCAGGGCTAGGAGGAATGACACAGTCTAGCTGGATTTGCCACATGCTCGTTGTAGAGTTTTGGGGGGCTGGAGTGAACCATAGGTGGTAACCAGGCAGTAGTCGCTGTGGACATTGGTTGAAACTCAGTGTTTTGCTGGTTTCAGGGCTTACCCAGTGCATTTCCAGCAATGGTGACCAAAGTGGGGCTTCTGTCACCTTTCCCCACCTTCAGGCAGCTCAGTAGAAAGAGAGAGAGAGAGAGAGAGAGAGAGAGAGAGAGAGAGAGACTCCATTTGTATTCGGAAAATCAAGGGAAAAGAATAAGAATGCACCTGGAAATCCAAAGAATTCTTCCAGATTGTATCCAAGACCACCAAAATGATACCTCTATGACTCTTTGAGAGCCACAACATTACTGGGTTGGGGTTAACCCCTAAAACAGATACAACTGAAGTGAGAAAAGACATATTACACAACCCACGTTCCCTTTGAATACCTAAAAAGCCTTCCCAAAAAGATAGGTACAAACAAGCACAGACTGTGAAGGCTAAAATAAATACCTAACTCTTCAATGCCCAGAGAGAGAAATATCCAAAAGTATCAAGACCATTCAGGAAAATATAACCTCACCAAGTCAACAAGAAAAGGTACCAGGGACCAATCTCAGAGAAAGAGACGTATGTGACCTTTCAGACAGAGAATTCAAAATAGCTCTTTTGAGGAAGCTTATCAAAATTCAAGATAACACAGAGAAGGAAGTCAGAACCCTGTCAGATAAATTTAATAAAAAGATGGAAAAAATTAAAAAGAATTGAACACAAATTTTGGAGATGAAAAAGGCAATTGACATATTGAAGAATGCATCAGAGTCTCTTAAATGCAGAAATGATCAAACAGAATTAAAAATCAGTGAGCTTGAAGACAGGCTATTAGAAAACACAAAGTTAGAGGACACAAAAAGGAAAATAATAAAAAAGAATAAAGCTTGCTTACAACATCTACAAAATAGCCTCAAAAGGGCAAATCTTTCAGTTATTGGCCTTAGAAAGGTCATAGAGAGAAAGACTATGGTAAAAAGTTTATTCAAATGAATATTAACAGGGAACTCCCCAAGTGTACAGAAAGATATTAATATCCAAGAATGAGAAGGTTATAGAACACCAAGCAGATATAACCCAAATAAGAATACCTCAAGTAATTTAATAATCAAACTTCCAAAGTCAAGGATAAAGGAAAATCCTAAAAGCAGCAAGAGAAAAGAAACAAATAGCATACAAAGAAGCTCGAATATGCTTGGTAGCAGACTTCTCAGTGAAAACCTTACAGGCCAGGAGAGAGTGAAATGACATATTTAAAGTGCTGAATAACAAAAAATACTTTCATCCTACAATGGTATATCCAGTGAAAATATCCTTCAAACACAGAGTAGAAATAAAGACATTTCCAGACAAATAAGAGGTGAGGGATTTCATTAACACCAGACCTGTCCTACAAGAAATGCTAAAGGGGGTTCTTCATTCAGAAAGAAAAGGATGTTAGTGAGCAATAAAAAATCATCTGAAGGTACAAAACTCACTGGTATCAGTAACTACACAGAAAAAAACAGAATATTATGACACTGTAATTGTGATATGTAATATCTTAAGTAGAAAGACTAACAGATGATCCTATCAAAATAACTATAACAATTTTCAAGACCTAGACAGTACAAAATATATAAACAGAAACAACAAAAAGTTAAAAAGTGTGGGGATGAAGATAATGTATAGAATTTTTATTAGTTTTCTCTGTGTTTCTTTGTTTATTCATGCTGTCAGCATGAAGTTATCATCAGTTTAAAACATTGGAGTATAAGATATTATTTGCAAGCCTCATGGTGACTTCAAATAAAAAAATAACAATGACACAACAATTAAAAGCCAGAAATTGCAACATACTACCTGAGAAAATCAACTTCAATAATAGAAAGATAGGAAAGGATGTAGTAGGAAGAGAATACACACACACACACACACAGAAAATAATAACAAAATGGCAGGAATAAGTCCTTACTTATCAATAACCACATTGTGTGTAAATGGACTGAATTCTCCAATCAAAAGACACAGAGTGGCTGAAAGATTAAAAAACAAGATCCAGTTATGTATTGTCTACACGAAACAGACTTTACCTATAAAGACAAACGCAGACTAAAAATAGAGACGGAAAATAATATTTCATACCAATAAAAATTTTAAAAAGTAGGAGTAGCTATGCTTACAATATACAAAATAGATTTTGAAACAAAAAGTAAAATATGACAAAGGAGGTTATTATATATTGATAAAGGCTTCAATTCCTCAAGAGAATATAAGAATTGTAAGTGTATGTGCACCCAACATTAGAGCACCCAGATATATGAAGCAAATATTATTAGACCTAAGGAGGGAGATAGACCCCAATACAATAATATCAGGAGACTTCAACACCCCACTTTCAGCAGTCAACAGATTATCCTGATATAAGACGGAAAATAGAAACCTCAGATTTAGTCTGCACTATATACCAAATTGTAGTAATAAGTATTTACAGATTATTTTATACAACAGCTGCAGAATACACATTCTTCTCAGCACATGAATTATTCACAAAAATAAACTGTATGTTAGTCCACAAAAAAGTACTCACAAAATTAAAATTACATCAAGTAACTTCTCTGACTGCAATGAAATAAAACTAGAAATAAATAACAAGATAAATTTTTGAAACTACAGAATCGTAAAAATTAAACCACATGTTCCTGAATTGCCAGGGGGTTGATGAAGAAATTGAAAAGGAAATTTAAAAATTTCTTACAATAAATTAAGATGGAAAGTGAATATACCATAGCCTATGGAATACAGCAAAATCAGTACTAAGAGGAAAGTTTATAAGTGTCTCCATTGAAAATGTACAAGACGTCATATAAACAACCTAAGAATGCATCTTAAGGAAACAGAAAGGCAACAGCAAACCAAAACCCAAATTAGTAGAAAAAAATTGAGCCATAATAAAATTGAAATGAAGAAAACAATACAAAAGATTAATGAAACTAAAATTTGTCTTTTCGAAAAGGTGATAAAAATCAACAAAGTTTTAGTCATACCAAATAGAAAAAAAAGGGACAGAGAAAAACCCAAATAAATAAACTCATAGATGAAAAATGACAAATTATAACTGAAACTACAGAAATTCAAAGGACCATTAAAGGCTACTATGAGTAATATATGTCAATAAAGTGAGACACCTAGAAGAAATAAATTCCTAGACACATATATCCATATATAAACCATGAAGAAATCTGAAACCTGAACAGAGCAATCCAAAGGAATGAGATCAAAGTCAACATAGTTTCCCAGCAAAGAAAAGCCAAGGACCCAATAGCTTTACTGCTAAATTTTACCAAATATTTAAATAAGAACTAATATCAATCCTACTTAAGCATTTGGAAAGTTAGAAAGGGAGGGGATAGTTCTAAACTCATTATAGGAGTCCAGTGTTACCCTCATACCAAAACCATACACATTAAAAAAAAAAGAAAAGGAAAGAAAAGAAAACATTACAGGTCAATACACCTGATGAACATTGATACAAAAATTCTCGAAAAAAATACTAGCAAATCAAATTTAAAAATGCATTAGAAAGATCATCCATCATAACCAAATGAAATTTATCCCGGGGATGCAAGAATGCCACAACACATACAAATCAAACACCGTTATACATTATATCAACAAAATGAATGACAAAAACATGATCATTTCTTTTCTTTTTTTAAAATTTTATTATTATTATACTTTAAGTTTTTGGGTACATGTGCACAATGTGCAGGTTTGTTACATATGTATACATGTGCCATGTTGGTGTGCTGCACCCATTAACTCGTCATTTAGCATTAGGTATATCTCCTAATGCTATCCCTCCCCCCACCCCCAACCCCACAACAGTGTCTGGTGTGTGATGTTCCCCTTCCTGTGTCCATGTGTTCTCATTGTTCAATTCCCACCTATGAGTGAGAACATGCGGTGTTTGGTTTTTTGTCCTTGCGATAGTTTGCTGAGAATAATGGTTTCCAGTTTCATCCATGTCCCTACAAAGGACATGAACTCATCCTTTTTTATGGCTGCATAGTATTCCATGGTGTATATGTGCCACATTTTCTTAATGCAGTCTATCATTGTTGTAATTTCTTTTATTTTATTTTATTTTTCTTTTTCCTTTTTTGAGATGGAGTCTCGCTCCGTCTCCCAGGCTGGAGTGCAATGGCGGGTTCTTGGCTCACTGCAAGCTCCACCTCCTTGGTTCATGCCATTATCCTGCTTCAGCCTCCTGAGTAGCTGGGACTACAGGCACCCGCCACCTCGCCTGGCTAATTTTTTGTATTTTTAGTAGAAACGGCGTTTCACTGTGTTAGCCAGGATGGTCTCGATAGCCTGATCTCATGATCCATCCACCTTGGCTTCCCAAAGTGTTGGGATTACAGGCTTGAGCCACTGCGCCCAGCCCAACATTGTGATCATTTCAATGATGCTGATATAGGAGTTAAGAAGAAATTGTTTAGGCAGATGGTGATGGTACTTGGGTCCTCAGTAAGGTTTTTCTTTTTAATGAAAAGCAGCCCCAAATCATTTTCTAACAAAGAACAGCCTGTAAAATCGAGTCGTGGACATAAACAAGCAAGCTGGAGGCTTGCACGGGTGAATGCTGGCAGGAGGGAACTGCCTGGGACCAGACGTTCAAAATGGTGGCTCCATTTCCCCTTCCCTTTGCCAGCCATGTGTACGGTAAGGAGCAGACAAGATAGTGCCAATCTACTGGAAAGACAATTTGGATAATAAGGTTAGGGTGGGGTGACCAGCCTTCCCAAAGTACTATGTAAATGTCACACCAGATCAAACCAATCTTTGGACCCTATGTAAATCAGACACAGCCTGCACAAGGCTACCTGTAAAATCTGACAGACTCAGCTACCAGTCGGTCTTTCCTCTTGGAAGACCCTGTCTCTCACCAGAGAGAGGGCTGTTCTCCTTTCTCTTTCTTCTGCCTATTAAACCTCCACTCCTAAACTCCTCATGTGTTTCTGCATCCCAAATTTTCTTTGTGCAAGACAACAAACCCTGGGTATTTACCCCAGACAATGTAGCCTCTTCAATGCTGAAAAAGTATTTGATGAAATGCAACATCCCATCATTATAAAAAACCCTCAAAAACTGTGTATAAAAGAAAATTCCTCAACATAATAAATGCCATAGATGACAGACTCATAATATCATACTGAATGAGGAAATATTGAAAACCTTTTTTTATAAGATCTAAAATATTACAAGGATGCACACTTTCACCATTGTTACTCAACATAGTACTGGAAATTCTGGCTACAGCAATCAGATGAGAGGAAGAAAAAAAGTGCATCCAAGTTGGAAAAGCAAAAATGTCAAACTACATTTGTTTGCAAATGAAATGATCTTATATTTGGAAAAAACCTAAAGGCTGCACCAAAAAAAAAAAAAAAAAAAAAAAAAGTACTCTTAGAACTGATAAATTCAGTAAAGGTTTAAAATACACAATCAACAAACTAAAATGAGCAGTAATTTCATATTCTAACAGTGAACAATTTGAAAAAAATCAAGAAAGGAATCCCATTTTCAATAGTTGCAAATAAAATTAAATACCTAGGAATTAACCAAAGAATTGAAAAATCTCTACAATTAAAAACTACAAAAATATGGATTCAAAAAATGTAGAAGAAACAAAAAATAAAAACATATTCCATATTCCTGGATTGGAAGAATCCAAATTTTTAAAATGTCCGTACTACCCAAAGCAATCTACAGATTTAATGTCATCCCAATCAAAACATTAATTACATTTTTTACTAAAACAGAAAAAAATCACAAAATTTACATGGAACAAATAAGGACTCAGAATAGCCATAGTTATCATAAGGAAAAAGAAAAAAAACTGAAGGACTCGCATTACAGGACTTCAAATTATACTACAGACCTATAGTAACCAAAACAGCATGGCACTCTCATAATAATGGACACATAGACCAGTGGAGCAGAATAGAGAAGCCAGAAACAAATCCACACTCCTACTATGAACTTGTTTTTCAATGGTACCAAGAACATACACTGGTGTAAAGACAGTCTCTTCTCTAAATGGTGCTGCAAAAACTGGAAATCCATATGCAGAAGAATGAAACTAGACTTCCATCTCTTACCATATACAAAAATCAAATCAAAGTGGATTAATGACTAAAATATAAAACCCCAAACTTTGGAAATTATAAAAGTAAACATTGTGGAAACTCTTCAGGATATTGTAGTGGCAAAGATTACGTGAGTATTACCACACAAGCACAAGCAACCAAACAAAAATGAAAAAAAAAATGACATAATACCAAGTTAAAAAGCGTCTACACAGCAAAAGAAGCAATTTTCTAGTAAAGAGACAACCTAAAAAATGGGAGAAAATATTTGCAAACTACCCATCTGACAAGGGATTAATAACCAGTATATATAAGGAGCTCAAACAGCTCTATAGGAAAAAATATAATAATGTGATTTAAAAATGAGCAAAACATTTGAATAGACATTTTTCAAAAAAAACACATACAAATGAAAGAAGGTATATGAAAATGTGCTAAAGTTCACTAATCATCAGAAAAATGCAAATCAAAATTACCATGAGATATTCTCTCACCCCAGTAAAAATTGCAAAATCCAAAGCACAGGCAATAACAAACGCTGGTGAGGAAGTGAAGAAAAAGGAACACTCATACACTGTTAGTGGGAACATAAATGAGTACAACCACTATGGGGAAAAGTTTAAAGGTTTCTAAGGTACTAAAATTGAGCTACCATGTGATTCAGCAATCTGACTACTGAGTATAAACCCAAAAGAAAGAAAATCAGTATATTGAAAAGATATCTGCACTCCCATATTTATTGCAAAACTATTCACAATAGCCAAGATTTGTAAGCAACCTAAATGCCCACCAACAGATGAATATATAAAGACAATTCCAGAGGTTTGTATCCAGCAAAAGTAACCTTCATAAAAGAAAGAGAGATAAAGTATATTTCAGACAAATAAATGCTTAGAGAATTTGCCAGTACAAATCCAGCACTACGAGAAATGCTATAAGGCATTCTAAGTCTTATAACAAAACCTCTAAATGAAACAAAATAGAATCTCCTCAAAGAACACGTCTAATAAAGCCTATAAAACAATAACACAAGACAACAACTAGCATAATGAATAGAACAGTACCTCACATCTCAACACTAATGCTGCATATAAATGGCCTAAATGCTCCACTTAAAAGATACAGAATGACAGAAAAGATAAAAACCCACCAACTAAGTATCTGTTGTCTTCAAGAGACTCATCTAACACATAAGGACACACATAAATTTAAGGTAAAGGGGTGAAAAAAGATATTACTCACAAGTGGAAACTAAAAGCAAGAAAGGGTAGCTAATCCTATATCAGACAAAAGTCTTTAAAGCAGCAACAGTAAAGTAAGACAAAGAAGGTCATTATATAATGATAAAAGACTAGTCCAACAGAAAAATACCACAATCATATATACACCTAACACTGGAGCTTCCAAATTCATAAAACAATTACTACTAGACCAAAGAAATGAAATAGATGACAATACAATAGTAGCAGGGGACTTCAATACTCCACTGACAGCACTAAACAGGTCATCAAGACAGAAAGTCAACAAAGAAACAATGGACTTAAACTATACCCAAGAACAAAAGAAGTTAACAGATATTTACAGAACATTCTGCCTAACAACTGCAGAAAATACAATCTTTTCATCAGCACATGGAACATTCTCCAAGATAGACCATATAATAGGTCACATAACAGGCCTTGATAAATTTTAAAAAATAGAAATTATATTATGTATTATCTCACACTACAGTAAAATAAATCTGCAAATCACCTCCAAAAGGAACACTCAAAACCAAAAACACAGGAAAATTAAATAATCTGTATTTGAATGATCATTGAGTCAACAATTAAATCAAGATGGAAATTTTAAAATTATTTGAACTGAATGATCAACTTATCAAAACCTCTGGAATACAACAAAAGCAGTACTAAGATGAAAGTTCTTAGCATTAAATGCATACATTTAAAAAAATTGTGAAAGAACAAAAATAGACACTCTAAGGTCACACCTCAAGGAAATAGAGAAACAAGAACAAACCAAACCCAAACCTAGCAGAAGAAAAGAAATAACAAAGGTTGGAGCAGAAAAAATTGAAATTGAAGCAAAGAAAAAAATACAAAAGATAAAACAAGAAGCTAGTTTTTGGAAAAGATAAAAAAAATTGATAGACCATTAACAAAATTAGCCAAGAAAAGAAGAGAGATGGTCCAAATATGCTCAATTAGAAACAAAACAGGAGATATTACAACCAATACCACAGAAATACAAAATATCATTCAAGGCTACTATGAACACCTTCATTCACACAAAAGAGAAAATCTAGAGGAGATGAATAAATACCTGGAAATATACAACCCTTCTAGATTAAAACAGAAGTAAATAGAAACTCTGAACAGACGAATAACAAGTAGTGAGTTTGAAACCATAATTTAAAAATTGCCAACAAAACAAAGTTCATGACCACATGGATTCATAGCTGAATCCTATCAGACATTCAAAGAAGAATTGGTACCAATCTTACTGAAACTATTCCAAAAGATAGAGGGAATCCTTCATAAATCATTTTATGAAGCCAGTATTACCCTAATACCAAAATCTGGACAGGACATAAAAAAAATTACAGACAAATATCCTTGATGAACATAGATGCAAAAATTTTCAACAAAATACTAGCTAAATGAATCCAACAACATATCAAAAAGATAATCCATCATAATCAAGTGGATTTCATACCAGCAATGCAGGGATGATTTACCAGACACAAGTCAATAAATGTGATGCATCACATAAACAGAATTAAAAGCAAAAACCATATAATTATCTCAATAGATGCAGAAAAAGCATTTGCTAATATCCAACATCACTTTATGATTAAAAACCTTACCAAAATTGGCATAAAAGAGGCATACCTCAAGGTAATAAAAGCCATCTATGACAAACCCAGAGCCAACATTATACTGAACAGGGAAAAGTTGAAAGCATTCTTCCTGAGATCTGGAACAAAACAAGGATGCCCACTTTCACCATTCTTATTCAACATAGTACTGGAAATACTAGCCAGAGCAATCAGACAAGAGAAAGAAATAAAAGGCATCCAAATCAGCAAAGAGAAAGTCACAGTCACTGTTCACCAATGACATGATCGCATACCTAGAAAACCCTAAAGACTCATCCAAAAATATCCTAGATCTAATGAATGAATTGAGTAAAGTTTCAGAATACAAAATTAATATATACATGAATCAGTAACTCTGCTATACATCAACAATGATCAAGATGGTAATCAAATGAAGAACTCAATCTCTTTTACAACCACTGCAAAAATAATAAAATACTTAAAAATATACCTAACCAAGGAGGTGAAAGATCTTTACATAGAAAATGACAAAACACTGTTGAAAGAAATTATCGATAGCACAAACAAATGGAAACACATTCAATGCCGATAGATGAGTAAAATCAATATTGTAAAAATGACCATATTGCTGGCTAGGCTCAGTGGCTCATGCCTGTAATCTCAGCACTTTGGGAGGCTGAGGTGGGCAGATCACAAGGTCAAAAGATCGAGAGCATCATGGCCAACATGATAAAACCCCATCTCTACTAAAAATACAAAATTAGCTGGGTGTGGTGTGCACCTATAGTCCCAGCTACCAGGAGGATGGAGGCAGGAGAATCACTTGAACCCAGGAGGCACAGGTTGCAGTGAGCTGAGATCATGCCACTGCACTCCAGCCAGGTAACAGAGTGAGACTCCATCTAAAAAAAAAAATGACCATACTTCCAAAAGTGATCTACAGTTTCAATGCAATTTCCATCAAAATACCTTCAACATTCTTCCCAGAACTAGAAAAAGCAATACTAAAATGTATATGGAACCAAGAAATTCCCTGCATAGCCAAAGCAAGACTAAGCAAAAAGAACAAATCTGGAGACATTACATTACTTAACTTCAAACTATACTACAAGGCTATAATACAGCATGGTATTGATAAAAAATAGGCATGTAGACCAAGGAAACAGAATAGAGAACCTATAAATAAAGCCAAATACTTACAGCTAACTGTAAACATTACAAAACAGAACATAAAGGAAAACAAACAAAAAAGAACATAAGCAGAGAAACTACACCCTATTCAACAAATGGTACTAGGATAATTGCCAAGACACACGTCGAAGAAGGAAACTGGATCTTCATCACTCACCTTATACAAAAATCAACTCAAGAAGCATCAAAGATTTAAATCTAAGACATGAAACCGTAAAAATGTTAGAAGATAGCATGATAAAATCTCTTCTAGACATTGGCTTAGGCAATGAGTTCATGACCAAGAACCCAAAAGCAAATGCAAAAATAAATACATAAATAAATAAGACCTAATTAAACTAAAAAGCTACTGCACAGCAAAAGAAATAATCAACAGAGTAAACAAACAACCCGCAGAGTGGGAGAAAATATTCACAAACGATTCATCTGTCAAAGAAGTAATATTCAGAATCTACAAGGAACTAAAGCAGTCAGCAAGAAAAAAATCAAATAATCCTATCAAAAACTGGGCATAGGACATAAATAGACAATTCTCAAAAGAAAATATACAAAAGGCCAACAAACACGAAAAAATGCTCAACATCACTAATTATCATGGAAATGCAAATTAAACTCACAATGAGATACCACATTACCCCTGCGAGAGTGGCCGTAATTAAAAAATCAAAAAATAATAGATGTTGGCATAGATGTGGTGCACTTTTACTCTGCTGGTGCGAATGTAAACTAGTACAACAACTATGAAAAACAGTATGGAAATCCCTTAAAGAACTAAAGGTAGAACTGCCATAGGACCCAGCAATCCCACTACTGGGTATCTACCAAGAGGCAAATAAGTCATTATACTGTTGGTGCAACTAAGTTCCTCTTCTAAGGCTCAATTTTCTGATCATAAGCTGTAAACAATCTTACCCCTTCTTCAGTTAAGCCTAACTGTTTCTTCTTTGCCCTTCCCTCCTTCACAAATCATGTGATTACCCTTTTTGGAAAGTTCAAGTCTTAGCCAATCGGGATCAGCTTAGATTGTGCGGTCCAACCCCAGCCAATAGGGAAAGGACACAGAAACACGAACTGCTTTAGGGATAAAAACCCTTTCTCTCCTTTGTTTAGTATGCTCTTGCGATTGTAACAGGCATGAGCAGCACCCTCCTGCAGAAGTAAAGGTGTCTTCCTGAGAAAATTTTTTGTCTAAGTGCAGATTTATTTTGGCTATGCTGAGCATTTGTTTCCAAATTAGGGGGCTTTTCTGGGATCCCATTCTCCTTTGGGAGGGGCTAGTGATTATCTTCCATGGAGAGACACGTCCCACTGCCTTGTTGTGGTGACCACAGAAGCAGAGGATTGAGTCCCACCTGAAGTGACAAATCTGGACTCTCAGCAATGCGGGCAGTAGACAGGATCCTTAGGAACTCTACAGCAACCAGATAACTCTGGGTACAGACCACAGTAAGAAATGTCGCTACTGGGGTGACAAAGTATTCCTTGGTGGTCAGGGTCTCTGGAGGTTGAAAGTGAGTGAATGAGATGTGCCTTTGGGCACAAAGTGAATGTGGTGTCCGGACTTGGTTCTGTGGTTACCTCATATGGCTTAGGGTGGTTTTCCAGTCAGGGGATTATACCAACCCCCAATGCAAAGAGGTGCTTAAATTCCTGTGAGGGAAGTGGCCAATAAGGATGAAGTGAGTGCTCACAAGAGTGCAAGAAACCTCCAGTGGGAAAAGGAGAGGTTGAGCCAAATTGCATGTTTACCCTATTTGGGAAGTTTAAGTCTTAGCCGATCAGGATCAGCTTAGATTGTGTGGTCCAACCCCAGCCAATAGTGGAAGGACACAGAAACAGGAACTGCTTTAGGGATAAAAACCCCTTCTCTCCTTTGTTTGGTGTGCGCTTGTGATTGTAACAGGCATGAGCAGCACCCTTCTGCAGAAGTAAAGGTGCCTTGCTGAGAAAATTTTCTGTCCAAGTGCAGGTTTCTTTTAGCTATGCTGAGAACTTGTTTCCAACAATATGAAAAAGACACTTACACATACATTTTTATAGAAGCACAATTTGCAATTGCAGAAATTTGCAACCAGCCTAATTGTCCATCAGCCAATGAGTGAGTAAAGAAATGTTGTGTATATTTATGTATATATGTATATATATAGTCTTATTATATATATGTATATATATATAATACACAGTTATATATGTGTATATAATAAGACCATAGAATACTACTCAGCCATAAAAAGAAGTGAAATAATGGTATTTGCGCAACCCGAATGGAGTCGAAGACCATTATTATAAGTGAAGTAACTGAAGAATAGAAAACCAAATATTGTATGTTCTCACTTATAAAAGTGGAAGCTAAGCTATGAGGGCACAAAGGCATAAGGATAATATAATAAATTTTGGGGACTTGAGGGGGAAGGGTGTGAGGAGGGTAAGGGATAAAAGACTACACATTGGGCACAGTGTACACCCTTCGGGTGACAGGTGCTCCAAAATCAATCACCACTAAAGAACTCCATGTAACTAAAAACCACCTCTTCCACCAAAACTATTAAAATAAAATAAAAATTAAAAAAAAACAGAAACCAAAAACAAAAAATAAAAATAAAATAAAATAATTCTTCAAAACAGGGATCAGCAAACTATGACATGTGGACCAAATCAGTCCAGTAACCATTTTTATAAATGAAGTTCTGTTGGAACCCACACACATACACACACACAAATATGGTACCTATAAACAGTGGAGTACTATATTCTATCATTTAAATAAAGAATGAGATTGTGTCACTTTTCCAAAAAAAAAAAAACCAGAATGGAGTAATTATTTTACATGAAATACGCCAGGCACAAAAAATACCCAAACATTATCTCAAAATCAAAACAATTGAACTCATGAATATAGACAGTAAAAGGATTGTTACCAGTGGCTGGGAAGCATAGTGAGGCAGGATGGGGTTAGTGGGTTCAAAAATATCAGTTAGAAAGAATGAATATGACCTAGTATTTGATAGCACAACAAGGTGACTGTAGTCAAAATAATTTAATTGTATATTTTATTTTATTTTTTGCAACAGTCTTGCTCTGTCACCCAGGGTGGAGTTCAGTGACATGATCTCGGCTCACTGCAACCTTCACCTCCTCGGTTCAAGGGATTCTCATGCCTAGCCTCTTGAGTAGCTGGGACTATAGGCACATGTCACCATGCCTGGCTAATTTGTACATTTTTAGTAGAGACAGGGTTTTGCCTAGTTGGCCAGGCTGTTCTTTAACTTCCTACCTCAAGTGGTCTGCCTTTCTCGGCCTCCTGAGGAAGTGCTGGGATTACAGGTGTGAGCCACCATGGCTGGCCTAACTGTACATTTTAACATAACTAAAATAGTATAATTGGATGGTTTGTAACTCAAAGAATAAATGCTTGAGAAGATGACTACCCCATTTTTCATGATGCGATTATTATGCATTACATGCCTGCATTAAAAGATTGCATGTAAATCATAAATATGTGCACCCACTATGTACCCATAAAATTTAAAAAATTTAAAAAAAGAACTGTGTTAACTAGTCTAATAAATAATGGCACACAATAGCAAGTTGAATAAAGAAATGAGATCCAACTGTATTGTGTCTTCAAGAGAACCATCCAACATGCCATAACACCTGGAGGGTCAAAGTAAAGAGATGAAAACCAATCTATCAAACATATAAAAAATAAAATAAACAGGAATTGCTATTCTTATTTCAGACAAAATAAACCTTAAAACCATAATGATCAGAAAAGACAAACAATGGCATCACATAATTGTAAAGGATTCAATTCAACGAGAAAACTTCACTATCCTAAATATATGTACACCCAACACTGGAGCACCCACATTTATAAAACAAGTCATAAAATCTTTGAGGAGGCTTAGATAACTATACAAATAAGATTAGGGGACTTCAAAACCTTATCAGCAGTGTTAGACAGATCATTAAGGTGGAAAACTAACAAAGATATTCAGGTCCTATATTCAACACTTGATCAAATGGATCTAACAGACATCTGTAGAACATTCGACCCCAAGCAACAGAATATACTTTTTTTTATGTACACATGGCACATACTCTAAAATCTACCACATTCTCAGCCTAAAGCAATTCTCAATAAATTCAAAGAAACTGAAATCATACCAACCACACTCTTAGACCACAGCACAAAAAAATAGAAATGAATACCAAGAAAATTAGTCAAAACCATACAATTACATAGAAATTTAAAAACCTGATTCTGAATGACATTGGTGTGTACAATGAAATTAAGGCAGAAATTTAAAAAAATTGATTCTAAGAATAACATAGATACAATATATCAGAAACTCTGAGACACAGCTAAAGCAATATTAAGAGGGAAGATTACAGCAGTATATACTCACAAGAAAAGTAAAGATCTCAAATTAACAACTTAACGTCATACCTGCACATGCTAGACAAACAAGATTATATTGAAATAAAAATTAGCAATAGAAAAGACATAACACAAATTAGAGCTGAACATAATAAAATTGAGACACACCCACACACAAAAAACACAGAAAATGTAAACCAGTTTGTTTCTTTAAAAATAAATAAGATTGATAGACCACTAGCAAGATTCATAAAAAGATGAGAGAAGACTGAAATAAACACAATCATACGACAAAGGGGACATTACTACCAACTCCACAGAAATACGAAACCCTTCAGAGAGTATTATAAATACTTCTATGCACACAAGTTCTAAAACCTAGAAAAAAATGCATGAATACCTAGACACACAGGTTTGAGCCAAGAAGAAATTGAAACCTTTACATAGCAATAATGACTTCCAAAATGCAATCAGTAATAAAAAAACCTTACAACCAGAAAAAGCTCTGTACCAGACAGATTCACAACCAAATTTTGCCAGACGTACAAAGAAGACCTAGTATTGATCCTTCCCAAACTATAACAAAAAATTTAGAAGGAGAACTTCCCTCCTAACTAATTCTATGAGACCAGCATCACTCTGTTACCAAAACCTGATAGAGACAAAATGAAAAAAGAAATATTCAGGATAATATACCTGATGAACATAGATGCAAAAATCCTCAACAAAATACTAGCAAAACCAAAGCCAGCAGCACATGAAAAATCTAATACACCATAATCAAGGAGGATTTATTCATGGGATGCAGATTCTTTCAACATACATAAATGAATAAATGTAATTTATTTAAAAATATAACTAAAAAGAAAAACTACATGATCATCTCAATAGATGCAGAAAAGCCTTTTAATAAAATTTAATATCCCTTCATGTGAGAAACCATCTACAATCTAGGTATTGAAAGAACATACCTCACCAAAATAACAAGAACCATCAATGACAAACCCAGAGCCAACATCATACTGAATGGGTAAAAGCTAGAAGCATTCCCCTTGAGAACTGCAACAAGACAAGGATGTCCACTGTTACCACTAGTATTTAACATAGTACTGGAAGTTGTACCCAGAGAAGTGATGCAGAAGCAGAAAAAATTAAAGGCATCCAAATAGAAAGAGAGGAAGTAAAACTACCTACCTTCACAAACAATATAATTCTATCCCTAGATAACTTCATAGCCTCTACCTAAAAACCCTAGGTCTGATAAACAACTTCAGCAAAATTTCAGGAGGCAAAAGTAATACACAAAAATCCATAGCATACCTATACAGCAATAACTTTCAAGCAGAGAGTCAAATGAACACAATCCCATTCACAATAGCCAACAACAACTGGCTACTCATATGCAGAAGATGGATATTTTCCTGTTTTGTTTACAAAAAAAAATAGCAAAACAATCTAGAAATACAGCTAATCAGGGAAGTAAAAGACCTCTACAATGAGAATTGCAAAACACCGCTAAAAGAAATCATAGATGACATAAATGCATGGGAAAACATCCCATGCTAGTGCGAGGCAAAATCACCAGGTAACCTATAAAGGGAAACCTATAAGATTAACAGCAGATTTCTTAGCAGAAACCCTACAATCTAGAAGGGATTGGGGTCGTATCTTCAGCCTCCTTTCACATAACAATTATCAGCCAAGAATTTTGTATTCAGCAAAACTCAGCTTCATAAATGAAGGAAAGATACAGTCTTTTTCTGAGAAACAAATGCTGAGATAATTCACCAGTATCAAGCCAGCACTACAAGATCTGGTAAAAGAGCTCTAAATCTTATAACAAATCCTGAAAACACATCAAAAGAGAACCACTTTAAAGCCTGAATCTCACAAGACCTATGAAACAAAAATATAATTAAAGAAAAAAGGTACACGGGCAACAAATAGCACGATGATGAAATAGTACCTCACATCTTAATACTAATGTTGAATGTAAATGGCCTAAATGCTCTACTTAAAGAATATAGAATTGCAGAATGGTGACAAAATCTCTCACAATTTGCTTGTCTGTAAAGTATTTTATTTCTCCTTCACTTATGAAGCTTAATTTGGCTGGATATGAAATTCTGGGTTGAAAATTCTTTTCTTTAAGAATGTTGACTATTGGCCCCCACTCTCTTCTGGTTTAAGGGTTTGTGCTGAGAGATCAGCTGTTAGTCTGATGGGCTTCCCTTTGTGGGTAACCCGACCTTTCTCTCTGGCTGCCCTTAACATTTTTTCCTTCATTTCAACTTTGGTGAAACTGACAATTATGTGTCTTGGAGTTGCTCTTCTCGAGGAGTATCTTTGTGATGTTCTCTGTGTTTCCTGAACCTGAATGTTGGCCTGCCTTGCTAGATTGGGGAAGTTCTCCTGGATAATATCCTGCAGAGTGTTTTCCAACTTGGTTCCATTCTCCTCATCACTTTCAGGTAAACCAATCAGACGTAGATTTGGTCTTTTCACATAGTCCCATATTTCTTGGAGGCTTTCTTTGTTTCTTTTTATTCTTTTTTCTCTAAACTTCTCCTCTCGCTTCACTTCATTCATTTGATCTTCAATCACTGATACCTTTTCTTCCAGTTGATCGAATTGGCTACTGAGGCTTGTGCATTCATCACGTAGTTCTCATGCCTGGGTTCTCAGCTCCATCAGGAACTTTAAGGACTTCTTTGCATTGGTTATTTTAGTTAGCCATTCATCTAATTTTTTTCAAGGTTTTTAACTTCTTTGCCATGGGTTCAAACTTTTTCTTTAGCTCAGAGTAGTTTGATCATCTGAAGCCTTCTTCTCTTAACTCATCAAAGCCATCTTCCATCCAGCTTTGTTCCATTGCTTGTGAGGAGCTGTGTTCCTTTGGAGGAAGAGAGGCACTCTGATTTTTATAGTTTTCAGTTTTTCTGCTCTGCTTTTTCCCCATCTTTGTGGTTTTACCTACCTTTGGTCTTTGATGATGGTGATGTAAAGATGGGGTTTTGGTCTGGATGTCCTTTCTGTTTGTTAGTTTTCCTTCTAATAGTCAGGACCCTCAGCTTCAGGTCTGTTGGAGTTTGCTGGAGGTCCACTCCAGACCCTGTTTGCCTGGGTATCAGCAGTGGAGGCTGCAGAACAGTGGGTATTGGTGAATAACAAATGTTACTTCCTGATTCTTCCTCTGGAAGTTTTGTCTCAGAGGAGTACCCAGCCGTGTGAGGTGTCATTCTGCCCCTACTGGGGGGTTCCTCCCAGATAGGCTACTCGGGGGTCAGAGACCCACTTGAGGAGGCAGTCCATCCGTTCTCAGACCTCCAGCTGCATGCTGGGAGAGCCACTACTCTCTTCAAAGCTGTCATTTATAGACAAGCAAATGCTGAGAGATTTTGTCACCACCAGGCCTGCCCTACAAGAGCTCCTGAAGGAAGCACTAAATATGGAAAGGAACAACCGGTATGGTACCAGCCACTGCAAAAATATGCCAAATTTTTAAGACCATCGAGGCTAGGAAGAAACTGCATCAACTAATGAGCAAAATAACCAGCTAACATCATAATGACAGTATCAAATTCACACAAAACAATATTAACCTTAAATGTAAATGGGCTAAATTCTCCAATTAAAAGACACAGGCTAACAATTTGGATAAAGAGTCAAGACCCATCAGTATGCTGTATTCAGGAGACCCATCTCACATGCAGATACACACATAGGCTCAAAATAAAGGGATGGAGGAAGATCTACACAAGCAAATGGAAAACAAAAAATGTCATGGGTTGCAATCGTAGCTTCTGATGAAACAGACTTTGAACCAACAAAGATCAAAAGAGACAAAGAGGGCCATTACATAATGGTAAAGGGATCAATTCAACAAGAAGAGCTAACCATCCTAAATATATATGCACCCAATACAGGAGCACCCAGATTCATAAAGCAAGTCTTTAGTGACCTACAAAGAGACTTAGACTCCCACACAATAATAATGGGAGACTTTAACACCCCACTCTCAACATTAGACAGATCAATGAGACAGAAAGTTAACAAGTGTATTCAGGAATAGAACTCAGCTCTGCACCAAGAAGACTTAATAGACATCTACAGAACTCTCCACCCCAAATCAACAGAATATAAATTCTTCTCAACACCACACCTCACCTATTCCAAAATTGACCACATAGTTGGAAGTAAAGCATTCCTCAGCAAATGTAAAAGAACAGAAATTATAACAAACTATCTCTCAGACCACAGTGCAATCAAACTAGAACTCAGGATTAAGAAACTCACTCAAAACAACTCAACTACATGAAAACTGGACAACCTGCTCCTGAATGACTACTGGGTGCATAACAAAATGAAGGCAGAAATAAAGATATTCTTTGAAATCAATGAGAACAAAGACACAACATACCAGAATCTCTGGGACACATTCAAAGCAGTGTGTAGAGGGAATTTTATAGCATTAAATGCACACAAGAGAAAGCAGGAAAGATCTAAAATTGACACCCTAATATCACAATTAGGAGAACTAGAGAAGCAAGAGCAAACACATTCAAAAGCTGGCAGAAGGCAAGAAATAGCTAAGATCAGAGCAGAACTGAAGGAAAAAGAGACACAAAAAACCCTTCAAAAAAATCCATGAATCCAGGAGCTGGTTTTTTGAAAAGATCAACAAAATTGATAGACCACTAGCAAGACTAATACAGAAGAAAAGAGAGAAGAATCAAATAGATGCAATAAAAAATGAAAAAGGAGATATCACCACCTATCCCAAAGAAATACAAACTAGCATCAGAGAATACTATGAACACCTCTATGCAAACAAATTAGAAAATCTAGAAGAAATGGATAAATTCCTCGACACATACACCCTCCCAAGACTAAACCAGGAAGAAGTTCAATCTCTGAATAGACCAATAACAGGCTCTGAAATTGTGGCAATAATCAATAGCTTACCAACCAAAAAAAGTCCAGGAAGAGATGGATTCACAGCTGAATTCTACCAGAGGTACAAGGAGGAGCTGGTACCATTCCTTCTGAAACTATTCCAATCAATAGAAAAAGAGGGAATCCTCCCTAACTCATTTTATGAGGCCAGCATCATCTTGATACCAAAGCCAGGCAGAGACAAGACAAAAAAAGAGAATTTTAGACCAATATCCCTGATGAACATCGATGCTAAAATCCTCAGTAAAATACTGGCAAACCAAATCCAGGAGCACATCAAAAAGCTTATCCACCATGATCAAGTGCACTTCATCCCTGGGATGCAAGGCTGGTTCAACATACGAAAATCAATAAACAAAATCCAGCGCATAAACAGAACCAATGACAAAAACCACATGATTATCTCAATAGATGCAGAAAAGGCCTTTGACAAAATTCAACAACGCTTCATGCTAAAAACTCTCAATAAATTAGGTACTGATGGGACATATCTCAAAATAATAAAAGCTATCTATGAGAAACCCACAGCCAATATCACACTGAATGGGCAAAAATTGGAAGCATTCTCTTTGAAAACTGGCTCAAGACAGGGATGCCCTCTCTCACCACTCCTATTCAACATAGTGTTGGAAGTTCTGGCCAGGGAAATCAGGCAGGAGAAGGAAACAAAGGGCATTCAATTAGGAAAAGAGGAAGTCAAATTGTCCCCGTTTGCAGATGACATGATTGTATATTTAGAAAACCCCATCTTCTCAGCCCAAAATCTCCTTAAGCTGATAGGCAGCTTCAGCAAAGTCTCAGGACACAAAATCTAGGTGCCAAAATCACAAGCATACTTACACACCAATAACAGACAAAGAGAGAGCCAAATCATGAGTGAACTCCCATTCACAATTGCTTCAAAGAGAATAAAATACCTAGGAATCCAACTTACAAGGGATGTGAAGGACCTCTTCAAGGAGAACTACAAACCACTGCTCAATGAAATAAAAGAGGATACAAACCAATGGAAGAACATTCCGTGCTCATGGATATGAAGAATCAATATCGTGAAAATGGCCATATTGCACAAGATAATTTATAGATTCAATGCCATCCCCATCAAGCTACCAATAACTTTCTTCAATTCACAGAATTGGAAAAAAATACTTTAAAGTTCATATGGAACCAAAAAAGAGCCCGCATTGCCAAGTCAATCCTAAGCCAAAAGAACAAAGCGGGAGGCATCATGCTACCTGATTTCAAACTATATACAAGGCTACAGTAACCAAAACAGCATGGTACTGGTACCAAAACAGAGATATAGACCAATGGAACAGAACAGAGCCCTCAGAAATAATGCTGCATATCTACAACTATCTGACCTTTGACAAACCTAACAAAAACAAAAAATGGGGAAAGGATTCCCTATTTAATAAATGGTGCTGGGAAAACTGGCTAGTCATGTGTAGAAAGCTGAAACTGGATCCCTTCCTTACACCTTATACAAAAATTAATTCAAGATGGATTAAAGACTTAAATGTTAGACCTAAAACCATAAAAACCCTAGAAGAAAATCTAGGCAATACCATTCAGGACATAGGCATGGGCAAGAACTTCATGTCTGAAATACCAGAAGCAATGGCAACAAAAGCCAAAATTGAAATATGGGATTTAATTAAACTAACGAGCTTCTGCACAGCAAAACAAACTACCATCAGAGTGAACAGACAACTTACAGAATGGGACAAAATTTTTGCAATCCACTCATCTGACAAAGGGCTAATATCCAGATTCTGCAATGAACTCAAACAAATTTACAAGAAAAAAACAAACAACCCCATCAAAAAGTGGGCGAAGGATATGAACAGACCCTTCTCAAAAGAAGATTTTTATGCAGCCAAAAGACACATGAGAAAATGCTCATCATCACTGGCCATCAGAGAAATGCAAATCAAAACCACAATGAGATACCATCTCACACCAGTTAGAACAGTGATCATTAAAAGTCAGGAAACAACAGGTGCTGGAGAGGATGTGGACAAATAGGAACAATTTTACACTGTTGGTGGGACTCTAAACTAGTTCAACCATTGTGGAAGTCAGTGTGGTGATTCCTCAGGGATCTAGAACTAGAAATACCATTTGACCCAGCCATCCCATTACTGGGTATATACCCAAAGGATTATAAATCGTGCTGCTATAAAGACACATGCACACGTATGTTTATTGCAGCACTATTCACAATAGCAAAGACTTGGAACCAACCTAAATGTCCAACAATGATAGACTGGATTAAGAAAATGTGGCCCATATGCACCGTGGAATACCATGCAGCCATAGAAAATGGTGAGTTCATGTCCTTTGTAGGGACATGGATGAAGCTGGAAAACATCATTCTCAGCAAACTATTGCAAGGACAAAAAACCAAACACCGCATGTTCTCACTCATAAGTGGGAATTGAACAATGAGAACACATGGACACAGGAAGGGGAACATCACACTCTGGGGACTGTTGTGTGTTGGGGTTTGGGGGGAGGGATAGCATTAGGAGATATACATAATGTTAAATTACGAGTTAATGGGTGCAGCACACGAACAAGGCACTTGTATACATACGTAACAAACCTGCACATTGTGCACACGTACCCTAAAACTTAAAGTATTAAAAAAAAATTGCAGAATGGATAAGAATTAACCAAACAACAACCTGCTGCCTTGAAGAGACTCACCACACATAAAGACACACATAAACTTAAAGAGGTGGAACAAAACATTTCATGCAAATGGACACCAAGAGTGAGCAGAAGTAGCTATGCTTATACCAGACAAGAAAATCTTTAAAACAACAGCAGTTTAAAAAGACAAAGCAGACATTATATAATGATGAAAGGCCTTGTCCAACAGGAAGTTATCACAATCCTAAAGAGATATGCACCTAACACTGGAGCTCCCAAATTCATACAACAATTACTACTAGACCTAAGAAATGAGATCAGCAGCAACACAATAATAGAGAGGGTCTTTAATACTCCACTGACAGCACTAGACGGGTCATCAAGACAGAAAGTCAACAAAGGAACAATGGATTTAAACTATACCCTGCAACAAAAAGACTTATCAAATATTTACAGAACGTTCTACCCAACAAATGCAAAATATACTGTGTATTTATCAGCACATGAAACTTTCTTCAAGGCAGACCATATTATGGGCCACAAAACAAGTCTCAATAAATTTAAGAAAATTGAAATTTTATCAAGTATTTTCTCAGACCACAGTGGAATTAAACCGGAAATCAACTCCAAAGGAACATTCAAAACCATGCAAATACATAGAAATTAAATAACCTGCTCCTGAATAATTATTGGGTCAAAAATGAAATCAAAATGGAAAATAAAAAAAAAATTGGACAGGTGTGGTGTCTCACGCCTGTAATCCCAGCACTTTGGGAGAACGAAGAGGGTGGATACAAGGTCAGGAGTTCGAGACCAGCCTGGCCAACATAGTGAAACACTATCTCTACTAAAAAATACAAAAAAAAAATTAGCCAGGCATGGTGGCAGGCACCTGTAATCCCAGCTACTCATGAGGCTGAGGCAGGAGAATCACTTGAACCCAGGAGGTGGAGGTTGCAGTGAGCCAAGATTGTGCCATTGCACTCCAGCCTGAGTGACAGTGTGAGACTGTCTCAAAAAAAATTATTTAAATTAAACAATAACAGTGACACAACCTATCAAAACCCCTCGGATACAGCAAAGGTGGTGCTAAGAGGAAAGTTCATAGCCCTAAATGTGTACATCAAAAAGTCTGAAAGAGCACAAATAGACAACCTATGGTCACACCTCAAGGGATTAGAGAACCAAGAACAAATTAAACTCAAACCTAACAGGAGAAAGGAAATAACCAAGATCAGAGCAGGACTAAATGAAATTAAAACAAACAAAAAACATTATAAAACATAAATGACATAAAAAGCTGGTTCCTTGAAAAGATAAATAAAATTTATACACCATTAGCAATATTAACCAAGAAAAGATGAGAAGAAATTCAAATAAGCTCAATTAGAACTAAAACAAGAGGTAGCTTCCAAGATGACCGAATAGAAACAGCTCCAGTCTGAAGCTCCCAGTGAGATCGACACAGAAGGCAGGTGATTTCTGCATTTCCAACTGAGGTACCTGGTTCATCTCACTGGGACTAATTGGACAGTGGGTGCAGCCCACAGATGCCAAGCTGAAGCAGGACGGGGCATCGCCTCACCCGGGAAATGCAAGGGGTCAGGGGATTTCCCTTTCCTAGCCAAAGGAAGCTGTGACAGACTGTACCTGGGGAAATGGTACACTCCTGATCAAATGCTGCACTATTCAAACAGTCTTAGCAACAGGCAGACAAGGAGATACCCTCCCATGCCAGGCTCAGTGGGTCCCAGCCCACGGAGCCTTGCTCACTGCTAGTGCAGCAGTCTGAGATTGACCTGCAATGCTGCAGCTTGACACAGGGAGGGGCATCTGCCATTGCTGAGGTTTGAATAGCTCACAGTGTAAACAAAGAGGCCAGGAAGCATGAACTGGGTGAATCCCACCTCAGCTCAGCAAGGCCCATTGCCTCTGTAGATTCCACCTATGGGGGCAGGGCATAATAGAACAAAAGGCCACAGACAACTTCTCCACACTTACACGTCCTTGTCTGACAGCTCTGAAGAGAGCAGGGGTCCTCTCAGCATGGCGTTCGAGCTCCAAGAATGGACAGACTGCCACCTCAAGCAGGTCCCAGACCCCCATGTAGCTGGACTGGGAAATACCTCCCAGTAAGGGCCAACAGACACCTCAAACAGATGGTTGCCCCTCTAGGGCGAAGCTTCCAGAGGAATGATCAGGCAGCAATATTTGCTGTTCCACAGCCTCTGCTGGTGGTACCTAGGCAAACAGGGTCTGGAGTGTACCTCCAGCAAACTCCAAGAGACCTGCAGCTGAAGGATCTGTTAGAAGGAAATCTAACAAACAGAAAGCAATAGCATCAACATCAACAAAAAGGACATCCACACCCAAACCCCATCTGTAGGTCACCAAAATCAAAGACCAACAGTAGATAAAACCACAAAGATGGGGAGAACCCAGAACAGAAAAGCTGAAAATTCCAAAAAACAGAGTGCCTCTTCTCCTCCAAATGATCGAAACTCCTCGACAGCAAGAGAACAAAACTGAACAGAGAATGAGTTTGACAAATTGACAGAAGTAGGTTTCTGAAGATCCGTAATAACAAACTTCTCCGAGCTAAAGGAGCTTGTTCTAACCCATCACGAGGAAGCTAAAAACCTTGAAAAAAGGTTAGACGAATGGCTAACTAGAATAAACAGTGTAGAGAAGACCTGAAAT
Organism: Homo sapiens; assembly: GCF_000001405.40. Lineage (NCBI taxonomy): Eukaryota > Metazoa > Chordata > Mammalia > Primates > Hominidae > Homo > Homo sapiens. The sequence continues at coordinate 57,566,228 of NC_000023.11, forward strand.
AACCTGGTGGAGCTAAAAACCATGGCACAAGAACTTCTTGATGCATGCATAACTTCAATAGCCGATGCAATCGAGTGAAAGAAAGAATATCAGTGATTGAAGATCAGATTAATGAAATAAAGTGAGAAGACAAGATTAGAGATGAGAAGAGTGAAAACAAACGAACAAAGCCTCCAAGAAATATGGGACTATGTGAAAAGACCAAATCTACGTTTGACTGGTATACCAGAAAGTGATGGGGAGAATGGAACCAAGTTAGAAAACACTCTGCAGGATATTATCCAGGAGAACTTCCCTAACCTAGCAAGGCAGGACCACATTCAAATTCAGGAAATACAGAGAACACCACAAAAATATTCCTCTAGAAGAGCAACCTCAAGACACATAATTGTCAGTTTCACCAAAGTTGAAATGAAGGAAAAAATCTTAAGGGCAGCCAGAAAGAAAGGTCAGGTTACCCACAAAGGGAAGCCCATTAGACTGAGAGTGGAACTCTCGGCAGAAACCATACAAGCCAGAAGAGAGTGGGGGCCAATATTCAACATTCTTAAAGAAAAGAATTTTCAACCCAGAATTTCATATCCAGCCAAACTAAGCTTCATAAGTGAAGGAGAAATAAAATCCTTTACAGGCAAGCAAATGCTGAGAGATTTTGTCATCACCAGGCCTGCCTTACAAGAGCTCCTGAAGGAAGCACTAAACATGGAAAGGAACAACCAGTACCAGTCACTGCAAAAACATGCCAAATGGTAAAGACCATCGATGCTATGAAGAAACTGCATCAATTAATGGGCAAAATAACCAGCTAGCATCATAATGACAGGATCAAATTCACACAAAACAATACTAACTATTGTTAGTATTGTTACTATGTTAGTATTGTAACTATGTTAGTATCTTAACTATGTTAGTATGAGTGAACTCCCATTCACAATTACCACAAAGAGAATAAAATATCTAGGAATCCAACTTATAATGGATGTAAAGGACCTCTTCAAGGACAACTATAAACCACTGCTCAGTGAAATAAAAGAGGACACAAACAAATGGAAGAACATTGCATGCTTATGGATAGGAAGAATCAACATCATGAAAATGGCCATACTGCCCAAAGTAATTTATAGATTCAATGACATCCCCATCAAGCTACCACTGACATTCTTCACAGAATTGGAAAAAAATTACTTTAGAGTTCATATGGAACCAAAAAAGATCCCACATAGCCAAGAAAATCCTAAACAAAAACAACAAAGCTGGAGGCATCATGATACCTGACTTCAAACTATACTACAAGGCTACAGTAACCAAAACCGCATGGTATTGGTACCAAAACAGCATGGTATTGGCACCAAAGCAGAGATATACACCAATGGAACAAAACAGAGCCCTCAGAAATAACACCACATATCTACAATCATCTGATCTTTGACAAACCTGATAAAAACAAGAAATGGGGAAAAGATTCCCTATTTAATAAACAGTGCTGGGAAAACTGGCTAGCCATATGTAGAAAGCTGAAATTGGATCCCTTCCTTACACCTTATACAAAAATTAATTCAAGATGGATTAAAGACTTAAATGTTAGACCTAAAACCACAAAAACCCTAGAAGAAAACCTAGGCAATACCATTCAGGACATAGGCATGGGCAAGGACTTCATGACTAAAACACCAGAAGCAATGGCAACAAAAGCCAAAATTGGCAAATGGGATCTAATTAAACTCAAGAGCTTCTGCACAGCAAAAGAAACTACCATCATAGTGAACAGGCAACCTACAGAATGGGAAAAAATTTTTGCAATCTACTCATCTGTCAAAGGGCTAATATCCAGAATCTACAAAGAACCCAAACAAATTTACAAGAAAAAAACAAACAACCCCATCAAAAAGTAGGCAAAGGATATGAACAGACAGTTCCCAAAATAAGACATTTATGCAGCCAATAGACACATGAAAAAATGCTCATTGTCACTGGCCATCAGAAATATACAAATCAAAACCACAATGAGATATCATCTCACACCACTTAGAATGGTGATCATTAAAAAGTCAGGAAACAACAGGTGCTGGAGAGGATGTGGAGAAATAGGAACACTTTTACACTGTTGGTGGGACTGTAAACTAGTTCAACCATTGTGGAAGTCAGTGTGGTGATTCCTCAGGGATCTAGAACTAGAAATACCATTTGACCCAGCCATCCCATTACTGGGTATATACCCAAAGGAATATAAATCACGCTGCTATAAAGTCTCATGCACACATATGTTTATTGCGGCACTACTCACAATAGCAAAGACTTGGAACCAACCCAAAAGTCCAACAATGATAGACCGGATTAAGAAAATGTGGCACCTATACACCATGGAATACTATGCAGCCATAAAAATGGATGAGTTCAGGTCCTTTGTAGAGAAATGAATGAAGCTGGAAACCATCATTCTCAGCAAACTATCGAAGGACAAAAAACCAAACACCGCATGTTCTCACTCATAGGTGGGAATTGAATGATGAGAACACTTGGACACAGGAAGGGGAACATCACACACCGGGGCCTGTTGTGGCATGGGGGGAGGAGGGAGGGATAGCATTAGGAGATATACCTAATGTAAATGATGAGTTAATGGGTGCAGCACACCAACATGGCACATGTATACATATGTAATAAACCTGCACGTTGTGCACATGTACCCTAGAACTTAAAGTATAGTTAAAAAAATTATAAATATATATATAAATATTTATATATATAAAAATATTTGTATATATATATAAATATTTATATATATATATATATATGAAAGAAATGTGTTTATTTAAAAGGGTTTTTTCTTCATTTGGTATTTAAATTTGGCAATGATATTTAACCTATAAGAATTATAGTACGATAATCAAATATTGAATAAGTATCAAGAAAGTATTTAGAATATAAGTATATCTCTTTCAATTTATTTTGAATGATTTTACAACTGATAGCACTTGCATTCCTATGATTGTACTTTTTTTTATTACACTTAAAATTCTGGGATACATGTGCAGAATGTGTCAGTTTGTTACATAGGTATACACGTTCCATGTTGGTTTGCTGCACCCATCAACCCCTCATCTATATTAGGTATTTCTCTTAATGCTATCCATCCCCTAGCCCCCCACCTCCTGACAGGCCCTGGTATGTGATGTGCCCCTCTCTGTGTCCATGTGTTCTCATTGTTCAACTCCAACTTATGAGTGAGAACGTGCTGTGTTTGGTTTTCTGTTCCTGTGTTAGTTTGCTGAGAATGATGGTTTCCAGCTTCATCCATTTCCCTGCAAAAACATGAACTCAATGTTTTTTTATGACTGCATAGTATTCCATGGTGTATATGTGCCACATTTTCTTTATGCAATCTATCATCGATGGGCATTTGGGTTGGTTCCAAGTCTTTTGCTATTGTGAAGAGTGCTGCAATAAACATAAGTGTGCATGTGCTTTATAGTAGAATGTTTTATAAGCATGGGTATATACCCAGTAAAGGGATTGCTGGGTCAAATGGTATTTGTGTTTCTAGATTCCTGAGGAATCGCCACACTGTCTTCCACAAAGGTTGAACTAATTTACACTCCCACCAACAGCGTAAAAGTGTTCCTATTTCTCCACATTCTCTCCAGCATCTGTTGTTTCCTGCCTTTTTATGATAGCCATTCTAACTGGCATGAGATGGTATCTCATTCTGGTTTTGATTTGCATTTCTCTAATGACCAGTGATGATGAGCTTTTTTTCATACGTTTGTCAGCCATATAAATGTCCTCTTTTTGTCTGTTGATATACTTTGCCCACTTTTTGGTGCAGTTGTTTGTTTTTTTCCTTGTAAATTTGTTTAAGTTCCTCGTAGATTCTGGATATTAGCCCTTTGTCAGATGAATAGATTGCAAAAATTTTCTCCCATTCTGTAGGTTGCCTGTTCTCTCTGATGATAGTTTATTTTGCTGTGGAAAAGCTCTTTAGCTTAATTAGATCCCATTTGTTAATTTAGTCTTTTGTTGCAATTGCCTTTGTTGTTTTAGTCATGAACTCTTTGCCCATGCCACTGTCCTGAATTGTATTGCCTAGGTTTTCTTCTAGGGTTTTTATGGTTTTAGGTCTTACATTTAGTCTTTAATCCATCTTGAGTTAATTTTTGTATGAGGTGTAAGGAAGGGGTCCAGTTTCAGTTTCCTGCATATGGCTAGCCAGTTTTTTCAACACCATTTGTTAAGTAGGGAATCCTTTCCCCATTTCTTGTTTTTGTCAGGTTTGTCAAAGATCTGATGGTTGTAGATGTGTGACGTTATTTCTGAGGCCTCTATTCTGTTCCATTAGTCTATATATCTGTTTTTGTACCAGTGCCATTCTCTTTTGGTTACTGTAGCCTTGTAGTATAGTTTGAAGTCAAGTAGCATGATGCCTCCAGCTTTGTGTACCTGAAAGTGTTGGGGAAAATGGAACCAAGTTGGAAAACAATCTTAGGATATTATCCAGGAGAAGTTCTCCAACCTAGCTAGACAGGACAGCATTTAAATTCAGGAAATACAGAGAACACCACAAAGATACTCCTCAAGAGGAGCAACCCCAAGAACCATAATCATCAGATTCACCAAGGTTGAAATGAAGGAAAAACTGTTAAGGGCAGCTAGAGAGAAAGGTCAGGTTACCCACTAAGGGAAGCCCATCAGACTAACAGCTGATCTCTCGGCAGAAACCCTACAAGCCAGAAGAGAGTGGAGGCCAATATTCAACATTCTTAAAGAAAAGAATTTTCAAACCAGAATTCCATATCCAGGCAAGCTATGCTTCATAAGCGAAGGAGAAATAAAATTCTTTACATACAAGCAAATGTTGAGCCATTTTGTCACCAGCAGGCCTGCCTTACTAGAGTTCCTGAAGGAAGCACTAAACATGGAAAGGAACAACTGGTACCAGCCACTGCAAAAACATACCAAATTGTAAAGACCATCAACACTATGAAGAAATTGTATCAACTAATGGGAAAAATAACCAGCTAGCATCATAATGACAGGATCAAATTCACACATAACAATATTAACCTTAAATGTAAATGGGCTAAATGCCCCAATTAAAAGACACAGACTGGCAAATTGAATAAAGATTCAACATCCATCAGTGTGCTGTATTCAGGAGACCCATCTCATGTGCAAAGACACACATAGGCTCAAAATAAAGGGATGGAGGAATATTTATCAAGCATTGGAAAGCAAAATAAATAAATAAATAAATAAATAAATAAGTAGCAGGGGTTGCAATCCTACTCTCTGATAAAACAGACTTTAAACCAACAAAGAAAAAAAAAAGAAGAGCATTTCATAATGATAAATGAATCAATGCAACAAGAAGAGCTAACTATCCTAAATATATATGCACCCAATACAGGAGCACCCAGATTCATAAAGCAAATTCTTAAAGACCTGCAAAGAGACTTTGTAGACTCTCACACAGTAATAGTGGGAGATTGTATCACCCCACTGTCAATATTAGACAGATCACCAAGACAGAAAAATAACAAGGATATTCAGGACTTAAACTCAGCTCTGGACCAAGCTGACATAATAGACATCTACAGAACTCTCCACCACAAATCAACAGAATATACATTCTTCTCAAAACCACATACCACTTATTCTAAAATTGACCACAGATTGGAAGTAAGACATTCCTCAGCAAGTGCAAAAGTACAGAAATTATAACAGTCTCTCAGACCACAGTGCAATCAAGCTAGAACTCAGGATTAAGAAACTCATTCAAAATCACACAACTATATGGAAACTGAACAACCTGCTCCTGAATGACTACTGGGTAAATAACGAAATTAAGCCAGAAATAATAAGTTCTTTGAAACCAATGAGAACAAAGACACAATGTGCCAGAATCTCTGGGACACGGCTAAAACAGTGTTTAGAGGGAAATTTATAGCACTAAAACCCCATAGGAGAAAGCAGGAAATATCTACAATCAACACCTTAACATCACAATTAAAAGATTTAGAGAAGGAAGAGCAAACAAATTCAAAAGCTAACCGTAGTCAAGAAATAACTAAGATCAGAGTAGAACTGAAGGAGCTACAGACATGAAAAACCCTTCAAAAAATCAATGAATCCAGGAGCTGGTTTTTTGAAAAGACTAACAAAATTGATAGATTGCTAGCCAGACTAATAAAGAAGAAAAGAAAGAAGAATGAAATAGACACAATGAGAAATGATAAAGTAGATATCACTGCTGATCCTGCAGAAAGACAAACTACCATCAGAGAATACTATAAACACCTCTATGCAAATAAACTAGAAAATCTAAAAGAAATTGCTAAATTCCTGGACACATACACCCTCCCAAGACTAAATCAGGAAAAAGTTGAATCTCTGAATAGACCAATAACAAGTTCTGAAATTTAGGCAGTAATTAATAGCCTACCAACCAAAAAAAGCCCAGGACCAGATGGATTCACAGCCAAATTCTACCAGAGGTACAAAGGGGAGATGGTACCATTCCTTCTGAAACTATTCTAAACAACAGAAAAAGGACTCCTCTCTAACTCATTTTATGAGGCCAGCATCATCCAGATACCAAAACCTGGCAGAGACACAACAAAACAATACAATTTTAGGCCAATATACCTGATGAACATCTATGGGAAAATCCTCAGTAAAATACTGGCAGACCAAATCCAGCAGCACATCAGAAAGCTTATCCACCACGAACAAGTTGGCTTCATCCCTGGGATGCAAGGCTGGTTCAACATATGCAAATCAATAAACATAATCCATCGCATAAACAGAACCAATAACAAAAACCACATGATTACTTCAATAGATGCAGAAAAGGCCTGGGATAAAATTCAACTCCCCTTCATGCTAAAAACTCTAAATAAATTAGGTATTGATGGAACATATCTCAAAATAATAAGAGCTATTTATGACAAACCCACAGCCAATATCATACTGAATGGGCAAAAGCTGGAAGCATTCCCTTTGAAAACGGGTACGAGACAAGGATGCCCTCTCTCACCACTCCTATTCAACATAATATTGGAAGTTCTGGCCAGGGCATTCAGTCAAGAGAAAGAAATAAAGGGTATTCAAATAGGAAGAGAGGAAGTCAAATTGTCTCTGTTTGTAGATGACATGATTGTATATTTAGAAAACCCCATCATCTCAGCCCAAAATTTCCTTAAGCTGATAAGCAACTTCGGCAAAGTCTCAGGATACAAAATCAGTGTGCAAAAATCACAAGCATTCCTATACACCAATAATAGACAGAGAGCCAAGTTATGATTGAACTCCCACTCACAATTGCTACAAAGAGAATAAGATACCTAGAAATACAACTTACAAGGGATGTGAAGGACCTCTTGGAGGAGAACTACAAACCACTGCTCAATGAAATAAGAGAGGATACAATCAAATGGGAAAACATTCCATGGTCATGGATAGGAAGAATCCATATGGTGAAAATGTCCATACTGCTCTCCAGAGTAATTTATAGATTCAGTGCTATCCTCATCAAGTTACCACTGACTTTCTTCATAGAATTGGAAACAATCACTTTGAATTTCATATGGAAACAAAAAAGAGCCTGTATATCCAAGATAATCCTAAGCAAAAAGAACAAGGCTTCAGACAAATTTTGCCATTAAGTATGTGTGGTGATTTCCTGGATGTCAGGGCTGAGCAAGGAAAAAGTCATGACCAGGAGATGGCAGTAGCACACAACGTGGTTTATTTGGGTGGCCCTTTGAAAGGTTTTAGGAGAGGGGAACTTCCCTCAAAGCAGGAGACCTTCCAGAGAGAGGCAGCAGCAAGAGGCCACCACCCAGAAGAGGAAGAGTTCAAGGCAACTTCCAGTGAAGAGAAGAATTGGACAGGAGACTTACGTGTCTATGGGATGTTACTCAGCAGCCTGGTGTGGAGTCTCTGGGTCAGAGAGCTCCCATGGGCATCAGAGGCTTGAGGCTTTTTTCCAGCCCCAGAGTATGTCCTATCTACAGCTAGCAGATGGTGTGTCTGGTTTTACAGAGGGTGCAATGTGGGTGGGTTCTAAATGGCTAAAAATGTGCTTATTGAGGGCCATATTTAAAGCAATTGGATGTGTAAACATTTGATTTGAGTTCCAATGAGCTTTGAGCTAATGGTCTTAGCCATCTCTGAATATAGGTGACAAGATACATGGCACAATCTAAAGATATTAAACCCACTTATATAACAGTCCATGCCTTGGCCCCATGTTATTCTACAATCTAAGTTGTATGCTATTTCACGGCGTTTGAGTTGGGAGCCAGCGATGAAGCGTCCCCAAGACCCAGAATGCTATAAGGCTACAAATTAGGATTTTAAAGCCAGTTCTCAGCCAGTCTGCCCACTTGGGCAGCCAGTAGAATAGATTAGAAAAGGAGACAATTTTGATTTGATCAATCCGTTTAGTCAACAGAGTGGCATTTATATCCCCTTTCCTACATGACCCCAGCTATCTGTAAAACTTGGTATTATCTACACACATGCAGGAAGATAATTTTAGCAAGCATACAGCCCTCGTGCCCTCCAACCCCTCCAGCAGCCAAATACCTGACCTAGGGCTATGCAGTTATCTCACACCATAGCCCCTAAAGTACAGTGAGATTCAGCAAAGAGTTTTGGTCCTTGGGCTGTTTATCTAATTTGTGTGGGTAATTCCTTCAACATGGCTATCTGTGTTTCTCTTAATTGTGGTGTGCTGTTCCACACACATGCTGTTCCTACTGCCTCCAAAATTAGTGATCCTAGGGAAGTTAGTACCATGAAGAACTATTTGGAAAGCTCATTTGTGACATTGGGGAGTTGCAGCTAATGTGGTTTGGTGGCGGCAAGTACTTGGCGGAGGGGGTTCCACTGTTGAATAAAATTCTACTGGAATTTTGCACCAATCCCAAGTGCAGGAAATATTCTTCAGGGTTGGATGAGGAGAAGATTGTGATAGGGAAGCCATCTGATTCCTTTACAGGACCACCAGGCTCCCTGGCTGCCTGTATTCTCTGTGTTCCACTGAAGGGAAGTTCACATGGCTTCGTGAAGTTCCAGAAGTTCCAGGTTGTGTTAATAGGAGCAGAAAATGGTATAGTCAAACAAGCTTGTGTTATCCACCTTGCATTCAGCACCTGGGTTAACTAAATTTGTCGTGGGCTCAGCCCACCATTGTCTATACATTTATGTGAGATAAGCCTCTGGATAAGGTTGTTGAATGTCAATGGTTAGGGGAATCGGCTCATCTAAATAAGTGAGGTATATGATGCAGCGTTGCCAGGAAAGAAGTATTACACTATGTTTTCTAAAATCAGGTTGGCAGAAGCAAACCCTGCATTAGGTTAGATTTACCATCTTATATGTTGCTGTGGCTAAGGCTATAGGCACGTTTGGTGTAGTCGGCAATTGCATGTTCCTCCTTGCTGTGACTGTTGTGTGTTGTGCTTGAGTTTCCTGTTGATTGCCAATAATAAATAGTATTGATGTGTTCCCATGAGTGTGGGATAGGTTTTGTAGGTGCTCTTGGCAGTCCAAGAAGAACGTTGTTAGTCTAACCACACAACAAATTAGATCCTGAATTATGAGGCACTTGCATATGAGTGAACAAAACAGGTGAACCAAGTATTTTTTTAAAAATAGACATCGGCCGGGCACGGTGGCTCACCCCTGTAATCCCAGCACTTTGGGAGGCCGAGGCAGGCAGATGATGAGGTCAGGAGTTCCAGACCAGCCTTGCCAATATGGTGAAACCCTGTCTCTATTAAAAATATATAAAAAAAAATTAGCCAGGTGTGGTGGCATGCTCCTGTAGTCCCAGCTACTTGGGAGGCTGAGGCAGGAGAATCACTTGAACCCAGGAAGCAGAGGTTTCAGTGAGCCGAGATCGCGCCACTGCACTCCAGCCTGGGTGACAGATCAAGACTCTGTCTCAAAAAAGAAAAAAAAATATATCAATTGTATCAAGGCATAGGTCCCTTTTATGTTCCCTTGTATTGCAACATTATTGTGTTTCAGTGGGGGACCAAATACTTTATGGACTCCATTTTAGGGGAAACTTTCATGGGGAAGAGGTTTGTATACCTTTAATAACCTCAGGAGTGGCCCCTTGGGAGGTGGCAGTGTGACTACACCAATAAATTTCCTCCCAAGTACTCATGGACATAAAGTGTCTACTGAGACACTGGAGACTACTAGAGGGGGACGGGGGAGGGGAGCAAGGGTTGAAAAACAAACTGTTGGGTACTATGCTCAATACCTGGGTGATGGGATCATTTGTACCCCAAACCTCAGCAACATGCAATATACCCAGGTAACAAACCTGCACATGTGCCCAATGAATCTAAAATGAAAGTTGAAAAAGAAATGAAAAGACATACAAATGTTTTAATAAAGATGAAAAACATTCCTCCCAAGTTAGTTTCACTACAGGTCTTCTCAGTATTGTTTCTATCTTCTGTAGTTTTGGAGTGTGTATGGATTTTAAGGAGCCCCCAGAAAAGTAACACTGGGCAACAACTTCCCTCAAATATTTTCTAAGTTTTTAATGATTGTGGCTTTGGTAGGCCTGTCAAATTTCATAATAGCTATAAGCAAATAGCTATCAATGTGGGTGGAGAAACTCCCATGCAAAGAGTAGTTAGATTTCTCCATGGGATCAAATATGGTTTTTGTAAGAATTGTCTTTGCTGTGATACCCATGAGCTATGATTTGTTCACTGTGGGCAGCCAGCATTGCAATTGCTGTAAAGTTCTCTTCCTTTGAGTTTTATGTAAAACTTGCAGTTGGTGTATTGAGATTAGGTTAGGGAAGAATTCCCAAGCTGGTTGTACTGTGTGTGTGTGTGTGTGTGTGTGTGTGTGTGTGTATTTTAAGAAATGTCTTGGCCCAGGTAATGTGTAGTATGCATTACCTTCCTGGTATGCATTGATTAGCAACTAGTGAGGAGGTCCATGGTAAGGTTCACTTGCCTGCTTGGCTAATACAATTTCTTTCCATCTCAATAGTGGGGCTTCTAATGGAGGCAGAGAAAGATCATTATAATTAATAGGAAAAGAAGCCAATAGTTGTAAAGGTATACACTGTGGGCGGCGATTGCATTTATTATCATTCCAGGGATCAGAAAAAGCTGTCATTTTATCTATGCAATCCTGTAGGGCTTGTGGGTATTGGATCTGGATTATAGCATTTTAATGCTATAAAACATTAGCATTAATAACATTAGTGCCAATCACAAGCATCCTGGTTGTAATATTTGGTGCATACTATCTCTGGGTTCCATAGATAGTGGCCCATTTCTCCATTTGTTTAATGGCACATGAGTTAGTAATAGGGGGTTTCATCTGATGTGAAGGAAAAGGTGGCCCACAGAGCTTAGAAGGCATCTGTGAGTCACAAGCAAAATTGTAGAATCTGACTTAGCTGGAAGGATGTTACTAAGTGGTAGTAGAGAGAGGAGGAGAAGTGCTAGCTTCAGTGCTGATGTCTGTAGACTGAACCAGTGAAATGGGAGCATGGTTCCCTTTGTCCCCAGTCTGACCTATGTTGGGTCTCCCTGTGGTGTGTATGTGGCATGCTGTTTCCACACATACTTTGCCAGCAGTAGGGTATGGATCACCAGGGATAGGGCAATCCACCAATCGAGGGATAATTGACATTGGTGAAGGTAGGAACTTTCTCAGGTAAGGAAAGGGCAGAACAACAGCATAGGCATAAATGTTGGAGGTCATTTGCAGCCAGCAGTAGGGAATCTGATTGTCCTCTGGGAGCCACCCAAATGGTGTTACCAGATACAAGGGTTGTTGGTTCAATCTCCTGGGTGTCCGGAGCAGGTCAAGGTTTGTTCCATAGTGCCCTTAGTGGAGCAAAGTACATGGGCAGAAAATGAGGATGCTTCCCTCTCCAGATAGTGGTGGGTGGTTTGCTAGTTTTATGCTGGGTAATGAGCAGACTAAGACTGAGAATGCACCCAGAGTGAGTGGTCCATGCCAGATCCTTGTCAGGATTGAGAGGGGAAAAAAATGGCCAGGCTCTGGATTTTCTATGAGGGAGAAGGAAGAGGTGAAAGAGCCAAGTTCCTTTGCTGTGGGCAGTCACTTCAGGGCCCCCATGTTCGTGAATACTGGTAAATCATGTTGTGTCCAGTGGGTACATACATTACCAGAGGTTGCAGCATCTCTGTTGGTGGTCTCCTCATTTGCTGTGAATTAAAATATGGTGCATTTATGCCAGAGAGGTATGGATTTAATGTAAGCATGACTATGGGCAGTATTTTTGGCTACGGGGAATGCTATTGTCCTGCATGTTCTTTCAATATCCCTTGTTTTAAAAAGCCCATTGTGTCATTCTGTGATACCTGTTACTGGAGGACCAGAGAATAAATGAGAAATCCAAGCAGTGTTCTTTGGTAATACCTATGGTTGAATCTTCTTTGCAGAGAAGTGAGAGTCTTGATCTGACTGGATAACTTTGTGTAACTTTTGTACTCCCAAAGGCCATGCAAACTATTTTATCAGTTCCTCAATAACATTAGCAGAGCTTGGTGCCTTTCATGGATAAGCCAAGAGTAAGCCTGTGTAGGTATTTCTACATTGTTGTGGCATATGTAATAGTTCCTGCTGCTTCAGAGAGAGGCCCAATGAAATTGACTGGATTTGCCAGCTCTGATATGACTCTTCTCCTCCCATGCAGTAGGTCCAAGTCTTTAGATTTCTGGCCTGTGGTACAGTCCCTAACAGCTTCACGTAAATGTCTCTCTGCTGGGTCTATTTCTCATTAACAGTTGATTTTCATGGTCTCATGATGCCCAAATGCCCTGACCTCTCCTGTGTAGGGTGTAGGGTAGCTCTTACCAAAGTTCTGCTGTCTCCCTTCTTTTCAAAAGGATTAACTACTTTGGTAGTTTAGCTAGTTTGTCAGTTTCCAGGTTGTATTGTTTGCTGTGAGCTGGGGTATGGTGTACAAAAATGTGCAGAGTGGAGGCCAATGTGCTGATATTTTTCCCCACATCTCCTTACCCCAAATGTGTCAGCCTTGTATGTTCCAGCCCTGATTGTGCCCAAGTCCCAACGCAATAGCCCATTAGCCACTGACCAGGAGTTGCCAAAAATGTGAAGCTTAGTAAAATGTTTGTCAAAGGCTTTCTCTATTTCTAGGGGTGTTGCACACAGCCTGGCCCATTGGGCACTTTGGCCCATCTCCATATGGAAGTTGGAGTATTTGAATAAGGGTGATAGGCTGTGGCTACCCTTTATCTGACTCCCTTATACCCTGTGCTCACTCCATTAGTAAAGAAAAACATTAATTTTCTTGTTATGAGAGTGCTGGTTATTCTCCCTCCATTCCCCAGTGAGCAAGAGCCAGGGGCATTTCCAGGGGTTTTGGCAAGTTAACCTCACTGACAGAGTATGTGGCCATTTCCTCACACAGTAGTGATACTCCAGGAGGTCCAGGTGTAGTTCAATCCTGTAGATACCATTTTCATTTTAATAAAGAAGCTTCTGTTGCTGATCCAATTTTACACGCAGCTCTGTCCATAACCCAGGAATCTCGGTCCATAGGGTAATTGTCTCTGCCCCGTCAGGGCTTCAGTTTTGGTAAGTGCCCTGTATGCTGCCAGTGGGTGTCTGTCTAGTGAATACTTTAGGCTGAGGCTGAGAGCTACTTACACCAAAAGCTCACGAGTAGGCATTTACCTGTCCATTTGGTCCAGAGGCTCCAGGAAGCAAATTTGGGAGCAGTGGAAATTTGTAATTGCAAGTCTTGTCCTTGGGAGCACTAGAGGGAGAGCCAAAGTATTAGCCTCCTTTAGCTCACCCAGTGTCTGTTGTTGCTCAGGTCCCCACTGGAAAAGGGAAGCTTTACAGGTGTCTCAATAGACAATTCGGCAAGGGTCAGCAAACACTGGAGGTGAGGAATACGTTGTGCTATCATTCCTAATGAATGTTGGGGCTTCTTTTCTGATGTGAGCAGTTTAAGCACGAGGAGCTTGTCTTTTATCAGATTGGAAATAGTTCACCCTTCCAAGTGCCTAGTGTAGCCCCCCAAATTTTACAGACTTATACCTTATATGGTGTAATTACCCATCCACCCTCAGTGAAAGGTGGTTTACTGAGGGCTGTGATCAACTGTGAAACAGTCTTGGACAGGTTCCGTGAGGAGGATGTCACTGATATAATGCCAAAGCATAGCTTCTGGTGAAATTGTGGGGCAGGTGCCTATGTCCTGTTGGCAAAGACTGTGCAATTGAAGGGCTATTTAAATACCCCCCCCCAAAAAGCTAGCATCACAATGAAGATGAGGGGAAACAAAATAAATACCCCAAAAGCAAGTGGGTAAGGGTGTACTATTGACTCTCAAAGGTAGAAGTGAAATGTGTTTGACTCTACTGTGAAATTTTTACTGAATAGAATATGTTAGCCAAGTCTATAACTGCAGATTCAATTTCAGGGGGCCTTAGATGCCCTGGATTAATAGAAACTTACCTCTGATGTTTTGAATGACACCCATTAAGGTCACAATGTCCTATAGAGGTGCTCTAATAAAGGGAACATCCTCGATGAACTCTCTAAGGTCTATAGTCTCCACTTAGTAGTGTCTCTTAGTGTAGGCCATATGGGGAATTGATAGGCGACGTAGTAGGAATCAGTGTTCCTTGTTTATCTATGTCCTTCAGTGTCCTGCTTCAGCTTCTGCTGTGGTGTATGAACCATCTGAACCAGGAGGGGCAGGTTCAAGCTGCATCAAGTAACTCTGTTTGACTGACAGACTTAGCAGTGTTGTTTGTCAGTGCCCAAGCCACAGTTAATACGGTAAAAGGGCAACTGTCTGTCAGAAGGGGCCTTCTGACACTGCAGGATCCCTGTGTGGGAGAAGATTCTTAGCCACTTGGCAGTGATCAGAGACAGTTGTGGAATGGGGGGTTGTAATCTAACCCTAGTAAGTATTGCAATTACTCCAATGATTCACCAGAGATCATCCAACTTGGGACCTTCTTGTGCCTTAGGGTCTAACATAACCTCTTTTCTTCATCTCATGGTTGATGCACACATGAGGGCCTGGACATAGGTGGCTTGTTTGGCCCAGGAGGGGGCAGCCTCAGTGTTGATAGTAACTTTGATTTAGGCCAGGTAGGGTATTATAGTGTTAGCAGGCAGCACCTGACTCTGAGTTTGTCTTTCATGAGTTTCTATTAAATCCAGTGCAGCTATGGCCTCTTGAATTGTTTTAGCAGTAGCCACCATGCCCAGTAAAGATTTTCCCAGGAGCCCTGCCCCCAAAGAAACAATTGAGTGGACTCAGGACTCGATTCAGACTCCTCCAGTCTTGTCAAGTCATCCTGCCACACCTCATTTGTTGTCTCCACTCCAACATGTCCAACTGGTGGAGGAGATCTTTGGCCTTGGCTAATCTTTTCCCTGGACAGTCTTCCCAGGCCATTATGAGGTCTAATGTAGGGTGGGCAGCCTTCTAATCCACAAAAATACACATCAGCAATAAAGATGTGAACAGAGGTCCAATGCCTCTGTGTGGCTTCTTCCCAAATTCTACTCTACAGGATCCATTAGAGGGGACACAATTTTTCCATCATGTACTATCGCTCCCAATTGTTTAATTTCATTCCCCATTACATGGAATTTGTTCCCTGCCAGATGCATTCTATAGAGCCAAGCAGCCCCTTGTTTATTTGGTTCTTGGCCTGGGTACTTAAGGAGAGACTGGGGCTCAGGTAAGAGAGAGGATGGGACTCCTCCTCCGAGCAAGAACTGACCCTTCTTTCTTGGCTCTCCCTTTTTGTCTTTTCCATTTTTATTACTTTCTGAGTGGCTACAGGCAAAGCAGAGGATAAGTTATCCCAGTCCCTACCGTGGTGACACTGCTGCCTTTTCTTCTGGAGAGCACCTATTCTCCTCTCCAGGGACCTCTTGTCCAAACTGTCTCTCCCAAGACTTTGGGCTCTTACCTCTTCTCCAGGTGGCATCCTGGTGATAAATTGCTGCCAGCAAGGTCAGCACATGCCTCATGGTTAGGAATGCCTGTTCGACCTGACAGCAACCTCCTGTAGGGTTCCGGGAGGGGTAGGAATATAAATTTCTTTGCCTTCAGTCACTTTAAGTACCACTCTAGCTAGCTCAGTCCAAAGGTTGAGATATTAATATCCCTCTGGAGAGGGGATAGCATGATGACAACTGCAACATCATAATTGAGTGTAACAACAGTAGAGGCATGCTACCTGCTTGCAAAGGCCTTTCCACCAGCTGCCCTTAGGAGACCAGCCTTGGCCTGATGTCTCTGCCTTATTGGCTCATTTACTTGCCTATCTGTCTCCGGGGAGGAGGAAATCCTCACATCTCAGACTACCCCAAATCCTCAACCCAGCCACAGGGAGCATTTCCCACCATAGCCTGTTATGCAGTCCAGGGTGGTTCACCCTTATTCCAGAGGCATGCACTCCCTCTCCTTTTCTATTCAGGTACACAGGTGCACAATGTCCAATGTCAACTGAGGGGGGGACCCAGGTAAGTGGGCTGACCTCCTTCCCCAGTACCTTGGCATCTAAGACCCCAAAAGTCAGTTCTAATGGTGTGGGTTCACTCAACTACTGGTGCTACCTCTAGGCCAGGTCAATGAGGTATAGAAGGAGACTGCAAAAAGTATATTGTTGCAGTACAGCAATGAGCGATGCTACGCAAAACTGCTACAGAGGCATTCTAAATGTAGAGTCTGAGCACTTAAGGCTGCCTAGGACTGATTTTTCAGTTGATTGTCCTACTGACTGGGTAGACGCTATGCCAATTTCTTGTTCATGAAAATCCCATCCTCCTCACCACTTGCTGCGAGTTCCAAGATTTCTGGGCTGATCAATGAAGAAGACATGACCACAAGATGGCAGTAGCACCCAAGAACCGTTTTGTTTGTTTGTTTGTTTGTTTGTTTGTTTCGTTTGTTTTTTTTGTGAGAAGCAGTCTCACTCTGCTGCCCAAGCTGGAATGCTGTGGCGCAACCTCCGCTCACTGCAACCTCCGCCTCCTGGGTTCAAGTGATTCTCCAGCCTTAGCCTCCCAAGTAGCTGGGATTACAGGTGCCCGCCACAATGGCGGGCTAATTTTTGTATTTATTAGTAGAGACGAGGTTTCACCCTGTTGGCCAGTCTGGTCTCGAACACCTGACCTCAGGTGATCCACTGCCTCAGCCTCCCAAAGTGCTGGGATTACAGGCGCGAGCCACCGCGCCCAGCCAAGAAGCTTTTTATTTTGGCGGTGCTTAGACAGGTTGCCAGAGAGGGGAAGTCTCTCACATCAGACCTTCCAGAGGCAGCAGCAGAGGGCCACTGCCCAGAAGGGGAAAAAGGCAAGGTAACTCCTGGGGTAGAGGAGAATAGGAGAGAGCCTTATGTGTCTGGGCGATATGACTCAGCATCAGGAGAGGGAGTTTCTGGGTCAGAGAGCTCTGGAGGCAAGCAGTGGCATGGGGTGTTTTATAGCCCCTGTGTTTGCCTTAACCGTGGCTAGCAGATGTTGGTGCAGTTTTGTGGGGCATGCGAGGCAGGCAAGCCCTAAATGGCTACACATATGCTTACTTGAGCTATATTTAAAGCAATTGCATGTGTAAAAAATTCGAGTTTGTCATTGCCAGGCTTTCAGCCTGCTGTGAGAAAGTATAATGGCAACATAGAGGCCAATATATGGAGGTCATCTTTAACCCACTGATATAATAACATGCCACTTAGCCACTCTGATTAATCTGACTGGTCTGAGATAAAATCCATTCAATCTGTACTATCAACAGGACTCTAAGCAGCAAGGTAAGATCAATCTGCAACGTTAACCTGAACTTAAAACGTTAAGTGCACACGTACAATACTACTGCTCCTGAGTTTTTATCTAAGAGAAATGAAAGCATAGGTCCACATAAAGACTTGTACGTGAATGTTTATAGCAGCTTCATTTGTGCTAGTGAAAAACTGGAAACAATCCAAATTACCATACAATGAAATACTATACTATGACAAATAGTAATGAACTATTGATAGAAATAACAGCATGGGTGAATCTGAAAATAACTATGCTGATTTTAAGAAGACAAAAAAGAGTATACAGTGTATAATTCTATTTATATAAAATTCTATAAAGCACAAACTAATCTATAGTGAGAGAAAGTAGATCAGTGGTTGCCTAGGGACAGGGATGGGATGGGGATGGGTAGGGAGGGAAGCAACATAAAGGGGCATGAGAAAGCCTTAGGAGGTGATGAAAATGATCGTCATTTTGAATGTGGTAAGGGCTTATGATTATTGGTAAGGAGTTATGCTTATAAAATATAAATAATTTGTATTTTATAAATTATATAAATTACATATAATTTCATTTAGTTTTAAATTTAAGGAATGGCAATATGTCTTGCATCAAAGAACCCTCAAAACAACACCTTAAGTACTGCAAAGTCTTTGACGATGTATTTGCCAGTTAACTTATCTTTAAACATCAATAATAAAAATTGTCAAGACTTATTTGTTTCTATGTGTTTATTTTAGTGTGCTATTGCTTTTTCACATTCTGGGTCATATTTTCAAAGTATTATTTCACATTGTGTAAATGTATTTTTTTTTCACTATTAGTAAAGAGCATCTCAAGTAAGGTCCTGCTTTCTACTTTGATGGTATAGGAGCATGTTTGACTCAGATATGAACCACTTGTGGACAGAGTTATGGGTGAGAAATCTGATATTTAAGGAACACTCTGGATTAGTTTCCCATTGGTGAGAAAATAAAAAAGTGATGAGCACTTTTTCCAAATACCACGTGATAAATCAAGTACTCAAACATGCTAACTGCATTTAGACTATTCTATTACCAAAATATTCCAATCAATTCCTGTGGACAGTTTGTAAACTGTCATTCCCAATGCCTCCTCATCCTTCAAGTTCCCACTGAAAGGTCTCATAGCTTATCAGACCTTTGGGGGAAGTGCTTTTTTTTTTTAATTAAAAGTTAAGTCATGTGCAGGGCAGAGTGAGGCAAAATGCAGCCAGTGGTCAGGAACTAAAGACCTCTCCTCCACCTGGGCCTTGAGAGTTTGGGAGAAGCTCAGGAAGAAAAGCCAACCATCTGAGTCCAGTGGGCTTTGAAGCAGTGGTCTTGCATCTGTACATGTGGGATAAATGATGTGAAAACCATTAACTCTGCCGCTGATCCAGCTGCAGGGAAAAGCATTTCCTCTGATCAAGGTGACCATCTGGCTGGTGGACCTCATTTTGCACCAGGTCCTGATCGATGAGCTGACCCTGAGTCCACAGTTCACCTGATGGAGAACTCAGAGTCAAAGCCCAGGCCCAAGTGAGGCTGTCTGACTGCTGCTTGAGGGCCTAGGGACCACACCCCTGGAGTCAGGAGGGCGGAGGTGAGGATGATAGTGAAATGGCCAGAAGGTAAAGATACATGTGAATATTCTATCTTCATTAGGTCGCATGGATGAAAGGCAATAGAAAAGTAGCACATACATTTTTTAGAAGTTAAAGCTGATAGTCAGGACACAAAGATGGCTGATTATTCTACAGACATGGAAGGCAGGCGCTCAGGACCTGTAAAATCCCCCACTGAGCAAATAACTGAGACAGTACTTCCTAGTGATGCATTCTGCTGGCAAACAGTGTGAAATTTTTCTGGAGAAGGCTCAGGCCATCGGTCCCTGGTCCATCTTCTGGCCCCACAGAGTTGCTGATCGAACACCCTCCACAGGGAGAGCATTGCACAAGTGATTCCCTTTTTAGAAATTCTTCTAAGCCATTCAGAAGAAGACAAGCTTGCAGATGGAAGGGAATCAGAACCTGGGCAATGTCTTAGAGTGGCCGAGCTATCCCTGTGTGTGGTTTGGAGTGTTTTCACTAAGACAAAACAGTGGGAGAAAGAAAAACCCTACACCCATACAAACTTTGAGGGAATATTGGAGCTTAATGTAACAGAAACCCGTTGTGCTAGGAAATTTTATTACATTCTCTGAAGGGGTCGCAGGGTTCTGTGTCTGGGCTGGTTTCCGTAGTGCAGTAATTGTCAAGCTCACCAAAAGTGCGACAAAATCACGGAATTACCCTTGGTAGAAACGCGGAATTACTCCAAAACCCTACCCTCATCCTCTACCTGGACCAGAGAGAAAAACAACTACTTGAGTTTTCAGAAACTACCAAACCTTGGCTCTAGCTCCGCATCCTTGGCCAGAGCATGGAAGGTTGGGGTGAGGGACACGGTGAACAAGAACTGCATCCTCACGCTGCTCACACTTCCTCTTTCCCCCTTTTGCTCTTGTGTGTGGGGTCAGAGGTTACCAGACAGGGGTCACTAAGGTTGTCAGTGGGAGGATGCGAGCCCTGTTGGGTTCCTCCCAGACAGCTCAACATGGGAGGCTCCCAATTCCCCTTTCTCCTGCAAGGAAAGACACCACAGCTGTGTCACCCTCCTTCAGAGACTGCAGATTGGAAGCCTGTTTTTCCACAAAACCTAGTTCTAAGCCATTTCTAGCAAGTGAGAGTTACTGATTGGAAGCCTAGTGGTGACAGCTACCCATGGGGCAGGCTTAAATAGCGACTCCTCCTGGTAGTGAACGAATTTCAGATTTCACACAAGAAGGGCAAAACCATGGGCTATTTTCTCCCATGAATTTTTGCCTATTTTGGGCCCTAAATCAAATTGAGAAAAGTGTGACTAAAACACTCAAACTGCCAATATAGTTAGAGATATACGCTTTGTGAGACTAACTCAGGAATCTACTGCCTTGCTCCTGCAAGGATACAGCTCTGTAAGGCATGACTTTAAAAGAATTCCAAGCACCTTTTATCTATCTGTTTAACTCTGGTGCAGGGGAACAGAGCAGCATTTAAGGTATAAACAAAATTAGTCTACTCCTGAAGAGAACATTTGCTACTCACATTTATGGTAGAAGAAGCAATCTCACAACACAACAAAGCTCTCCTTGTGAGTGGAGCAGGAAGTCCTGGGTAGGGCTGGACCACAAGGCTCACAGGCTCTATGCCCTAAGCTACTGACGCCCCTTTGTGCCAGAGGCTGGGTTTTGCAGCAAACTCAGTTCAGGCCTGGGAACACTGAGCCCACCAAGAATCCTAAATAGTCAACTAAAACCCCTGAAATAGCCAGGCCCGTTACTTTAACCATTTGTATATCTTTAGGGGGTACAAGTACATGGATAAGTACCATGTACTTGTTGTTACATGGATATATTACCCAGTGGTGAAGTCTAGGCTTACCAGAGCAAAAACAGGGTGGTAGATAATCTCCCTTGTGCAATCAACAACTATAACCCGGCAGGTAGGGTGCCTACTATTGATACTGACTACAGAGAGTGTGGACTCCTCTAACCTGATACAGGATATGAAGCCAGTTATCAATTTATTACCTCTCAGCTCCAAATTCACCCTTCAATATATATTCTTTGATAATAGAGGGATTCTTTAAGCATCTCTCCTTTAAAGTAACATCGAAGAGCATAATGTTACACTTACTTAATAGGGGGCTCTGTAGGGACAGACACTGAAAGAGGAAGTGGTACTTCTATGATTTCTGGTTCTCAGAGTTGTGGACGTGAGGACATTCAAGAAGCTTTGTCTCAGGCCTGGGCCCAGAACAACTGTCTCTCAGCAAACCTGCAGTCCTGCTGTGCCCTAATGATCAGCTTCTTGTGGCCTTCTTGATAGGGACATGCTGTTCTCCAAGTCATCTGCCTACTGCTTCTCTCTGCTCACTTGCTCCACAGCCACACACACACACACACACACACACACACACACACACACACGACCAGGTTCATGTAGTCCTGTCAATACTGCAGCCATCTCAACACTGAGACCCCACCCTAATCCTGTGCATGGAGCATTGTTTACTCCAGGCCTCCAACTGAGCCAGGCCCCCCAACCCCTACTTCACACCCACTTACTAGCCACCAGCTATTGCTTGTCCACACTACCGTGCTTCAAAGGGGGGCTTCTTGCTTCCTCTGTGATCGTAGACCAGTTCTAGCTCTGCAGACCAGCTCAGGTACTGGCAAACCAGTGGAACTTCTCTGCCATCCAGTGGGTTCTTCTCCAATTAGGTATGAAATCCAGCCTTGGGGAGAAGCTTTCATTCTAAGTTTGTCTTTCCTTGGATACTCTCCCCCAGTCCCAGAAAACCCCATATAGAGTTGTCTTGTATTCTATATAAGATATTTTATCATAGTTTAATGATTCTTTATATTAAACCTTCTCTTTCTAGATCACTGTGTGCTTTCTATCTCTGGATTGAATCTATATTGCTACAGAACACAACATCTACAGCAAGCATCATTCTTAATGGAGAATCACTGAAAGCTTTCTCTTTAAGAGCTTCATCAAGTAAGGATGTCCACTATCACCACTTCTATTCAATAGTTTACTGGGGGTGGTGATGGGGTCCCAGACAGAGCAGTAGAGCAAGAAAAAGAAATAAGATATTTGGAAAGGAAGAAGAAAGACTGGCACTATTTACAGATGATATGACAGTGTACATAAAATTCCACAAAGTATTACAGACAAATTATTAGAATCAATAGAAGAGTTTATACGCTTGTAGGATAAAATCTTAATGAACAAAAGTCAATTGCATCCTATTTATTTACCAGAAACAAATTTAGACAGTAAAAATTCCAAACAGGATTTGCACAATATGAAGTGCCTAGGACAAAAAAGTTGCCTTTTGGGAAAAATATAAAGTATTACTTGGGCACATTAAAGGAGACCTTATTAAAAGGAGAGACAGACCAAAGCCATGAACCAAACTTTCAATATTGAGAAGTCAAATCTAAAATATCAGCACAATATGAATTAGAACCCCAAACTAGCTGTTGGTTGAAGTTTTTATGATGAGTTTATAATTTAAATGGAATTGAAATGGGCCAAAAGTAGCCAAGACACTTTTGAAGAAAGATGTAGAATTTACTGCCTTATCCAAATATCAGAATTGACTATGGATCTGTAGTAATTAAGACAGTGTGATATTTCAAACAAATAGGGCCGAGCACTTAATAGCGAGTATAGGAACTAGCCCACATATGGGTAGATACTTGATTTATGGCACTGTAAATCAGTTGGCAAAAGGCAGACTTTTCAATAAGTGGTTCACTGAGAAAACTGGATATTCAAACAAATAAATAAATAAATAAATAAATGGAACCCCACTCAACACAATATACAAACATCAATTGCAGGTGGATTAAGACCTGACTGTGAAGGGCAATAGCATACGTATTTTGGAAGAAAATATAGAAAACGCTTTCATGGCCCAGGGTTTCTTAAAACAGAAAAGATTTCTTAAAACAGATTTCTTAAAACAAAAACACACTAACCATCAGGAAAAGAATGATGAATTTGACTATATTATAATTAAGATCTTCTGTTCACAAAACACAGCACAAAGCAATGGGAAATACAAACAGAACAAGGGAATATTTTGGCCACAGGTATGGACTAGTATTTAAAATATTTAACAGGCTCATTAAGTCAGTAAGTACTAGATGAACAATAGAATAGAAACATGGGTTAAAAGAGGTAAATTTGAATAGGCCTTCTTCGGAGTAGACACTCCAAAAGGCTCATAAACACGAAAATGTGCTAAAGCTTACTAGTAATTTGGGTATTGCCCACCAGTAGACTGGCAAAATTTAAATTCTGGCAATACTTGGTGTGGGTGAAGATGTGGAGCAGTAGGGGCTCTCTGTGCTGCTGGTGGGATTGACAGCTTGCCCAATCACTACAGAGAACAATTTGGCATCATCTAGTAAAGCTCAGGATATCCATACCCTATGGCCCTGTGATTCTATTCTTGGATATATACCCTAGAGAGATTTTTACACATGTGTCCCATGAGAAATGTGCAAGAATGTTCATAATAATCGCTGAAAAATAGAAGCAATCCTAATGTTCATCTGCTGTAGAATGGAGTGGTATAATCATACCATAATCACTTTGCTATAAGCATATGCTGGAACGACAGTCGATGGAGACAAAGGATCTACTTACTTATAACTATTATGAACAACATGGATGAGTCTCAAGTATAATACAGAGTGAAAGAAACAAGTTATAAAAGGAAACTTGCCGTATGATTCCATTTATACAACTTCGTATCAACTCTATTGTTTACGGATGCGTACAAAAGTGATAAAGCTATAAAGGAAAGCAGTGAAATGATTATTACAAAGTCAGGGCAATGACTATATTCATATAGGAGAGTGTGGGTTGTGATTGGGAGGAGTACAGCGGCTGTATTCTGGAAGGCTGGCAGTGGTCTATTGCTTGACCTTGGTCCTGGTTACACAGGTGTCTGCTTTTGTAAAATAATCTAAACGATACAAATATGTTTTATGCACTCTTCTATACCTCAGATTTGAAAAATGCTTCCACCAGAAAAAGTAATAGAAAGAAAAGTATGTGGAGTAGACATTTTGATGAGGTTCAAATAGTTATGGATGAATAGCTTGATTTTCAAGAGACCAAGTGTCCACTGTCATTAAAAGAGGGCGAGAGAGCTGGGAGTATTTAAACAACAGGTTACACCCCGCTCCCCCACCACCACCAATCTAGTCATTACTCTAAGCTTTCTTATCTCAGATATTTCACCCTATATTTGTGTCAATTCCCAACTCAGTCGTAACGGACAAAATGAAGGATTGTCATCATCATTAATAAGATCATTAGGCACCACAGGCCCAGCAAGCCTGGGCCACCACACTTAAATGTGAACAGGTACACCAGGTTGATTGGACAAGATCGTCTGTGCCTTTTACTTGGCAGAATCCATTGCAGTGACTCAGGATTTAACCTAAACACATTTAACTGAAACTCCTGCCCAGAGACCTCCACGTGCTGGAGAAGGCAGAGTAAACTGAGGAATGAATGCCCTCATTGTGCTGTGAGAGCAGACATGAAATTTATCACAGTACAACCGATGGTGGAAGGGCAAAAGTTGGTTTAGGTTGTGCACTGTATAGGGAGAAGCCAGGAGAAGGTTGGGTTTTTTCCAGATTTCAGTGTAAATTGTTTCATCCTCCAGACTTTGAATTTCTAGGCTGAAGAGTGCTAACCTGTTTTGGCCGCATCTCTCACTCATTCTAATGTCTGTATCAGCAAGACAAAATTTGAACTATGCGGCAAATTGTACCGAAGACTTTGCTCAAGATAATTGTGAATATGGAAGTTGTCCCGCGGGGAGGTGGGAAGGGGAAGGACATTTTCAGCAGAACTGCCAGCGCTATGGTGGTTTAATGCTGACACAGAGACAGTTTTTTCTCTCAGGAATTGTCTTTCATCCATCAGTCCAGCCAGCCAGCCAGCCAGCAAATTTTAACACACAGAAAGTACGAAGCAACATATCTAACACTGGGAGGGGCTGGGGTGTGTTTATTTGGGTATATACAATGAGTCATGGATTAAAATTGCTTCCAGCGGATAGATACCTAGGTGTTCCACAGCATTACTGAACAAGCTGTCGTCATTTCCCCATTACCTCAGAAGACCCCCTTAATTACTTACTTATATTAACTGTAGAACGTATTTATGCATACCAGGCTCTACCTCTGGGCTTTCTATTCTGTTCCAGAGACCCAGTACCAGAATATTTAAATCACTGTGGCGTTAAATACGTTTTAATATCTGATAGGGCCAGTTTCTGCGCATTGCACATTTTTTTTTCCCCTTTCAGGAACGTGTTCAGGCCCGCGGCAGGGGGCGGGATCGCGCCTCCTCCTCGGCTCTGGTTCCAGCCGAGCCTCTCGGACGCAGAGATGGAAATCCCGAAGCTGCTCCCGGCTCGCGGGACACTACAGGGCGGCGGCGGCGGCGGTATCCCCGCGGGTGGCGGCCGAGTCCACCGAGGCCCTGACTCGCCGGCTGGCCAGGTCCCCACGCGCCGCCTCCTGCTGCTCCGGGGCCCCCAAGATGGCGGGCCCGGGCGGCGGCGCGAGGAGGCCAGCACGGCATCACGGGGCCCTGGCCCAAGCCTGTTGGCGCCGAGGACCGATCAACCTAGCGGCGGCGGCGGCGGCGGCGGCGACGACTTCTTCCTGGTGCTGCTTGACCCGGTGGGTGGCGACGTGGAGACCGCGGGCTCCGGTCAGGCCGCAGGGCCTGTGTTGAGGGAGGAGGCCGAGGAGGGCCCGGGGCTCCAGGGGGGCGAGAGCGGCGCGAATCCCGCGGGGCCCACTGCGCTAGGCCCCCGCTGCCTGTCCGCGGTTCCCACTCCGGCCCCGATCTCCGCCCCCGGCCCCGCCGCGGCCTTCGCGGGCACAGTCACTATCCACAACCAGGACCTGCTGTTGCGCTTTGAGAACGGCGTCCTCACCCTGGCCACGCCCCCACCACACGCCTGGGAGCCAGGGGCCGCTCCTGCCCAGCAGCCCGGGTGTCTGATCGCCCCGCAAGCTGGGTTCCCGCATGCCGCGCACCCGGGTGACTGCCCAGAGCTGCCGCCAGACCTCCTGCTAGCTGAGCCGGCCGAACCCGCGCCAGCTCCGGCGCCTGAGGAGGAGGCGGAGGGCCCGGCCGCCGCCCTGGGCCCCCGCGGACCGCTGGGCTCCGGCCCAGGCGTGGTGCTGTACTTGTGCCCCGAGGCGCAGTGCGGGCAAACCTTCGCCAAGAAGCACCAGCTGAAGGTGCACCTGCTGACGCACAGCAGCAGCCAGGGCCAGAGGCCCTTCAAATGCCCCCTGGGTGGCTGCGGCTGGACCTTCACCACCTCTTACAAGCTCAAGAGGCACCTGCAGTCGCACGACAAACTGCGGCCCTTTGGCTGCCCGGCAGAGGGCTGTGGCAAGAGCTTCACCACAGTGTACAACCTCAAGGCGCACATGAAGGGCCATGAGCAGGAGAACTCATTCAAATGCGAGGTGTGCGAGGAGAGCTTCCCCACGCAGGCCAAACTCAGCGCCCACCAGCGCAGCCACTTCGAACCGGAGAGGCCTTACCAGTGCGCGTTTTCTGGCTGCAAGAAGACATTTATCACAGTGAGTGCTCTGTTTTCCCATAACCGCGCCCATTTCAGGGAACAGGAACTGTTTTCCTGCTCTTTTCCTGGCTGCAGCAAACAATATGACAAGGCTTGTAGGCTGAAAATTCACCTGCGGAGTCACACCGGCGAGAGACCTTTCCTTTGTGACTTTGATGGCTGTGGCTGGAACTTCACTAGCATGTCCAAACTCTTAAGGCACAAAAGAAAGCACGACGATGACCGGAGGTTCATGTGCCCTGTGGAAGGCTGTGGGAAATCTTTCACGAGGGCGGAACATCTGAAAGGCCACAGCATAACCCACCTGGGCACAAAGCCTTTCGTGTGTCCTGTGGCAGGCTGCTGTGCCAGGTTCTCTGCTCGCAGTAGCCTCTACATTCACTCCAAGAAACACCTGCAGGATGTGGACACTTGGAAAAGCCGTTGCCCGATCTCCTCTTGTAATAAACTCTTCACATCCAAGCACAGCATGAAGACGCACATGGTTAAAAGGCATAAGGTGGGCCAGGATCTCTTAGCTCAGCTAGAAGCAGCAAATTCTCTCACACCCAGCAGTGAACTTACCAGCCAGAGACAGAATGATCTCAGTGATGCAGAGATAGTGTCTCTCTTCTCTGATGTACCTGACAGTACTTCTGCTGCATTGCTGGACACAGCATTGGTGAACTCTGGAATCTTGACTATTGATGTGGCTTCTGTGAGCTCGACTCTGGCAGGGCACCTCCCTGCTAATAATAATAATTCCGTAGGGCAGGCTGTGGACCCTCCGTCCTTGATGGCCACCAGCGACCCTCCTCAAAGTCTGGATACCTCTCTCTTTTTTGGAACGGCGGCCACTGGTTTTCAGCAGAGCTCCTTAAATATGGATGAGGTCTCAAGTGTAAGTGTGGGGCCATTGGGATCTCTGGACTCTTTGGCCATGAAAAACTCCAGTCCAGAGCCTCAGGCTTTGACACCCAGCAGTAAGCTAACAGTGGACACAGATGCTCTGACTCCTTCGAGCACCCTTTGTGAAAACAGTGTCTCAGAACTACTGACACCAACCAAAGCGGAGTGGAACGTACATCCTGACTCTGACTTCTTTGGACAGGAGGGAGAAACCCAGTTTGGATTCCCCAATGCAGCAGGAAACCATGGTTCTCAGAAAGAAACAGATCTTATCACTGTGACTGGCAGCTCATTTTTGGTATGAACCAACTCTATTCATTCCTCATCATGTGGCTTACTTTTATTACAGTCAATTTTGAGGATATTCTGGACTAAATATTTAAGTGCAGTCATTTCTTTTTGGTTTGCAAAAAGAGCACAGCCCTGGACTACAAGTTTGGAGATTTAAATTCTGATCTTGAGTTTGGAACTGACAAGTTGTGTGACCCTGAGCAAGTCAGTTAACCTATCTGAGCCTTAATTTCCTTATTTATAAATTGAGGTGGTTTGAATAGATTGCTTTTAAGGTCTTTCTGCTCTGTGATTCCTTGATAATACATTTCTTTCCTTGAAAAATATGAGGACGTTTTTCAGTGATGTGGCATGCGTTTTTTTTTAACTGCCCCCCCAGCCCTGACATGTTCTTTTTTTGGCAAACATACATAATGTTACATCATACTATGATGAACATCCATGTACTTTTCACTCAATTTCAGCAATTATGAATCCATGAACAATCTTTTTTAACTTAGCCTCACTCACTCCCCATGTTCTAGTATTATTTTGTAACAAATAGCAGACATCTGATCATTTTATCCATAAATATTCTTTATATATCTCTGAAAGCTATGGGATGATATGGAAAAAAATGATAATTCCATTATCGCAAGTGATATTTACAGTAATTCTTTAATATCAGTAAATATCCAGTGAGGGTTCAAACTTCCAATTGCCTCATAAATGCTACTTGTTTTATTATTTTTAATTAGTAGAATCCCGTAAATCTCCTAAGTGTCTTCTTAATCCGTATGTTTCCCTTTCATCTTTCTTTTTTTCCTTGCGATTTTGTTTATGAAATGAGGTTGTTTCACATGTAGCATTTGCCACAATTTAAGTTTTGCTAATTGCATCCCTATGGTAATGTTTGCTTTCCTCTATCCTCTGTTTCTTTAATTTGCTAGTTATGTCTAGAGACTTGATGAGATTGAAACATGGCTTTTGGCATGAATGTTTCATAGGTTATGTTGTGTTCATTTAGTAGGTGGCGCATAATCTGTGGTTTTCTCTCTTTTTGTGGTATTAGCAGCTGCTGCAGATAAATGCATTAATTCATGATGCTTCTGATATGATGAGTCATCTTTGTAGAGTTACTAAGCATTAGCAAAGGAGGAAATGCTATGTAATAGAAATATTATTCAATGCCAAAATATTTTCTTAAATAGTCATAGAACTAACAAGAAAAAATAGATAGCAAAAAAATGTGTTGGCTGTTCTCACTGTTTATCTTCCTAACTTCTTTTGATGATGGAAGGCAGTTTTGTGGAAATTGCCAGCCAGGACTTTGACATGAAACAGACCCAGGGCTAAATTTTGGCTCTGTGGTGTTGGATAAGTGGCCTTGAATAAATTAGTTATTAAGCTTCAGTTTTCTAGCTTTTAACTGATTATAACAATGCACACACATACCTGACACACTGTTAAATTTTCTTCTCTTCCTGTTTCTTATGTTAAGGAAAGATACTCTGTGTTTTGGCATATGTTGGTGAATTTGTACCATTTTTATCCTCTCAGTCCTTCCTTTTATAAGACAATAATTGGAGTAGTTTAATCTTATTCATGTGCAGATAAAAGAGGTTTATGAAGTTTAGGGTGAAGTAGGCAAGGGAATCTGTTTACTCCCTCTTCCCTCTACTGAATAATTTTCCCTCTACTGAATAATTTTCCCTCTAAGAATTGCTGTGGGTAATACCAGGAGTGGGGACATTGCCCACATGCATAAGAGCGTATCTCTCCATTCGATCAGTTTGTCACCATCTTTGCTCTGTTTTGAAAGTCAGGCTTCTCTGTGACTGTGAAGCCTGCTGTTCCCTGAAAATCTGATAATGGAGCAGTGGAGGTTTTTTTCTTTCTGTGCTCTGTAGATCTCATTGTTTGCACTTGTAATTTCCCAGAGTTGAAAGGAAAGATTGAACTGGAATATTGTGTAAACTATCTGTCTTACATTAGTGTAGCATTTTGCAATTTGGGGAACATCTTCACAATTTGTGTCTCGTTGTTCAGAACAACCCTGTGAAGTAGTTTTGGCAATGTCTGTGTTACATTTCATGTAATTTAGCCAACTCCCATTCCAACTAGGCTTTGGCTAAATCTGACAATTTTATATATAGCTTAAAACAAAGAATATACATTCTTTTCACCCCTCCCAGTCTACCCATCCAGCCTTCATGATTCATTCCTGTGTCAAGGTTAGTCGCTGTTTTCCATTTGAATTGGTTTCTTTTATGGTCAGTTTACTTTCTTCCCTCTCCCCTCCCTTTCCTGCACATCCCCATCCTTGCTATGCCTTTCTGTCCTCTTTTATAATGGATATATCTTTTTCCTGCCATTATCCCTCAGACATTCTCCTCATGGCACATTTTCTTCAAATGCTAACATTTACTGAGTGTACATTGAAGTTCTGTGCATACAGGAAGAAGTTATTTTCTGAGCTTAGATAATACTATGTGTATATGTGATTAAAATGAAGATTATTTTCTAAAGCCTTCAAATTAGAAGTGGATTTCTGTTTCATTACTTCCGTTTTAAAAGTTTTTGCCAGAGAGTTTTGCTAAATACTCTCTTATTTGCTCTAGTGTACTAGTCCAGTAGTGTTTGCATGTGGATGTCTGTGGATGACAGTTATTGTAGCACTTTGGCAGTGCACTAAAATTTTGCCACTATGAAATGTTTCTTTATTGTGTGTGCGTGTGTGTTTTGAAATACGCACACAGCCACACCCACATATATATTAAAAGTGGTTGTATTCATTTAGTGAAAAACAAAAAGTAGATGTACTTCTGTAAATCAGATAAATGCTTGGAATTTGATTGTCTACCCAATCAACAGTTTTCCCTCTTTGCTCTGGAAATATTTGTACTCATATAGCATATTTCAAAAATGTTGTCATTCATTAAGGCCTCTTAAATAGACCACTATTTTTTGTGTCTGGCAGATGAGTATGTCAAGGATTGAGATGAACACATAAGTCTTGGAAATTAAATAAATTTATAAACATAAAGATAATTTAATGCTGTGACTTCATTTTTTAAATTCTTTAAACCAACTTTCTCCCAATAAAAAATTATAAACTATGTCTTTTCCTACTTACTCCTGGAATTTTCAAAGGAAAATTTTACGTTCTCAAAGGGAACAGCTTTTATTTGTCCATGGGCTCACAAAGTTTCACTGAACAAATTTGTTCAAATGATTTCTCTTTCAACATCATTTTCTAGCAAAATCATGGAGAACAGCTTTACACTTTCAAGGTAATAGGTATAATTCTGTTGGTGGTGACAAGCTGCACTTAACTAGTCTGAAAAAAGTTGCCATCACTCCTTTTAAATAATGGTACTTGTTTTAATTTCATCCTGTTTCCTTTCTGCTTCTCCTCAGGCATTGACTTATTAAAACTTCTCGTCAATTGCAAACACAGTAACATAATGGCTTAAAAAGAATTATGTTTCTAGGGGCTCCATTGATCATGTTGGTCATAAGCTAAAAATACACTGACATTTGTATTTTTTACCAATTAGTATAATTAATACAACAAAATGCTTGAGTAGTAGTCGAGAAACATGGATAGACTATGAAGTTTGTCTCTGTGACCTACATTGTTCATGTTCATGTCCAGGAAACATATAAGAAAGCAATTTGTAAGCTGGAGATTATACTGTATATATTCCAAATTAACAAATATTTACTGAGCGTCATTGTGAAGATTACACCATAACATATTGAAGGGTCTGTGAGAGGAGTACTATATAACCCTGACCTTTAAAGAGATCGCCATTGATGGGAGGAGATAGAAAAATAATATATTAAACTATTGAAGAACAAAAACGGAAAAATGTTTACTTTGGCACCAAATGAAAATGATTAAGAGGTTAACAAAAAAAAAGCAGTAAGAATAATGAGACATTTATTCTGGGCACAGAGAAGAGCCACCAAATATGTTTTAATAGAGGAGTCAGACAATGAAAATTATGTTTTAGAAAAGTTAATGTCATGCAAGTGTACAATGTGGATTAGATGGGAAAGACCGGAATAGGAAAATCAGTGAGAAAGCTTTTGCAGCAATCAAGGTGTGATATGAAGGATGAAGCCAGGACTAGGATGGTGTCAGTGGAGAGGTATTGGAAATATTTTCAAATATTTCCAGTATTTGAAGACAGATTTCAAATATCAGATAATTTCAAATATCTCTTCAAATACTGAAGAGAAGAAGGAATATTACTTAGTACCTCATTGCGGTGGAGTGGGGGGGAAGAAAAGAGGGAGGGAGGGAGAGAGAGATCATCATGGAAACCAAGAATGGTAACTCAGGTTTCCTTGGGGACTATAATAATCATATTTTTACTAACAGAATGAGGGAAGTAAGAGTTCTTTCTGAGAATCAGTGTATAAAGATGGTGTATTTAGTTAAACAATAATTGTTAAAGCATTGTTATCCTGCATGAGGATACATTATAACGTGGATACATTGTGGTTTATCCACTTTCTAGAAGACAGCAAAAGGCTACTTTTTTTTTTTATTTTTTTTTTGGCAGGGGGTTCCTTTAGGCATTCTCAGAACTACCTACACAGTTATGATCCTCTTACCTCCTTTTGAATTACGAGAGACCTCCCCAGCTTGTCTTGAATGATCCAGATCTGCATTGGCCAATATGGTAGCTACTAGTCATATGTGCCTATTCAGCACTTGAAATGTGTCTAGTGCAACCGAGGAACTGAATTCTTAATTAAATTTAAGTTTTAAAACTGAAGCAGTATAAACATTTTTCTGTTAGACACAACTCTATTGTTTCAGCAGGACTAAATTTCACTTTAGCCATTGAAAATTTAGTATCTAAATTGAGATGTGCTATGAAAGTAAAATATAAACCTTAATACAAAAAGTTTTCAGAGGCTTAATACAAAAAAATTAAATATCTGATTAGTATTTTAATATTGATTACATGTTGAATAATGTTTTCAATAGATTCGGTCAAAGAAAATATTCAAATTAATTTTATCAGTTTCTTCTTACTTTTTTAATGTGGCTACTAAAAAAATCTGAAATAAAGGCAGGACACAGTGGTTCATGCCTGTAATCCCAACACATTAGGAGGCCAAGGCGGAAGGATCACTGTGACCAGGAATTTGAGGCTTCAGTGAGCTATGATCCCACCGCTGCACTCCAGCCTGGGTGACAGAGTGAGACCCTATCTCTTTAAAAAAGAAGAAAAGTAAAGAAAATTTAAAATTAAACATATGGCTCTTTTAAAAAATAAAATTACATATAAACTCTCATTATATTTCTATTGGACAATGCCAATCTGGACATTACATCACTTCCTGAGACTACTCTGTATGAAAATGAGCTATGCCTTCTGTGCTGTATACTAACTGATTATGTTTAGGGTATAATAGTCTGTGTATTATAAAGGACTGCATCATAATTTCAGGAATTCAGTATTTTGTCATGAATTTCAGCAGTTCACTATGAAAGTAGAAGTGAATTTTACCTGCATCTGTCTCAGTTGGAGCTGGGAAGAGTAAGGTGGTGAAAAGTCCAGTATTCCTGGATCTGTGTGAGATTGCCTCATTGAGGCATCTTACTCATAATCTCTTCTGTCACTAAAGAGAATCATGAGCCAAGTGATAGCGTGAGAACCCCTACAACAGTCTTTCCATTTTGTAGTTTCCCTGTCCACTAAAAGAGAGAACTCTAGAAGGAATGGAACAAAAATAAAGGGTAAAACATTAAAGGAGTGTAAATAACTCTCCAGGAATTACACTGTATTTGATGGTGAATTTGATAGGAGTCCCACATTGTCACCTAGGATAATTTCTCCCTCTTGTTAATTGCTGACATTTAAAGACATACAGAACTCTTTTAACTTTTTATTTTTCTAAAGACAATATCCTAATTCGGTATTTTAAAACAAAGCACACAGAGATACCTAACAGCACCAACAATTTCTGAATCCCTTAAGACCATCCATTCTATTTGTTTACTAAGCTATCAATCAGCACTTATGTATTGAATACCTAATATATGAGGTATTGTGAATTATTACACCTAAAGTATAACTCATTAATCCATACCAAATTTTTTTGAGTATCAATTATGTAACAGGTATTGTCTTTATGTTTAAAGATATGATCTATATGGGAAACTATTAAAACCAGTATATAACAAAGCTTTAAGAGGTACATTATAGGTTTATCAGAATAAGAAGTACCATTTTCTGTAAGTGAGCATAAATTTTGATGATGGGAAACCAATATGCACAATATCATGAAATATTGTATTTCATCAGAAACTAAAATTTTGTTTAAAGTATAAGTATTGCAACAAAAGTATTCTAAGCTAAAACTTTGACAGGTTTCTGAGAAGTAGATTTGATAAACTATAGCAAAATATGAAAATCAATTATGAAACAGACTTTGTTTTTTATTTATTTTTAGATTACAACTTTTGGCTTGATGAATCTTATACCTATAAGTGATCCTGGGGATTGTGTACTTATCTCCCTCATTTTATGAATGAGGAAAGGTATTAAGCCTACACTTTGTGTGTAAATTTCTTTTCTTCTTATTATAAGACATTATTGCAAAATTTAATTCTGTGGAAAAATAATGACATTATTTCAAAGATAAATGTATTATATTGACACACTAGGTGGAAGGAATGAACTAGTAATTAATTTCATGTAACATTTGGGACTGAAAGTTAGAGTTAAATATGGAGGAACCTAAAAGTTCACCAGTGCTCAGGGGTGGAGGTTCTGGTAAACAAGTAAGTGTTTTGATTTCTGGTAAAAAATAGTAGCTTAACATTTTTGACAATTAGGGAAAATTCTGTTTCAAAATAGCAAAATAAAGCTTTCTTTAATGCTAAGAATTTTTTAACCTTCAAGATGTAAAACACTCACAAAGGGTAAAAAACAAACATTTTCCTTATAGCATAATAGCAAAAGAAAGTGATTTATTTTAAACAAGACTAACCTCTCTCTTCTGTTTACAGTACAGCATAGAAGCTAACTTCAGAATTTTCTCCCTTCAAATGACAGAAGGAAACTGTCCACTTGTCTGCTTAGAAATTTTCCAGAACAGAGAACCCTAGTGAAGGAGCAGCAGCAGTTCATCCCTAGCTAGTTTCAACTTTAGTGCTGCCTTAGTGAGTCCTTTCCTGTCCAAAGTGCCAACATTAGCTAGTTAACACCAACTACGGTCAACTTTTAGTACTTGCTATGTGTAAGAAAATTGAGCATTTTCTCCTTCAATTCACATATGATTGTGGGCTTCCTGGTGCTAATTATTAATTATCTCATTATAATTTTAACAATAATTTAATCAGTTGGCATGTCTTATGATAATAATTACACTTTAATATTTTATCTTCATTTAAAAATTGTTTTGACTAAATAAAATTTTGCTTGAGATAGGGGTACATTTTTCTACACTATTTGAATATCTCTCAATCATCTCTGTATTTTGGAAGCAATACAATTTAGAGCTCTGTTAACATTTATTTAGATAAATGTTTAGAATTATAGCCTTAGAATGTTGGCTACTTCGAAAATGGAGAAAGGCAAGTATCCCCCACGTTCATAGATCAGTGATAAAGTCTCTGGAAAAAATTTGGGGAGTGAGACATTAAGTAGGTCTTAGAGTTAAGATCAAATTCACAAGAAAAAAGCTATTTGATTCTGTTGTTTAAAAGTATTCATTTATATTTATCAAATTTGCTGCTGAGTATAATCTTATATATCATATAAACTTATAGAAGCCTATTTTTAAAACTCCGTTTAAAGTATTATGTCATTAATTGGTACTTTAAAAAATAGGCTAACTGATATTATATTTTATTTTTACAAAGGGCATCTGATAGCATTTAGACTTTGAAATTTGAATACAAAATATATACAGTCCTTAAATATAACATTTCATAATATTTGTAAGGTAGTTCTGACTATGATTCATAATAGATTCTTTTGCAACAACAACAAAAATATTTTACAAAGGTAAAATGTTATGTGCATCCACAGCCAACATTACATTTACTTTCCACTCATATATTCATAATAAGACAATAGTAAAAAGCATTGAGAATTATTCTCAAAGATAGAAAACAGGATATACCATGGCTAAAAAACATAAGAAGGATTTTACAATAGAGCCACATACTTTTTACTTTCTCGAAAGCCTTTGATCAACAGCATCTGGAAACAAAGATGAGAGGCACGTGTTCAATATTCTCCAGTATTTTCCAATTATACTGAGCAATATAAAGACATCAAATAAACATTATTACAATATTCAATGATTGTCTAATACAAACTACATGAAGAATCATCGAGGGTACATAATACCCAGTGAAGAGAGAAATTTCCTTAATTGACATCCTGCATATGAAATGTCAAAAGTGGTCAAATTAAATGTTATTTTATTTGACACTGAGAGTAGATGGTGCTTTCCACAAAGAAATACTCTTTAAAGGTGTTTTCTTTTCCACTTACAGTGAATATTTGATTCAGATAATGAAAATCGCTAATTCACTCTCTTAAAATTTCTACCTGTCCTCTTTATTGTTGTTATTATTATTATTTGTTGGGAAAGGCAGTCTCATGTCTGCAGTTTTTGGTTCCCACTTAGCCACATATTTATGGACCTTGGGCCTGGAACACTCCCTAACCAAGAGATAAAATGCCCATATGACTGTGCTGGACATACCACCTCGTGCAAGAGTATCTTTCCCTGGTGCAAGCTAAATGCGTGCCTATTTTTCTGCTTAACCATGTGGGTTACATGGCACCTGGCAAACCCCACTGCCATACCTTGCCTCCCTAGGGAAGGGTTAGGATCCTTTCTCTGCAGCAGGAGAGGGGTGTGCCACAGGCAAATTTCCCTGTTGGCTGCCAAAAGAAATCATCTAGCCACGGGAAATCAATGCACACTATTGAAGCTTATCATGCACTCTTTATGTAGTAAAGCTTTGCTCCATCCATTGCTTAACTGTGTTGTGGGGTTTTTTGGTGACTCCAATACCCAGATGCAGTGGGCAGAAGGGTTTGGAGTCCTCCCCTGGAATTGGTAACTGGTGCATGGTATTCTGCTTGATATTATTATTATTTGTAATAATTTCCATCTGAACTCATTTCCTCAATGTTGTGAGATTTATTCATGTTCATTGAGTGTAGCAGTTCATTTATTTGAATTTCTCTATAGAATCACATGATATTCATTCACATGTTAATGAGTATTTGCATTGTTTCTTGATTTTGGCTGCAACAGATAACATTATTTTAGTTAACATATATTTTAGTGCATTTTCATATGGATTTCTATGGGTCAATACCTAGAAGAATGGAAAGGTTATATAGTAGCATGTGTAATGGTTCCACTTGCTCCATGTCTTTTCCAAAATTGGCATTTTCATCTTTTCAATTTTAGCCATTACTATTGGTTTTCTAATAGTATTTCATTGTAGTTTTAAATGTACATTTCTATGATTACTAATGGGCTTGAGAATCTTTTCATGTTTGTTGGATATTTGGATATCTTATTTTGGAAGTCTTGTGTTATTTAAGTGGGTGAGGGCTTTGTCTTTTTCTTGATTGATTTTTAGGGGTTCTTTATATATTCAAGGTAAAAGCATTTATTAGACACATATGAACAAATATTATCCTACTCCTTTTATTTTTTTAAATTAAGTTCCAAGGTACACGTGCAGGATGTGCCAATTTGTTACACAGATAAACGTGTGCCATGGTGGTTTGCTGCACCTATCAACCCATCACCTAGGTATTAAGCCCGGCATGCATTAGCTATTTCTCCTGATGCTCTCCCCACAACTGTCCTCCCCTGACAGGCCCCAGTGTATGGTATTCCCTTCCCTGTGTCCATGGGTTCTCATTGTTCAGCTACTACTTATAAGTGAGAACGTGGTGTTTCAATTTCTGTCCCTGCGTTAGTTTGTTAAGGATAATTGCTTACAGCTTCATCCATGTCCCTGCAAAGGACATGATCTTGCTCTTTTTTTATGGCAACATAGTATTCCATGCTGTACATGTGCCACATTTTTCTTAATCCAGCCTATCACTGATAGGCACTTGGGTTGATTCCATGTCTTTGCTATTGTGAATACTGCTGCAATGAATATACACGTCCATATATTTTTATAATAGAATTATTTATATTCCTTTGGGTATATATGCAGTAATAGGATTGGTGGGTCAGATGGTATTTCCAGTTCTAAATCTTTGAGGAATCACCACACTGTTTCCTACAATGGTTGACCTAATTTACATTCCCACCAATAGTGTAAAAGTGTTCATTTTTATCTGCAACCTTGCCAGCATCTGTTGTTTCTTGACTTCTTAATAATCGCTATTCTGACTGGTGTGAGATGGTATCTCATTGTGTTTTTCATTTGCTTTAGCTGAGTCCCAGAGATTCTGGTATGTTGCATCTTTGTTTTCATTCGTTTCAAAGAATTTCTTGATTTCTGCCTTAATTTCATTATTTACCCAGAAGTCATTCAGGACTAGGTTGTTCAATTTCCATGTAGTTGTGTGGTTGTGAATGAGTTTCTTAATCTTGAATTCTAATTTGATTGCCCTGTGGTTTGGGAGACTGTTTGTTATGATTTCATTTCTTTTGCATTTGCTGAGGAGTGTTTTACTTCCAATTATGTGATCATTTTTGGAGTTAAGTGCCCTCTGGCACCAAGAAAAATGTATATTCTGTTGTTTTTGGGTGGAGAGTTCCGTAGAAATTTAACAGGTCCACTTGATCTAGAGCTGAGTTCAAGTCCTAAATATCTGTGTCAATTTTCTGTCTCAATGATCTAATACTGACAGTGGGGTATTAAAATTTCCCACTCTTATTGTGTGGGAGTCTAAGTCTCTTTATATGCCTTTAAGAACTTGTTTTATGAATCTTGGTGCTCCTGTATTGAGTGCATATATATTTAGGATAGTTAGCTCTTCTTGTTGAATTGAACCCTTTACCACTGTGTAATGCCCTTCTTTATCTCTTTTGACCTTTGTTGATTTAAAGCCTATTTTGTCAGAAACCAGGATTGCAACCCCTGCTTTTTTCTGCTTTCCACTTGCTTGATAATTTTTTCTTTATCCCTTTATTTTGAGCCTATGTGTGTCTTTGTAGCTGACATGTTTCTTTTGAATACAACACACTTATGGGTCTTGTTTTTTAATCCAGCTGGCCATCCTGTATTTTTAAATTGGGGCATTCAACCCATTTACATTTAAGATTAATACTGTAATGTGTGAATTTGATCCTCTCATCATGATGTTGGCTGGTTAATTTTGCAGACTTGTTAATATAGTTGCTTCATAATGTTGTTGGTCTGAGCACATCATTGTGTTTTTGTGGTGGCTGGTAATGGTTTTTCCTTTCCATGTTTAGTGCTTCCTTCAGGAGCTCTTGTAAGGTAGGCCTGATAGTGATGAATTCCCTCAGCATTTGCTTGTACAAAAAGGATTTTATTTCTCTTTCACTTATTAAGTGAAAAGAGAAATAAATTATGAAGTGAAAAAAGAAATATCACTTGGCCGGATATGAAATTCTGGGTTGACGATTCTTTTATTTAAGAATCTTGAATATTAGCCCTCAATCTCTTCTTGCTTGTAGGGTTTCTACCAAGATTCCCGCTGTTAGTCTGATGGGCTTCCCTTTGTAGGTGACCTGGCCTTTCTCTCTGGTTGCCCTTAACATTTTTCCCTTCATTTTGACCTTGGAGAATCTGATTATTTTGTGTCCTGGGGTTGATCTTCTCATGGAGTATCTTATTGGGGTCCTCTGGATTTCCTGAATTTGAATGTTGGCCTGCCTCGCTAGGTTGGGGATGTTATCCTGCATGATATCCTGAAGCGTGTTTTCCAACTTGGTTCTATTCTCCCCGTCTTTTTCAGGTACTCCAATCAGTCATAGATTCAGTCTTTTTATGTAGTCCCATAGTTCTCAGAGCTTTTGTTTGTACTGTTTCATTCTTTTTTCTTTAATCTTGCCTGCCTGCCTTAATTCAGCAAGACAGTCTTCAAGCTCTGATAGTCTTTCTTCTGCTTGGTCATTTCAGCTATTTTTCATGTGTATGCATCATAAAGTTCTCTTGTGTTTTCCAGCTCCATCAGGTCATTTATGCTCCTCTGTAAACTGGTTATTCTAGTTAACCAATCCTGTAATCTTTTATCATTGTTCTTAGCTTCTTTGCATTGGGTTAGAACATAATCCTTTGGTTCAGTGAAGTTCATTATTACCCACTTTCTGAAGCCTACTTCTGTCAGTTCATCCATCTCAACTTCAGCCCAGTTCTGTGCCCCTCCTGGAGAGGTGTCGTCATCATTTGGAGGAGAAGAGGCATTCTGGCTTTAGGAATTTTCAGCATTTTTGCATTGGTTTTTCCTCATATTTGTGGATTTATCTGCCTTTGATCTTTGAGGCTGTTTACCTTTGGATGGGGTTTTTGTGGGGTCTTTTTTGTTGATGTTGTTGTTGTCGTTTTCTGTTTATTTGTTTTCCTGTTACCAGTCAGGTCCCTCTTCTGCAGGTCTGCTGCAGTTTGCTGGGGGTCCACTCTAGACCCTGTTCACCTGGTTATCACCAGTGGAGGCTGCAGAACAACAAAGATTGCTGCCTGCTCCTTCCTCTGGAAGCTTCATCCCAGAAGGGTACCAACCTGATGCCAGTCAGAACTCTCCTTTATGAGGTGTCTCATGACCCCTGTTGGGAGGTCTCACCTAGTCAGGAAGCACAGGATTAGGGGCCCACTTAAGGAAGCAATCTGACCCTTAGTGGAGCTGGTGTACAGGAATACCCCTCCATCGGATCTCGCAGACTCTTCAGAGCCAGCAGGCAGGAAGGATTAAGTCCACTCAAACTGAGACCACAGCCGCCCCTCCTCCCAAGTGCTCTGTCCCTGGGAGATTAGAGTTCTGTCTGTAAACCCCTG